>NC_000011.10:119293636-119596667 GCF_000001405.40 Homo sapiens
GTATTTTTTGGTCCCTTATACCTTGGCTGTCATTATACCCCAAAATTCCTGTCTCTTCTTAGTCTGTTTTCTGTTGTCATAACAGAATACCTGAGATTAAGTAATCTATAAAGAAAAGAAGTTTATTTAGCCCACGCTTTTGGAAGCTGGAATGTTGAAAAGCATGGCGCTGGCATGGTGAGGGCCTTCCTGCTGCCTTGTAACCAGGCATCAGCATATGAAGGTGGTAACTAAGTTTCCAACATGTGAAACTGGGGGACATATTTAAATCGTAGCATTCTCACCAGCCCATTGAGACTACTTTAAACGCCTAGTTCAAAACCCCTAATACAGGGCTTACTCTAATGTATTCTTTCTTGAATCTTAGCCTGTTAAGTCGTGGCTGCCTGGTTGCTCTCCAGTGTCTTCTTTCTTTTAAAGCATATATTGCCAACATGCTTTGTGAGAAGGAGGTTCAATTATGTATTTTATGGACTTTATTAACAGAGAATTATAATTAAAATTTTTAAAAGTTAGGCACGGTGGCTCACGCCTGTAATCCCAGCACTTTGGGAGGCCAAGGTGGGTGGACCACTTGAGGTCCGGATATCGAGACCAGCCTGGGCAACATGGTGAAACCCTGTGTCTACTAAAAACACAAAAATTAGCTGGGTGTGGTGGCGGGTGCCTGTACTCCCAGCTACTTGGGAGGCTGGGGCAGGAGAAATGCTTGAATCTGGGAAGTGGAGGTTGCAGTGAGCCAAGATCACGCCATTGCACTCCAGCCTGGACGACTGAGTCTCCGTCTCCAAAAAAAAAAAAAATTATTGCCTTTTTAATGGCCCTTTTTACAAAAATAATACATGTTAACTAAAATTTAGAAAATATAGGTAAGCAGGCTGGGTGCGGTGGCTCACGCCTGTAATCCCAGCACTTTGGGAGGCCAGGGCTGGCAGATCATGAGGTCAAGATCGAGACCATCCTGGCCAATATGGTGAAACCCCGTCTCTACTAAAAATACAAAAATTAGCTGGGTGTGGTGGCATGTGCTTGTGGTCCCAGCTGCTCGGTAGGCTGAGGCAGGAGAATCGCTTGAACCTGGAAGGCAGAGGTTGCAGTGAGCCTAGATCACGCCGCTGCACTCCAGCCTGGTGCCACAGTGAGACTCCGTCTCAAAAAGGAAAAAAAAAAAAGGAAAAGGAAATATAGGTAAGCAACACTGAAGAAATAAATGTTACCTGTAATCCTATCAGACAATAGTTAGCAATTTGATACATGTTCATTGCCATTCTTCCTTGTATGAAATCATATTGTCATTGCTGGTTTTCACTAAAAATATCTTGAACATCTTTGCATGTTATTACATATTCTGTTGCAATGATTTTCAAATTATTTCACGATTATACATCAGTGTAACTAAAGTGGAATCTCAGTTTGTAAAATAGATAAGAACAGATCTATTGTAGTAGAAGCAGCAGTAGGCTTCCGTGGCTCCGGCTTGGAACCTCTAAGGCACTTGGGGACACAGTTGTGTGGTTCAGTATTTATTCAGTACATTATTATTTGGTATTGAAGTTATTGCCTAATTTTCCAGCATTATAAATAATGCTGCAGTGAATGTTCTTGATGGTTTCCTTAGGGAAAATTCTCAGAAATGGAATTTCTGAGACCAAGAGTATGCATGTTTGGTAAATACTTTTGTTGAATTACACAACAGAAACGTATCAATTCCTTATTTCTACAGCTCTGTAACAAAGTACCCATTCATTTCCCTACACCTTCACTGACACCGTGTGGCCAAATACCACATTAAGAACAAACTAGGGATGGGTGGGGTGACTCAGGCCTGTAATCCTAGCATTTTGGGAGGCTGGGGCGGGAGGATCACTTGAACCCAAGAGTTTAAGACCAGCCTGGGCAACATAGTGAGACTCTGTCTCTACAAAAAAAAAAATTTTTTTTAATTAGCCTGGTATTGTGGCACATGTCTAGTCCCACCTACTGAGGAGGCTGAGTTGGGAGGATCACTTGAGCCCGGGAGATCAAGGCTGCAGTGGGTTGTCATCATGCCACTGTGCTCCAGCGAAAAATCTAGGTGTTTCTTTCTGAATATGGACTGTCCTCCCGCCATCTCATTTTATTGTGAAAAGTTACAAAGATAGTAAAGGTGAAAGAATTTTACAGTGAACACCCATATACTGATCACCTGGATTCTACTTTTAGCATTTTATTATACTTGTTTTATCAGACTATATGTCTGTCTTTTGATGTTTTCAAAGTAAATTGTAGATACCAATACACTTCTGCCTCAGAACTTCAGCATGCATTGCACAAATCTTAAGTGGATATTTCCCATTAACGGCAAAAAACACAATTACTTTTGCACCAACCTAATAAAAGTAATATGTAGATATAAGAAAAAACCTCAAGTGAGATTAAAGGGGACTTCTATGTTCTGTGTTAAGTTTCTATAGCACTTATGTGTGTATTATAAATGTGTTGCTTTTATAATTAGGAAAACTAAGCATCAAGCAGACAAACGAAAGAGATGCTCCTTGTAGCATCTTTAGGATATGCAAAAATAATAGGAAGGGAGGAGAAACACAAATTCACACTCCAAGAAGTAGGTTTTTGTGTGTCTTTTTTTCCCCCCTACAATTTAGTGGGGTGTTTTTGTATTTCTTGGGAGTTTTTTCATTTCATTTCATGCGGTGGCAGAAGTCTTGTTTCCAAAGTTTCTGGGTGAAAGTTACATGTGGATATAACAGCCAGATCCTTGATGTGGGAGTCAGTAGATCTGGGATCTAGCCTCAGAATTTACGCTAACTGCGGTCGCTTTATCTCTCTCTATTTTAAATTTTTCTTATATAAAACAAGGAGTTTGAGAAAGCTTTTGACAAGCTATGCATTCCTTGAAACCATAGGTAGAGTTTAGAATTGGAATTTAGTTTACAGTTCTAACATTGTCAGAAAAAATCTTGCCGTTTCTCTAACTCTAGGGCCTGGGACTCTATAATGAAACTTCTGTGGGGGATTAGGACTAACCAGTATCTCAGGTGATTAGCCCAGTATATCACCTCTGAAGCATAAAAGCTGCACCTTTGGTCAGTTGAAAGTGACATTTTTAGTTAGTGTACTTTTGCTAATTACTTGTCTTGGTCAGCAGAAATAATAGTTCCCTAGGTGACATGTATTTTGCTCTGTTCAATTTGAGTTATGTCTGTTTTTAAGCCATTTATTTTATACTTCAAAGTTTACTGGTTTGTTACTTCTTTTTCTATTTTTTATTCTTCATCTTCCAGACCTCTTCCTGTGCCAAAACTGCCACCTGGGGAGCAATGTGAGGGTGAAGAGGACACAGAGTACATGACTCCCTCTTCCAGGCCTCTACGGCCTTTGGATACATCCCAGAGTTCACGGTAGGTTCACAACAACCCTTTTTGGGCCCTATACCTTTATGTGGGTAATTGACACCCTTCACCTGCTTGGCTTGCTACCTGCACATACTGTTATCCAGTCAGATTAAAGCAGAAAGATAAAGATAAATCTAGCCCTTAATGGTTTAAGCCTTTTGTAGCTGTAGGTAATTACACTTATGTTTTCTCAGCAACATGAGAACCTCAAAAACACATACACCTATAACTTGCCACAAGAGTCAACTTTAACATTTATTAGTGATATTGGCAAAACGAGAAGATGAATCTTCATAAGTTTATAGATAACAGTTCTATTTCCAAAGATCATTATGGCACTTTCCTTCTGGTTCAGAGCATGTGATTGCGACCAGCAGATTGATAGCTGTACGTATGAAGCAATGTATAATATTCAGTCCCAGGCGCCATCTATCACCGAGAGCAGCACCTTTGGTAAGTTGCCATTCTGCTACTTTAAAAATCATTGATATGTCATAGGAATGAACATGTAATATTTGGCAATTGAGATAGCTTGATCTAAGCTCAAAATTCTTCTGTAGCTGGGACTACAGGTACGTGCCACCATGCCCGGCTAATTTTTGTATTTTTAGTAGAGACGGGGTTTCACTATGTTGGCCAGGCTGGCCTTGAACTCCTGACCTCAGGTGATCCACCCCTCCCAAAGTGCTGAGATTACAGGCGTGAGCCACCACGCCCAGACAAAGCTGAAAATTATTTTCAGTAATCTTTGGCAAAATATCTTTGACATGGGCAGTAAAGTATCCCCAATCCTTTATTTCCTACTCACACTGCTGGTTCCTTTTGTGCTTTTCTTTGTCCTTCCAGGGCCTAGAGACATTTGTGTTCTATACTCTGGACCTGTAAGCTCCTTTTTTTTCTCATTGCATTGATGAAATTCTTTTATGTGGGGGTGGTGAACACTCAATTCCCATGTTAACTAGCCTACCAGATTGAAAGTTCAAGAAGCCTGCTCTCACAGGATCCTTTGCTGATCTTCCAAGGTGGAATGTGGATAGAAATGTTTATTGAATGATCTGAGATGACACTGGAGTCATTGGCATCGGTGGCTATTAACCTTGTCAAGAATAACCTTTGGCATGTTCAAAAATGAAAGCTGCAGTGTTGGTGCAGATTTTATTTTCTATTTTTATCTCTGTTTACATGGTGTTTGGCCCACAGTAGACAATCAGTAACTGTTGAATGAGATAAATGATTGCATACATGTAAAAATGAATGGCTGCCCCGTATTGAAATGTATTAGAAGATGAAGTGCGTCAGAAGAAGATAACATCACTCATTTTTCTCCAGGTGAAGGGAATTTGGCCGCAGCCCATGCCAACACTGGTCCCGAGGAGTCAGAAAATGAGGATGATGGGTATGATGTCCCAAAGCCACCTGTGCCGGCCGTGCTGGCCCGCCGAACTCTCTCAGATATCTCTAATGCCAGCTCCTCCTTTGGCTGGTTGTCTCTGGATGGTGATCCTACAACAAGTGAGTCTCCAGACTACTTTGGGTTTGTCCTGAATGGCAGTGTGGCCTGTATGTTTATATTGAAAGGGAGATGACCTTCTCTGGTGACAGTAAGTCAGTATGTAGGCTAAACATTATGTCTAAATGGGAGGAAAGTCCCAAGTTAGGAAGTTAGACTGTAGTCAGACTCTTTAGGATTTTTGCAGACTTAGAAAAGAGGTCATTCCTTAAACTCTGGCTCTTCTTATGTTAGGGGTAGGTAGGATTTATAGTTTCTCTGAGTATGCCTTATGACACTGGTAATTAGGCTTGATGGCTCAGAGCACACATTCCTTTTTCCTGGGCTCTGTTCCATTGGAAAGAAGGCATGCTAGCTCTGGAACACACACTGAATGGGCCTGGAGCCAGCCCATGTTGGGCCTTGACTACTGGAGGCTGCTCTTCTTGCACCTGTGGCTGCCTGGTAGGGCAGCAGCCAGAGTTGCTGTCACTTTGGAATTGAAGACAGCCTTCAGGACAGACAGCTGGTGAAAAAGAATACAGCCTTCGCTTGCCCAGACGAGCAATGTCCCCCACTCAGCCTTGGCTAATGCTTCTTCATTGCAACTTATATCTGTCTTTTTCCTTATTTGTAGAAGGCGAAGTTTAGTATCTTTGGTCCCCTCAGAATTAAAACAGACAATTACATGTGCACAAACATGTTGCTTAGTGTAAAGCATGATGCAGATGTTTATGATTGCAGTGGTTATTGTTCATAGGACAGGTGCATGGTATATTTAGAAGGTTGTTTTTATTGTGATGAGGAGGCTATATCTTAAAACCCTTGAACCTGTAAAACCCAGCCTTGTGACTGAAGAGCACATGTACCCAGTTTACAGGAAGTCAGTAATATCTTGATATTAGCACATTTTTATTGCTGTTGTTAAATGAGGATTTCCCCAGATTTGCAAATATTTTCTTTCCTATTTCTTCTAGATGTCACTGAAGGTTCCCAAGTTCCCGAGAGGCCTCCAAAACCATTCCCGCGGAGAATCAACTCTGAACGGAAAGCTGGCAGCTGTCAGCAAGGTAGTGGTCCTGCCGCCTCTGCTGCCACCGCCTCACCTCAGCTCTCCAGTGAGATCGAGAACCTCATGAGTCAGGGGTACTCCTACCAGGACATCCAGAAAGCTTTGGTCATTGCCCAGAACAACATCGAGATGGCCAAAAACATCCTCCGGGAATTTGTTTCCATTTCTTCTCCTGCCCATGTAGCTACCTAGCACACCATCTCCCTGCTGCAGGTTTAGAGGACCAGTGAGTTGGGAGTTATTACTCAAGTGGCACCTAGAAGGGCAGGAGTTCCTTTGGTGACTTCACAGTGAAGTCTTGCCCTCTCTGTGGGATATCACATCAGTGGTTCCAAGATTTCAAAGTGGTGAAATGAAAATGGAGCAGCTAGTATGTTTTATTATTTTATGGGTCTTGAGTGCATTTGAAGGTGTCCTTCAGTTCCCACGTAGAGAGAGTGTGGATTATATTACATGATAACCTACCTGGGGAACAGTCCAGAAAGCTATAGAACAAGTATTTTGCTGGAAATCCTAATTGAGGACTTAAGACTTCCTGGGTTAAGGATGTGGCCGTGTGTGTGTGTGTCTGCCTGTGGTTGTATGTGTCCTTGTGATTATAAGATTAACCTGCTGTGTGTGTTAATTCCAGGCAGGGAATTAGCACAAAAGGTTTAGGAAGGAATCTTTTTTTAAAGACTTCCATCTACTGTGGTATTATACCCAAGCCTAGTGTGTATTACAACTTCAACACTCCCCTTTGGCTTATATTACCATGTGCATAGCTAAAGTCTTCTATTTTTAGAACACCTTCTGTCTGTTCTTTCCCCATCAACTCCTTCCTCATCCTTCTTGGTGTTCTGTCATGGGCCATGGGCTTGCTATGGCCAGCCTTACTGAGGCCAAGCAGCTTATGGGATGTTCTTTATTGTGTGTGATGGTATTGGTTTGTTTGGTAGATAAGTGGGAGGAAAAGTACTGTTGCTACACTATTATAGGCATGTTTGATACTAGCAGCTAACACTGGTCACTCCAAAGCACTGTTTCTATAGGAACATTGAAGCTATTAAGATGTTTTGATTATCCTAATTACATAATGACCGATTTGAGATAGAGGCCTTTAAATACATTCCATGCCCTCCCCAGAAAATAGTCTGTGGGAGTCAGTTGCCTTGGTGCCAGGTATGTGTTCTGATGTAGGTCATGAGTCTTTCTACTTAATGGGAAGGGAAGAACATTTGTTTCCAGGATGACTTTCTGGCCAGAATACCGGAAAGCTTTTAGGAAGCTTCGTTCACATGCTATTTAAATGCACAAAATAGACAGTAAGGATTTATCTGTTCAGTTTTTCTTCCCAGTGAATTAATTTCAGCTTATATGGGTGTCTTCATTTGAACATGAGGAATATTAGGTTATATTTTCAGCAGTGGTTTTTTCCTTTGCCCTTTAAGGAGTGGGGATAATGTCCACGGTGGCCCAGCCTCTTGCTGATGGCACCTTCCCTGCATTGCTGCCTCCCGATGATGTGGTTCTTTTCTTGTGCCTGTGGCTTTGGGAATGTAACATCTCTTTCCTCCTTTCCTTCCCTTTTCCTCTTCACCTGAGGTCCTAAATACTCTCTGTAATTACTGTGTTCTTCACGGTAATTAGACATCATTCAGTGAATAAATTACTGTAGTCAAAGACAGTATGGGCTGGCAGTTTGTGTAATTGCAAGTTCATAAAGAGAATTGAGGGTCCAGTTGGGAGAACTATTAGTCAGTTCTTTTATATGCTGATAAATGATCCCTCGAGTTCAGTTAGTATTCTGTCCAGAGTGTTTAGCTCACTTTCTTAGCAGTGTGTAAGCTTTCTCCATGTCAGAAGCAAGCCTGCTCTTTGATAAATCTGTCTTCCTGAAAATCTAAATCATGCTTTTGTCTTTAGATCTACACAGAAATGACCCTCCTTGGATCAGTTTTCTTTCCAGTCTAATCATCTTTGGAACTAAAACTTGTTCTAACTCGTCTCTTGGCATTCAGCTACTCCTAGATCTTTTGGTTTTATCCCCTGGCCTCAGAGCCATTTATATTCCCAGAGTAGGCAGTACAGGATCTCGTGTTGATTTGCTGTGGTTACCCAGTGTCTTCTCTACATGGCATAAAGCGGCAAAGCCCACCATTAGGTGAGGCGGTCCCGAGTTGAGGTAGAGTGGGGCAGAGGAAGATGGCAGTGAATATCAAACAGTAGACCGCCATCAACTTCTAACAGCCAGTACACACACTGTTTCATTTTGAGGTAACGTTCAGTTTTGCATTTTGTTTAAATATTGAAGGCCTAGACAAAGAACTAGAAAAAAAAAAGCAGTTTCCAGGCCCATCCATATTGTAATTTTTCTTTATCTGCAGATATTGCCTGTAGTCTAAAGATCTCTTTGGAAGACAAAGCATTGGCTATATATCTTTTGCCTTTTCCATGCATCTAAATCTTCTCTGGAGATTATCTCCCTACTGTGTAGGTTAAGGGCAGTCTCGACTTTTCCTTTTTTGAGTCCTGTGTGGCTCTTTGAATCAGCGTGAAACTGAGGCTCCAGCTCCCTGTGTTGTGTGTGTGTGCCATCCATGGGCTTGGGTGTCAGTTTGTCACAGGTATCTGCCAGCATTCAAGGTTTTGGATCATTTCATGAGGATCTTTCCTTTGACTGGGTGCTGTGAGGACACACCTGGGTCTGTGCCTGAGATTGCCAGGCAAGATTAAGGAAAGTTTTCATGTGGCTTTTGTTTTGAGGTTATTCTCAAAACCTTAATTTCTTATATTTTCTGTTGACTAAGGCACCAGTAACCCATTCTTCACCCTCCATTTGTATGGCAATTTAAAAGTCTTTGGCTTTGCTCTGAATTTAATTAAAACTGCCTTTTATGAACAGACTTCGAGTTTTGCCATTTTGGGCAAGCCCTTCCGCTTGTCCCTTCCTAGTGGCTAATAAAGTAAAAAAACCCACACTACTTTGTTCTCTTTTTCTCATATTCATTGGGCTGTTGTATTCAGCCAGTCTCATGCTTTCCCTGGGTCTTCACGGATTGCTTTCCAAGCTGCCTTGTTGCGGGGTTGCTGCAGAGCAGCAACTGGACCTTTCCAGCTGTCGCCATGTTCCTTCCACTAAAGTAGAGGGTTCTTAAAATGGAAAAACCTGTGGGCTCTTCATATACCTCCCTTTAGTTAAGTAATAGACCAGGCAGCTTCTCATCTCAGCATTTACCTGTTAATATTTTTGTGAATAGTGCTCTCTACCTGTGGGTGGCCGTTCTCTTCCACTTGCTCGTCTCCCCCCAGCCCCATTCTGCATAATCTACCATTCTTCTCCTCTCTTTCTCTTCTTATACAGACCCTCATTACTGGGGCCCAAGATGTGGGATACTACTGTTAGTATTATTTAACTATTTTGTAGATTTAAAAGATTTCTGGTTAAGGGAGGTGGGGGTCACTGTTCATCACTCTTAAAATATGTGTTTTCTCTATAGAAAAGTAAAATGTGTTTATGGTCCCAAACAGTCAACTCACAAATTTTTATAACAAAATTTCCTTGTAAAAACTAGGGACCATCTATATATTCCCTTTAAGATCTAGTTCTTTTTGTAGGTGTTCAGCAATGGTGATAAAGCAGAATATTCTCCTACCTCACGTCATTAAAGTCAGAAGATTATAGACCTTCTCAAACTATAAGTCCCTCTTCTTGCCGTTGGCCTTTCTGACTCTGGAATGACCACTGTTCATTGAAAAATAGTTTTCTGACTATTGGTCTGGCTCTAACAGTTTGTTTGTTCATCCAGCAAATGTTTATGAGTGATGACCATGTGCCAGAAATGTCAGGTATGTGTCCTTCCCTTGGCGCCACATAGTAGTTTACTAATGTTTGGGGGATTGTACTTGGACTGTCATAGCCTCTGCGTTTGACCTTAAAATAGCTCTTCCCAGTAAGATTGTGCAATTTTTATTCACAGCTCTTCCATGTAGACTTACCTTTCCTCATAGAGCTATCCTGGTTAATAACAGGCCAAGATTCTCCCATTATCCCCTGTTGTCTCCTGTAGCTTTGATAATGCCTGGGAGATTCCTTGGTGTAAGTGTCATGGATACCGACTGTTTTTATGTTGGAATTTGTTCCAACATAATTAGAATCTGTTTGGTGAGTTGAAAGGTAAGTTGGCTCAGAGTTGCACAGTAGGGCATTAAATGTTTAAGCAAAGCATCTGCCCACACTCCCCTTTCCAATCTAGTGCCTTCCTTGAACTTTTTCCTGAGCTGCTACGTCCCTAATCCCCCTTGTTGGGAGGATTTTCGTATCACCCTTATGGGACCTGTCACCATGTCCTGTACTATTTGGAATTGGTTTTCCAGTCTTTCAACAACCGTTGTGGCTAACTATGTTTTAGAAGGGCTGGAGGTGTGGGCCCTGTCTTCGGGTCTCAGGACCCAAAGATCCTTTAGTCAGTTGTTGGGTCTTCCAAGAGCCAGACATTAATACAGATTGAACTCCATCAGTCCCCTAATTGTCAGCCTTTACCTCCCTCCCAGAGCAAGGAGTTTAGGGATTCTAAAGCTTAGTGTCCACACATCATTCTACCAGACCTTAGAGCTTTAGAAGCTCAATCTAAAATACTGTAACTCAGCATAAACTATTACTATCACTCCTTTGAACTCAGTCTCCATGAGCAGTGTTTTGTTGGAAATACATAGAACGGCTTAATGCCTAGAGGGTGGTGGATAGTGAAGGACGGTCAAGGTTATATTTTTGACTGCTTAGGGATTCTTTGGATCCAAGAAACAGAAATGTTCAAGCGGAATAAAGGAGGGAGTGGAGTTGTGGTAAGGATGCAGGGTATTTCGCAGAACCCAGGACGGGAAGTGCCTTTGGTTCTTGGGTGGAGCTGGAACTGCAGAGCTTTGCACCTAGTCCTTTCTCCCGCTTCACAGTCTGCTTATGGTATATGTGGCCCCCAAATAGGCACTCTAGTCCTCAAGTCTACACCACCTTCCAACTCTGGGGATCACCATGAACAAATTCTCAATTTCCCATACTTAATTTTTTTTTTTTTTGAGATGGAGTCTCGCTGTGTCGCCCAGGCTGGAGTGCAGTGGTGCAGTCTCAACTCACCACAACCTCTGCCTCCCAGGTTCAAGCAGTTCTCTGCCTCAACCTCCCGAGTAGCTGGGATTACAGGCGCCTGCCACCATGCCCAGCTAATGTTCATATTTTTAGTAGAGACAGGGTTTCACCGTCTTGGCTAGGCTGGTCTTGAACTCCTGACCCTCATGATCCACCCACCTCGGCCTCCCAAAGTGCTAAGATTACAGGCGTGAGCCACCGCGCCCGGCCCATACTTCGTATTCTTAAAAAAAACTACACTCAGCCCAGCACATTGATCAAGTATCTATCTCTGAGCAGTTGGCCTTGCCAGGGAGAGCAGAGATGTGGCAGGCTCCTTCAGCTGGAGACAGGGAGCTTCTCAGAGAAGTGAGCAGAGACTCCACAGACACCCTAAAAAGGCTTCTACTCAAGAAGTAAAGCCACTACTCCTGCCTTTTTGCTTAGTGGACAGGAAGGCACAGGAGTTTGTCTGGGACATCATAGAAATTCTTAGGTTTAACTTAATTCTGGTCATTGTCTTCTTTATTTCCTGTTTTTCTTCCCTTTGTCAGTCTTCGCATCCAAGATTTCTTCCCTCCCTCTTGTGGGCCAGCCTGTCCTGTTCCAGAGCTAGCCTGTTCCTGGGTAGCCTTCCTTAGCCTCCATTCAGCCTCAGGTCTTTTGCCTTCTTCCGTGTTTATTTAGAGAGCAGAATCTAATAACGGGTTCCACTGTAGCCACTATCCATGGACTTCTGGGTCCTCTTCAGGTTTGAGTGCTTGAAAATGTTCATTCTCTGGGCTTGTGGCCTGTCTCCTCCACTCTCCTCCTCACCCTCTCGCTCCTTCCTGTGTGAGGGCCGCTCTGCAGTAATGTTCTCAGGCAAGCCTTCCTAGGCACCTCAGAAACTACTTTGCCAGAGCCAGTAAGAATATATAATATTGGAGCAGTTGCCAGGATAGAAATTAAATATAGATTCCAGTTTAGGATAGAGTTTTTACCGAGAGCTCTTTAGACAGTATACCTGTGTCTTCTCTGGCAATTGCTTTCATTTTAGTCCTATATAAAAGCTTTCCTTTTCTGTTTTTTTTTAAAACTATGCTTTTGCTTGCCTAAATCTTTTGATCTTATATTTCTCTCATCTCAGAGCCTGTCCTGAGTTGTAAGGTATTTCATACTGCCTTACTTAAAAGTTTTTTAAACTACTAGAGTCATTTGATACACACAGAAGTTACCTAATAATCCAAAGATGTCCATCAAGGGAGGAAGGGTGGGTCATCAGACTTTGCCTTTGATGTTGTAGACTAGGCTCCTGAGTTAAGCAGCAGAGGGACAGCAGTGCCATGTGCCTTCACTGTGTCCCAGGAAATCTGGGTTGGTTCCAGTGGGAAATACCAGTATTTCTTGGTTCTGGAAAGTAGCAAAAGAGTAGGAGATGGGGAAATAGGGATGGGGAGAGCAAGCCCCGCATGTCCATGGCGAGTCAGGTGGGGAGCACGGGTGGAAGGGCCGGCTGTTGACAGACAGACTAAGCTGTGTGGTGCTCTTGCCGCCCCTTCCTGGGTACAGAGCTTGAGAAAAATGCAGCCGACCACTCCCTGTGTTTGTACAGAGCAAAGCCCAAAAGCCAACCTCAGATCTCCTGATTTGGCAGCTGAAGAAATCAGCAGAGTCCTGATTGCCTGATTCAGTCCCAAAAATGAATGTCAGGCCCCGCCCCCTCCCCACCAACATTGCCTCTCCTACATTCTCCTTCTGCCCCTAAATCAGACAGGAGGCCAGAGAGGAGTATTGCTCAATGCGTGCTATGTGCAACTCCTCAGGCCTTGTGCCACCTCCATGCTGAGCCCTGAAGCAGGGTGTCCTGGGTGCCTGTGTGTCAGCTCCCTCCTCTCTACCTACCTCTGACCTTCTTGTGGGTGAGGGTGGCCATGCTTATGGCCATCTTAAAACTGGAGAGGCAGAGAACTACTTATGAGTCTGTAGACCACGTGTTGTCTTCCATGGCCTGTTTCTCCTGCTGTCTGGGTGAGTGAGCCTGCAACGCAATGCCCATGAGAGTAAATGCCTCCTGACCTACCCTGCTCAGCACTGTTCTAGTGTCTTGGCCTTGAAAGAAAAGCCTGACTTCCTGCTGACACATGTGGTAGGGGCATGGCAGCTATGAGGCACCTCCTACGTCTGTTTTCTGGCTGTGGTGACTTGGGATTTTTAACCTTATATATCTTTTTCCTTTACTCAAAACAAAACAATTTTTAGCACACTGAAAAAAAAAAAAAGCCAAATGTTTTGTGCCTTTCTAAGGCAGCACTGTATCCCAGGCTGCATTTTAGGACTTAATATGGAAATACCAGAGTCTGAGCTCCTCTACCTTGAGTTTCATTAGTCCTTAGTGTCTAGGAGACAGGAAAGAATGCTCTCTGTGACTGGAGAGGTGACATGCAGGTGCAGTGTGTCTGGAGTCCCTTTCCCCTGCTGTGAGACTTCAGTGGAGGAGAGAAGCATTGTACCCTGGGATCATTTGGTTGGTTCCAATCACAAGCTTAGTTATCAGGTTGCATGCCTTGTCTCCTGCAAAAGACAGAATGTTTCACAATTCCCAGGTAAACTCTGGACCATTCCAAGTGTCCTAGCCTTCTGATGACATTAATTACCTAGTTGTGTCGAGGAGTATAGGATGGACTCTCCTGAGAAGGGGAGGTTGGTGGCTTTGTCTTTTCTTTTTGCTGGATCCTGAACTGGTCTAGACCTCCTGCCCCCACCCCCCAGCCCCCATCAGATGTGGCTGGCCTTTCATTTGAAGGCTTCAGACTTAAAGCATTAAGCAGCTAGTGCCCTCTGCAGGGCCTGGTTTCCCCAGGGAAGGGCAGCAAGGAACATGGGACCAGAAGCCTGTCCTCAGTAATGTGACTATAGTGAGCTTTAGCAAAAGTTTTTCTATATAATGACATCTTACTTATCTTTTACCCTTTCCTCAGTTTTCCCCTGCCTTTAACTAATAAAGAATTGGGAGACAGAAATTTTAAAGTCCTCCTTATTCAAGATTTTGAAATTCTTAGCCTGGGAGTGCTGGAGAGAACCTGATGCTTTCTCCAGAATGAAGAGTCCCAATTTGTATATCAGTGTTAAGAAGAAAACAAAACAAACACATAGGTGAGATTTTCGTGGACTATTTTAAAAATGTGTCATTAATATAAAAAATTTATATTAGCAGTATTTAATCATTCTCACCTGTAAAGAATAAGAAAAACAGAAGGTAAATATTCTTACAGAGAATAGCAGAGCTTTAAGATTCATTTTCATTTTAAGTCCATTTTATTTTGCCAGTGTATTAATGTTTAGAAGTCTGTTTTACTAATGTTATTTATTAATTTTTTTTCATTTCCATACACAGTTAGTTAACTAAAGAGCTTTTTCAAGCACCCATGTCTGTAAAAAAATATTTTTAAATAAAGTTTCTTTTGTTGTAGCAGACTTGAGTTCTTGCTCATTCAGGGGGTTGGGAGGCAATACTCGAGTTGCCGTAGGACCAAATGCCAAGGCCCCCTTCCTCATGGCGGTGAGCCTGAGCTGCTGTCTGGAGGGCAGTTCCAAGTGGCAGGAAAGCATAGGAAGGGGACATAGCTCCTGCTAACAGCCTGCCAGGCCCTTCGTGCTGCGTCATCAGGGCAGTTTTGCTGCTGAAAAGTAGGGTGACTGTCTGCTCTGGTAGAACTTGAGCCATTTGCTCAGAAGCAGAGGTAACCCCTGATCTCTGCTGCCAACTGGAAACGGTTTTGTGTGCCTTTTGGTTGTAGTTTCACAGGCCCCCAGGTTCCTGTGGTACCCATGATGAATAAAAAGCAATGTATGATTTCTGGGACAATTAAGCTTTATTTTTCATATATATATATATTTTCATATATATATATACATACATATATAAAGGAAACAATTTGCAAATTTACACACCTGACAAAACCATATATACACACATATGTATGCATACACACAGACAGACACACACACCCGAAGCTCTAGCCAGGCCCGTTTTCCATCCCTAAGTACCATTCTCTCATTTGGGCCCTTCTAGGGTTGGGGCCCTGAGCTTGGTTTGTAGAAGTTTGGTGCTAATATAACCATAGCTTTAATCCCCATGAAGGACAGTGTAGACCTCATCTTTGTCTGCTCCCCGCTGCCTTTCAGTTTTACGTGATCCATCAAGAGGGCTATGGGAGCCAAGTGAACACGGGGGATTGAGGCTAATTCACCTGAACTCGAAAACAGCGCCCAGCTTCCTCACCGCAGGCACGTATCTTTTCTTTTTTTTTCCTCGAGACGGAGTCTCGCTGTGTTGCCCAGGCTGGAGTGCAGTGGCACGGTCTCGGCTCACTGCAAGCTCCACCTCCTGGATTCATACCATTCTCCTGCTTCAGCCTTCCGAGTAGCTGGGACTATAGGTGCCAACCACTACGCCTAGCTAATTTTTTTTTGTATTTTTAGTAGAGACAGGGTTTCACCGTGTTAGCCAGGATGGTCTCGTCCTGACTTTGTGATCCGCCCGCCTCGGCCTCCCAAAGTGCTGGGATTACAGGCGTGAGCCACCACACCTGGCCCCGGCACGTATCTTTTAAGGAATGACACCAGTTCCTGGCTTCTGACCAAAGAAAAAATGTCACAGGAGACTTTGAAGAGGCAGACAGGAGGGTGGTGGCAGCAACACTGCAGCTGCTTCTGGATGCTGCTGGGGTGCTCTCCGGAGCGGGTGTGAACAGCGCACTTCAACATGAGCAGGCGCCTGGCTCCGGTGTGTCCTCACTTCAGTGGTGCACCTGGATGGTGGAAGCCAGCCTTTGGGGCAGGAAACCAGCTCAGAGAGGCTACCCAGCTCAGCTGCTGGCAGGAGCCAGGTATTTACAGCCATAATGTGTGTAAAGAAAAAACACGTTCTGCAAGAAACTCTCCTACCCGCTCGGGAGACTGGGGCTCCTTGCTTGGGATGAGCTTCACTCAACGTGGAGGAGATGGTGGTGGACTGGTCCCTGAAAAGCGGGCCTTGCAGGGCCAAGTGAGGTCCTCAGGTCCTAACCCAGTGGCCCTCTGAAAGGGGGTGTGCAGGCGAGGGGAGCAGGAGGCTTCTCTCTAGTCCCTTTGGAGGCTTTGGCTGAGAGAAGAGTGAGCAGGGAGCTGGGAATGGTCCAGGCAGGGAAGGGAGCTGAAGTGATTCGGGGCTAATGCCTCAGATCGATGTATTTCTCTCCCTAAAAGTGGGTAGAGGAGAAGAGGGGAACACGGAGACGGTGCTGAGTTGAAGGTGTGAGCACCGAGAGGAAGGAGAGATGGAAGCAGAAGCCGATGAATTTGGTGGGCAGCGTTGGGGAGGAAGCTAGGATGGGCATGGCAGGCCAGGGAAGGAGGGCGGCCCCCGTCTGACTGCACTGGTGAAATGGCCACACCCAGAGCCACGGGCATTGGTCAGGAAAAGGTGATGGGACAGGGTCTTTCTCAGTCTTCCTCCAAGCTCCCTCAGCCACTTGCTTGGCCCTGCCATCTGTGAGTAGTGTTAAGAAGGCAAGATGGGGCCTGCTCCCTATCTCTGACAAAGAGGGATGAAGGATAGAGAGAACCGTTAGTCCCTACTGCCCCCGGTCCCTGAGGATGTGGCAGGCTCTGGCCACAGGAACCGCCTCCTACCTGGTCTCCCGGAGCCCTCTTGTCACCGCTGCTGCCCTGCAGGAGGCCCATCTCTTCTGGGAGCTTATCTGACTTAACTTCAACTACAAGTTCGCTCTTACGAGACGGGGGTAGCGTGCTGGGAGGAGGGAGGGAGGTGAGAGGTTGGTATCTCAGGGCCACAGGAAGAGAAGGGCCCGCTGTGAAGGATGTGGAATGGATGAGGGCTCCTTGCTCCAGGGCCAGCCCAGGGCAGGGAAGCAGGTCATGAGACCATGTGGCTGATGGAAGCTGGGCAGTGGGTAGTGGAGCAGGCAGCACCCTGACCCAGGGCCCCACTCCTGCTGTCAAGGGGCAGGCGGGCGCTGGGCAGGCAGCAGGCTGGGTGGCAAAACGGGCGGGGGCGGAGGGGCCGGTGTTGGGCTTACATCTCCTGCTTCCCTGAGCGCCTGCACGGCAGCTTGCCCTTCTTATAGAGGAAATAGAGGACAGCGCCCAGCACCGCCAGGACCAGGATGCACACAATCACAGCCACGATGACCACGCCCCGGCTCTCCGGCTCCGGCAGCTTTCTCTCTGCGCCACAAAGACACTCCTCGTCACTCCCTGCCCCAGGCCACTTCGTCACCATCGTTGGCCCAGCCAGTCCAGGGCCGACAAGATGGGGCTGCTACTCACCTTTCTGGACAGGGCTCTCTGGGGAGGGACAGGGCAGAAAGGATGCCCTGGCACAGCCCTGTTCTCTTGCCAGGCCTGGCTTACCTGTGGAGGTGCTGTTGGCTCTGGTATGAGGACTGGCAGTGGAAGTGCTGAGGCCAGTGGTTGTGTTGGAGTCTGGTGTGAGGGTGGTTAAATTGACTAGGAGGCAGAGGGAGGGGTGTTAGGAGAAGCGCAAGTTACTGCCCGTGCCTGGGCCTGCCCCTGCCATCCCCTGCAGGGATGCAGCCCTCACCCAGCTCCAGGAAGAGGATGCTGGTGTTTTTGCCCAGGTCGTTGGAGGCCGTGCATTCAACACCTGTCTCCAACAGCTCCGGGGTCACGAGGACATTCAGGGTGCTCAGGACTCGCTGTGGATCTTGGTCTTGTTCACTTGCCTGCGAGGAAAGGAAGGAGGCAGCTCAGGGGATGGGGAGGATCTCTGGTCCTGGCCACAAAGCGCAGGCAGGGATTAGGAGAGTGTGGCAGATGAGACACCCGCTCACCGTGCCGTTGACGTTCCAGGAGATGGTGGGCCGGGGGTGCCCTGACGCTTCACAAGACAGATTCAACACCATATTCTCTTTCACCCACACCTTCCTCTCCTTGAATGCCATCCAAGGGGGGCCTTGGGGAGGTAGGGAGAGGTGAGGTGGCAAGCCCAGCTAGCCTGCCTCCCCCTCCGCACCAGAGCTCCCCAGGGCAGCAGGTGGCTTTTTGTCAAAGAGCTTAAAAACCACCCCACTTGGGGTGACCTGGTCTCTACCCAGAGGGAGGGCCTCACCAAAAATGGCCACGTTGACCAGCTGTGTGCGGTTCAGGCCGGGTATGCTGGGCACAGACGCCACGCAGCGATAGCCGCCTCCTGCCTCCCGTTTCAGGTCATGCAACTGAAGCACAGGCCCCCTTTCCAGCACCTGGCCTGTCTGGGATGAGAGATGGGTCAGAGGGTCTGGGAAAGAGCACATTCTTGTCACCGCCAGCCCCACCCACCCCATCAGCCCCTTGCCCCAGACCCGCCTGGGTACCTCTTCTCTCAGCCACTGGAACTCGAGGTCCTGGCTACTCTCTGCCTCACAGGTCAGGGTGAGGCTGCTGCCTTCCTGTCTCTCAGGGGCTGCGGGACTCACTCGGACGTCAGACACATCTGGGGGTACAGCAATCATGTCACCCAGGGCAGGGTGGGGCCAGTTCCCTATTGCCCCAGCCTGGTCCCCCTGTCCTGGGTCCCCAGCCCCTCACAGTTCACCAGTAGTTCCTGTGGTTCACTCAGCAGCGATATCATGGTGTCCAAGTCCAGGCCCTGACATTCATAGCGCCCACTGTGTTCCTTCCGGGCAGGCTCCAGCACCAGGACCCCGTTGTCGTTGGTTGTCTCTTCCTCTGCCTCCCTGGTGCTGGGGTTCTAGGGAGGATTGGGGAGGTGAGCAGAGTGCACCTCCCGCCACTCCACCTGGGTCTCTGCTTGCATCCCCACCTGCACCCAGCACAAAGCCCCCACACCTGCTTGCTGATGCTGAAGTGTGGTGGAGGGTTGCCATCAGCCAAACACCTGATTTCCACGCGGTCCCCTTCCTTCAGCATTCCCACGGGCTCCACTTCCAGCCACACTTTTTCTGTCGGGTCTGCATAGGCAAAGGGGGTAGCTCTTGGCCCATGAGTCAACCCTGGGCTGGATAAGGGGGAGCCAGCAGGAGTTTCCAGCAGCCCCAGCCCCAGTAAGCAGAGAGTCAGGTTAGTACTCACAGAAAACAGGGACGGTGACTTCCCTGGACTCCTTCATGTGGTTCCCACTGGGCAGCCGGTAGTTGAGCTCACAGTAAAACTGGGCATCTTTGTCTTCTTTAACCAGCTGTGCCTTCAGAATACTCTGCAAGGTGTACAAACCACTCGACTCCACAGTCTGGGACGACTGAATGTGGACCCCTGGGCAGGGAGGAAGGGGAGGAAGACTCAGCCTCAGCCCCACCTCCAGCCCCACCCTAGGGTTGTCCACTGGGGTTGGCAGGGGACCATCTAAATAGCCCCCTGTCCCCTGTAGAAGGCCAGGTACAAATGCAAGCTGGAAACCCTTCAACCCAGCACTTTTACTGCTCAGTGTCAACCCTAGAAAAACATTTTCATGTCTGCTCATATCCAAGGATGTGTGCAAAGAATGCTGCAATGATAAAAACGAGCAGCCGTCTAGATGTCCACTAAATGGGGAATGGTGAACTCGACTACCTGCTATGCGTAGTATGGAAAACTTGGCAGTAAGCAAAACGATCAGTTGATCTAAATAGACTGACCCAGAAACATTGTATAAAAGAAATTGTCTAACAATGTATACCATACACCACCACTTAGACCAGGGTTTCTCAGCACTACTGATAATTTTTTTTTTTTTTTTTTCAGACAGAGTTTCACTCTTGTTGCCCAGGCTGGAGTGCAGTGGTACAATCTCGGCTCACCGCAACCTCCACCTCCCTCCCGGCTTCAAGTGATTCTCCTGCCTCAGCCTCCTGAGTAGCTGGGATTACAGACATGCGCCACCACGCCCGGCTACTTTTGTATTTTCAGTAGAGATGGGGTTTCTCCGTGTTGGACAGGCTGGTCTTGAACTCCCGACCTCAGGTGATCCGCCCACCTTGGCCTCCAAAAGTGCTGGGATTACAGGCGTGAGCCCAGCCAGCACTACTGATGTTTTAGGCCACGTTGATTCTTTATTGTGGGGGCTGTCCTGTGCCCTATAGGATGTTAGCAACATCCTTGGTCTCTCTACCTACTAGATGGCAGTAGCACCCCCTCTATGTGTGACAACCAAAAATATCTCCAGACATTGCCAAGTATCTCCTAGGAGGAGGGGGTACAAAATCACCCCTGGTTAAGAATGACTGATTTAGATAATAAAACACAGAAGCCTATATCATTCTAGAAATATTTCTATATATGAGCAAATACATAGAAATAGGCTTGAAAGAACACACCCTGATAGCAGAGATTATTTCTGGGAGGGGGGGTCTCAGGCAAGAAGAAACTTCTAGATTTTTTGTCAGTTTAAATTCTCATGAAAATATTTTCAAGTACCATTTGTATAATTTTTTTAAGTTAAAAGCTTAATGAAAATATAAGGCAGTTCCTGTGTAGTACCATAGGGACAGCTCTTTTTAAGAGATGGGGTCTCGCTCTGTCACCCAGGCCGGAGTGTGGTGGTGCAATCCTAGCTCACTGCAGCCTTCATTTCCTGGGCTCATATGATCCTCCTGCCTCAGCCTCCCAAGTATCTGGGACCACAGGCACACACCACCATGCCTGGCTAATTTTTTTATTTTCTGTAGAGACAGGGTCACCCTATGTTGTCCAAGGTGGTCCTGAACTCCTCACCTCCAGAGATCCTCCTGCCTTGGCCTCCCAAAGCACCGAGATTACAGGTGTGAGCTACCACACCTGGCCCAAGGGTGGCTTTTGGGAGAAAGGGCTACTCACGGTTCTTCTCCTCCTTCAGAGGCCGGCCATTCTTGTACCAGATGACTTGAGGAATGGGGTACCCGTTCCTCCCTACACAGGTAGCGACCTAAAGAGCACAGGGTGTGAGTCTCCCTGCCTCCGAGCCCCCTTCAAGCCCCATCTCAGCGGCTGCGCACCAGCTGCCCAGCCCACCTGCCACACATCTCACCTCCTCAGGCTCCTTACTGTTCACAGGGATGCCCAGGGGGTTGACCTGGATGTTTGGCTCCTCCGGAGCTTCTACAAGAAAATAGAAATGAGGGGGACATCTGGCCACGTCCCACCACCCTCACTACCCTGCTGGCAGACACAGGGTCACGCACTGTAGACGCGGAGCTGGATGCGGTACTCCTGGGACCGAGGGCGCTTGCCCTGGCACAAGAAGATGCGCTCGTCTTGGGGGGTGACTTGAGTCAGGGCCAGAGTAGCCCCTCTGTCCTGGAGGCTGAGCCGCTGCTCGTACTCCCCAGGTTCGCTCTGGCCCTGGCCCTGGCGCACACGGAAGATGAGCGTCCGCTTCTCCTTGTGGACCTAATGGGAGGAGACACAGAGGAGGAGAAGGGTCCTGGGCTACAAGAGGGGCAGAGTCTCCCTCCCCGGGCTGCTCTTGCAGGAGCCCAAGCACTCACAGAAAACCAGTCGACATGGCTGAGGTTGCCTTGGGACTGGGAGAGGCCGCACTTCAGAAGGGCTGTGCTGCCCACTTCCACCTCCACCAGCTCAGGCGCAGGCTGCTCAGCCTCTCCGGGCACACCTGGGGGAGGGAGGCGGGGCCCCCGCAGCTGTGTCAGCTCCGGCTGCTGTCCGCCCCTCCCCTCGCAGCGCTGCTGCAGCTGTTTTTCCTGCCACTCAGAGGGTCTGCAGAGGGCCCTGTCCTCTGAACGCTCTACCCCCACCCCGACCCGCGCCCCACCTGGGCCAGCCCTCTCCCCGTCCAGGAGATCCCAGGTCCTTGGAGCCAAGCAGAGATTGAGCAGAGACTGAGCACCGAACAGCTCCAGCTGAGGCTGGTAGAGGGGCAGAAAGGGGCAACCTAGGCTCGGGGCCAAGAGGAAGGCCCCTTTCCTTCCAGGCCCCCTCCTCTCCGGGTGAGCTCAGAGTGTGGGAATGCAAAGCATGTGCCAGGCTGGGGCACACAGGCCCTTTTGTGTCACCACCGCCAGGGGAAGACACCACTGCTCTATCCTCTGCCCTCCAAAATCCCTGCCCTCACTCCCCAGCGGGCTAACTCTGGCGGAAGTTCCGGTCTCATGCTCCCTCAGCAGCACCTCCATGAACACTCCGCACACACCCGCGGACCCCACCCTAGGTAGCTGGTAAGGATGGAGAGGTCAGAGTCTCCCCCAGGGGTCAGGGCAAGGGCCAGGCAGTGGGCAGGAGTGACGTCAGTGGTGCCAGCGTGCTGCCAGCCCTGTGAGGAGGTGATGTCACTCGACACCATCTGCCTGGGCTCTGGGATGCCTGGGTTGTTACCTTGGCTCTCGGACAAGGAGGGCAGGTGGAAGGTGGGGTCTCCAACCCAGAGCCTCAGACCCCTGACTCCTCCCAGAGCTAGAAGAGCAGGGCAGGGTGGAGCTGGACCGGCTGCAACTGTGGAGCCCGATTTAGCCCTTTCCCCAGAAATAAAGTCAGCCTGGGAGGCAGTAGCCTGGAATACCCCAGGGACATGGTTGGCACTGGGCATGAGGCCAGCGAGCTGGGTATTGCCTAGCCCTCCCCTTCCCCAGCCGGACAGCGGCTGGGACGGCGGAATGGGAGCCAAGAGAAACACGCGACACCGCTGCGGGCCATACAAGGGCAGCGTGGACCCGAGAGCGCCCTGCTACCAGGCGGATCCGGAGAAACGCTCCGAGGTGCCCGGGCGCACTTCCCACCTGAATGTGGTCCCCAAAATAAGCCAGCGGGCGCTTCCAGTATGGGAATCCTCCATCCCTCATCTCTGTCCCCTATGATCCCATCACTCGGGGAGGCGCGAGGCGACCCACACCGCCCCGCAACCCCTGCCAACGCCCAGCTCGGGCGGGAGCCGCCGAACCTCCCGCTCTCGCTCACCTCCAGCCTGGCGTGATGCCCAGGCAGAAGGGGGAAGGGGTGGGTCGGCGCACCCCCTCCAGCGAAGGAAGCTGCCTTTTCCAGCAACAGGCGGGCGCGGAATTCAGGCTTTGAGGATGCGCCCCAGCTGCGCCTCCTGCCCGGCTTCAATTGCGGGCCCCCAGAGTGAGCACCTCAGGGACCACCCACCCCCCAGCACCCCGAAAGGCTGAGCTCCACCCCTTCTCGTTCCCAGAAGCAGCCTCCTCCCCGCCTTCCGAGTGCTGCTCCCGGGATACTCTAGAATCCCGGCTGCAAACTGGCTGCAAAGAAGAGTTGCTCGCGCGCAAGGCGCCCGGGGATCGGGGACCCAGGGAGGAGGCTCGTCCTCCCAGACGCAACGCCCCGACCCCGCCGCGCCGCTGGCTCTGCTCCCTGGCACGCTCCACCGCAGACCCCTAGCCGGGGCGCGGCCCCCCTGCGAGCGAACTCACCCGCGACGCGAGGACAGCAGCAGCAGGCGGCGAGCAAGAAGGCGCAGACCAGCCTGGGAAGCCCCATGCTTCCCGGCCGGAGGGCGAGAGCCAAGTGAGCAGCTCGAGGCTGCCGGGGGCTGACGTCAGGGGGGCGGGGGAGGGGGCCCGGAGCGCCCGGGCCCGCCCCGCCCCGCGCAGCCCCCAGCCCCCGCCCCGCGCGCCGCAGCCCTAGGGGGCGGGCCCCGGCGCCGCCAGCCCGGGAGCTGCGCCTAGGAGCGCTGCCGGAGGTAGGCCAGAGCCGGACTCCCAGGCTCCTGGCTTGGGAAGGCTGAGGGGGTAGTGACAGGTGTCTCGGGGTCTGACTGGCCGAGGTGGCAGCGAGGAGAAGCTGTCCCGGATGCCCGGAGTCGCCCCGGGTCGAAGCCAGCCAGGCTCACCGCTGCTCAGCCCCTGCCAGCCAATGTAGCCCCTAGGGGACCTCCTGGGGGAGGAGCAGTAGCGGACCTGGTCCTCGGTGTCCCCAAGGGGCCTCCCACTTGGGCTCCCCTCCCTTGCCACAGAGAATTCAGGCCGGCCTCTATCGCTTCCCAGAACGATTGCACCACTGCCGCTGCCGCCGGCCTGACACTGCCTCAGCCTCAGTGCTGGCAGCTTTGGGAGAAGAACCCTGCGCCAGTCCCACAGACCCAGAAGTACCTGTATGGGGAGTGCAGACGATGCCTTCTGGGCTGTCCCTTCAAACGCAAGCTCCTGCAAGTCTAGCCTTTGACCAGAGAAAGGAAGGAGGGGGCTGAATTCGCAGGCCCAAGGTGTTCACACTTGTCCAGACCTGGGCCTTGAGAATCATGTTTCTTCCCTCTTCACTCTGGAGCCTACCCTGGAACTCAGTTTCCCCTCACCTAAGAGAAAGAAACAGGGAGAAGAAAGAGTTAATGGGCGAGGGTCCCCAGCCTGACCCTGCAAACCTGTTGCTGTTCCTGATGATTGAAAGGATCCCGGCAGCGCTGATCTTCCCCCACCCCATGTCTTCCCCAGCCCTATTGATTGTGGGTCCATAGCTGAGGGAAGAATCAAATCAGACCTGCTTGGGTGGGGAGCTCTGCAGCTCCCCTTCTCCCAAAACGCCGGCTTCTCCCTGGGTCTTCTGGCCTCTTGAACTAAGGCTCTAGGGAGGGGGAGGTGCTCTTGCCTCACTCTGACCCCAGCAGCCTGGCCTCAGAAAAGGGGTCCACATCTGCTGGCGCGCCTCCACCAGGGAGTGCCAAATAGGGGCCTGGATTTGGGTAGAGGTCTGTTGCCCAGCGGGGCCACCCCTTTGCTCGCTGGGGGAGGTGGAGGGTGAGCCAGCAAACCCTGGAGATGGCCAGGTGACTTGAGAGCATGCTCCGGGGTGGCGTTTTGATGACGCAGAGATGACTGGAAAACCACACCAGGCTTGTCTTTCAGAGCCTTCTCGACCCCTCCTCCAATGCCATTAGTCTCCAGCCAGAGGCTGTGCAGAGCCCAGGCCCACCGGGCCAGGGGCCTGGAGCCTGGAGCCTGCAGGGAGAACAAGAGGAGGACGCTGGCTCGCCCTCCAGAGTGAATGTATGGACTGGCCCCAGGCCCAGAGCTGACTAGATGAGAATGTTTTGTCTGCTGGGCTGGAGTGGGAATGGCTGAAGGATGCCGTTTGCCCTGGCAGGCCCGGCTGGGCATGGAGCTGGCTTCCCTGCCCAACCCCCTTCCTTCACTTAACACCATTAACTAATCATTCGCCTCTCTGGCCTGAAAACAAAGCCAGCTAACCACCAAGGACAGTCAGTTCTGAATTCTTCTTCCGCTGGAGGAGAGTGAAGCCAGGTGGGGGTGGAGGATTTGTCTCTGCGGTGAAAGGGAAATGAGGTCAGAGCCTAGAGCCCAGGGTGACGTCCCTTCGCATTGCCCCACCAAACAAGCACAGAAGACTGTCCTTTAAGGAAGCCAGTAGCCTGGGGCTGTCTAGGCTGCTCGGAAGTGGGTCATAGCCTCAGGGGACAGATAGCTTTGGGATGGTTTCATGAGGTGGGCACTTTGGGATTCCAAACTAAAGACGGGTCAGGACCTCGGAAAGGACGCAGGAGTGGAGGCAGGGAGCAGGGTGGAGGGAGCGGAAGGTGAAGGGGATCAGCCCTCAGCTCTTCTTAGAGGCCAGAGGCTAGTGCTCCGGCAGCCCCAGGGGAGAGAAGGTGGCTGCGGGACTTCCAGCAGGACAGGAGTGACAGCCAGCAGAAGGGAGTTGGAGGAGGAGGCCACGGCCGTCTACCCTGCAGGGACCCAGCACCTGGACTGGGTTGGAAGAGCCTGGCTCAGATGTAGGCCAGGGCCAGAAGAGGCCCTGGGGGCAGAGTCCTAATTCTTCTTTTTTCCCTCGTTGGGTTGCAGGCAAGAAGGCTGCTTTCCTCCAGCCCCATGGTGGACCTGGGCCCCTCACACATGAGGGGACCCTCCTGCGCATAATGCCCTCTGCGTGTCTCTGGTATAGGTCTGACCACAGGTGGAGAAACTGAGGCCAGGTGGGGTGGGGGTCCTGGTTGGGCTCCTCAGCCACAGTCTCCTGGATGGGTGGAGCTTTCAGCTCATTGTAAGGAGAAGTGGAACCCTGGGGAGTTGGAGGTAAAAAGACAAGGATGGACCTGTCCCCAGAGGCCATGAAGGGGCAAGACTGGAACCCAAGTGTCCTCTCTCAGCTCCAGCAAAGGGAACTTAGCGACTTCTGACCCACCCTTCTGGATCCAGGGGCCTTGACCAGGATGTGAGGATATGAGAAGGGTGGGTCAGAAGTAGCTCGAGGAAGGAAGCTGATAAAGAGGTGTTTGCAGCTGCTGTGAGGACATGGGGTGGGAGTCCCAACAATCTTGGCAGTTACCGAGACTGGGGAACCCCCTGGCCAGGCCAGATAATAGGATCCGGCCTGGGTCTTTGGAGGGGGTGCGGAAGTTGGAGAATTTTTCCAGAATGTGGGTGTGAGTAGGAGAAGATTATACTGAAGGAGTGAAAACAGGGTGGAAAAGGGTAGGGGGCAGGAAACCGGATACTGTACTGGGGGGTGGATGGAAGATGTGGGGGAAGAGATTGAATCGGGGGAAGCAGCCCTGCTCCCGCCGGATGCTGTCTCACCCATGTCCTTCGCACCTGACCCAGGGCAGGAGGAAGGAGGCACAGCCGGGATGGAGGTGCACCCCACACCACCATGGGAGAGAGGGAGGGTGGCCTTCTGCGGGATGGGAGGGGCTATTTTTAAACTTGGAAAAACCGTGAGTTCATCTCCATTCTGGAGGCTGCAAAGGCCCCATTGTACAGGGGTCTAGAGAGGGGGAGCGGGGGGAGGGGGCGACGGGCACAATGGCGAGGATTATGTTGGAGCAGGCAGGGGGGTGGAGGGCGGAGAGCGGGGGAGGGGCTGTCTTCGTCACAGATGGCCTACTGAACTCTGGGGTCGAGCCAGGCTGGGGCTTGAACTGGGGGGCAGGGCCCACCCTCACAAAGATCCCCGTTGGGGAACTGGGGTCTCTGACATCCGGTGGCCCATCCTGGGGAGGGGGCTGACGGTGGGATTCCCACAGCCTGGCTTTCCCAGGGACCGCAGGGTCTGTTCCCAGGCTCCCAGCATTCCGACGACTCCCCTGAGAGCTGCTGGCCTCTTCCCTCAGCCCCTTCCCTGCCAGGGGGTGGGGGGAGAGAAGGAGAAAGAGGATGTGGATGCATCGGGACTCCTCCTGGGGATGATGGACTCTTAAGCCAGAGGCGGGGGTTGGGTGGGCAGCAGTGGGTGGTTAGGGTAGGTTGAGCGGGATCGGAGTCCCCAACCCCGCGGACCCCTCCTCCGACCGACTGGGACTGTCCCTCTCGTACCCCCCGGTCTTAGGAGCCTCCGCACGGGGGCCAGCCCACCTGCCGGACCTCAGGCCTCCGGCACCCAGGGCCTCCACCCAGGGGACCCGGCCGCGGCGGGAAGGCGCCGGCGCTAAGCTCCCCAGGAGCCGGCCTCGAGGTCCCGCCCGGCGGAGGCAGGGGGCGGGGATCCGGCCGCTCGCCCCAACCCAAACATTACCATAAATGCTCAGGCGGCTGCGGGTGGATGGGCGCGCGGGGAGCCTGGGGCTCTCCGGAAGCCCCAGATCCAGTCTCCAGGCCCGACCCAGCGCGAGCCCGCGCAGTGATTCGGTCTGACCAGCCGTCCCCTTTACAAAGCGGTGCAGCCGGGGATGGCAGAGCTGGGGTGGGCGCGGGGACAGGGTGGAGAAAACCCAGGCCGCAGGGGGCGTCTCGGGGCTGCCTCCTGGGTAGGCAATGAGGCTGTGACCTCTGGTTAAAGAAAGAGTGGGGCCCTCTAGCTAGATGGCAGCGTCGGCGCCGCGGGGAGGCGGCTCTGTCTCCCTGCAGCTCTGCGGGCCCCGCTGCTGTCAGCGGTGACACCCTGGGTCTCGGTTCCCCGGCCCCAGCACCTAATCCCCTTCCCTCTCCTCTGCCCCCAGCCTGCACCTGGGGAATGAAGGGTGATGGGGGCGGAGGGTGGTAGCAGGATGCTGGGAGTTTACACCTCTCCCCTTCAGGGAAGTTCACATCCGCTCCCCAGAATACCACCATCCAGGGAGAGGAATGTCCCCAGAGAGCTCTTCAAATCTGACTTTGAGTCGTCACTGAGGGGAAGGCCGGCTGGTCTACAGGAGGGGGCCTGTGGGAAACCTGGGGGCGCCATGTTGAGGTCTTCTGGCCCCTCTCCTCCCTGAAGGACGCTCCTGCAGTTCCTCTTCCCTGCCACACGGGGCTGCCAGCATCCCAGGGGTAGCCCTGGAGAAGGGGAGCCTTGTTCCATCCCATCCCGGCGATGCCTGGGACCCTCACTGCTGCTGCCAGGGCTGATCTTGGAGCCGGGAGTAGAGAGGGGAGGAAAGAGGCTGGGCGCGGTGGTTTATGCCTGTAATCCCAGCACTCTGGGAGGCCGAGGCGGGCGGATCACGAGGTCAAGAAATCGAGACCATCCTGGCCAACATGGTGAAACCCCATCTCTACTAAAAATACAAAAATTAGCTGGGCGTGGTCGCGCGCGCCTGTAGTCCCAGCTACTCGGGAGGCTGAGGCAGGAGAATTGCTTGAACCCAGGAGGTGGCGGTTGGAGTGACCCGAGATCACGCCACTGCACTCCAGCCTGGGCGACAGAGTGAGACTCCGTCTTAAAAAACAAACAAACAAAAAACAACTGTGTTAACAGCTGGCACGGTGGTGTGCACCTGTGGTCCCAGCTACTCGAGAGGCTGAGGTAGGAGGATTGCTTGAGCCCAGTAGTTCAAGGCCAGCCTGCGCAACATATGGAGACCCTCATCTCCAAAAATAAACAAATAAATAATTGTGAAATGCACATAACAGAATACTAACCAGTTTAAACGTCAGCGTTCCGTGGCATTCAGCACATTCACAATGTTGTGCAATTATCACCATAATCAAGTTCCAGAATTTTGTCATCACTCCAAGGAACCAAAATTTGAACCAAGTTTTACCTAACGAACTCCAAAACCTGCGCAGTCTATGTGTAATAATCACAGCTGAATTAAGAGCTCAGTTGTGTGGTAAAGACAGGAAGTGCAACTGGGATTCAGAAAAGGGAGTGTTGATGTGGACTGTGCTGGCTAGGAAAGTCTTTCTGGAAATGTGAAGCCTTCAATGAAAGGTCAGGTTTAGATACGGAGGAGTGAGGAATGATCTTTCGAGGCAGGGGAAATGACACAAGCAAAAAGAGAGAGATGGGACCCACGAAAGGGGCACGTATATGGACAACTACAGAATTTCCCTATCAGAAAGTGTCAGAGCAGCCATCCGGCTAGAAGATGGAGTTGGTGGTGACTTGTCTTGAGATTATATTCACATAGCAATCCCACTTTTTTTTTTTTTTTTGAGACAGGGTCTTGCTCATTTGCCCAGGCTTAAGTGCAGTGGCTCGACCTCGGCTCACTATAACCCCTGCCTCCTGGGTTCCAGCGATTCTTCTGCCTCAGCCTCCCGAGTAGCTGGGATTACAGGCGCACCACCACGCTTGGTTAATTTTTGTATTTTTAGTAGAGATAGGGTTTCACCATGTTGGCCAGGCTGGCCTTGAACTTCTGGCCTCAAGTGATCCGCCCGCCTCAGCCTCCCAAACTGCTGGGATTACAGGCGTGAGCCACCTTGCCCGGCCTAGTCCACTACTTTCATTTCCAGTATCCGTTTACTTGGAGCGCATTGAGGATAGCTTTATTTATGTATTTATTTTTACACGGCGCCTGTCAGGGCCTGGGTTTCACTGCCACACACGGGGCAGTGCATGGTGAGCTGAGGCCCCTGGAAGCTCTGGGCACTCGCGGCCACTGGCAAAGCCCGGGATGATTTTCATCCAACCCCGGGCTCCCCAGCCACCAGAGGGATGTGGGTGGCTGACGCAGCCAGACCTACCTAAGTGGAGAGGGGGCTAGCTTTAGCTACACCATTACCCCTTGGCATCACCCTTGTGAGTTACATGGCTAAGTAGAAATTCAGCACGGTAGAGGGTGCATGCACGTGGGAGCTTGGGCAGATGAGATGGGCTTAGGTTATAGGGGAACAGCTTAAGATAGGGTGGGCAATGGGGAGCCACTGCAGGTTCTTGAGCAGTGGAAAAACGATGTGACATTGGAATTTAGGTTTACCATGGTTTCTTGATTTCATCTTGGCCTGAGAGCGCCCCCTGGTGCCCCTAGTTTGAATTGTTTTCTCATCCTACAGAGCAGGTGGGAGGATGGGGGACTGAAAAGCGGGATTGATGAATCGCAGAAGCCAGACTCTTGGGTTCTGTTTCACTTCATCCTGGGTAATGACAGCCTTGCAACAAAGCTAGGGATGATATGTGGGCAGAGAGGGTTTGAGGTCAAGAGGGGCATTGTAATTCCCTTCTCTGTGTCATAACTCGGTGCATATGTGTATTGTGATTTGGGATACAGCACACTAGTGAGGAACTAAGCTGGGGGCTGGAGACAGGACGATAACTAAAACAAGGGGTCATGTGCTTGAGAAACGTACAGTCTCGTGAGGGCGACAGACAAATAAATAATTATAACACAAAGAGCTGCGTACCAGGGTGCAAATATGCACATAAAACGGTTACTTAACCCAGCCTGAGGTGATGAAAGAAGGCTTCTTGGAAGAGCTGATGCCGAGCTTCATTTTAGGCGGTGAATAGGAGGTAGCCAGGTAAATGGGGGTGGGCTGTGCTGTCTGAAGTGTGGCGGAGCTCGCTATGTGCAGGGGGCTGCTAGGAGTTGGTTAATATTCTGCAAGGGAAGGCTGAGGTTAGTGAAGGATGAGGCCAGATTACAAAGGATTTGTAAGCCATGGTCAATTACTCAGAGCAACAGGCTGTGTATAAATGGTGTTAAGCAGGGGAGCAACCATGAGTGACTTTAAATTAGAGCTCAGGCCCCAGAGGGACAGAACAAAAGGCCCCTCTTACTAAGTTTCCATTTCCCTTCTCAGATCCCTCTTTTCCCTTGGGTGATGAGGTTGAAAACAGCCAATCCCTTCTGGGGAGCCTGCCTCCTGCACACAAAGTGTGGCCTTATTTTACCTCCCACAAGCCAGTTCATTTTATCATAATAGTCTCACAGTAGAATGAGAGATACGTGTGGGGATGGGGGCTCTTCCCTTATGTCATCCATATGTGACTGAGATCCCCTTGGCAACCTCTTGGAGGTGGGATACAGCACTTCACTGAGTCCACTAAAAACAATCCTTGCACCAAATCCATGCAGTGGAGTACTACGCAACTGTTAAAAGAATGAGGACAGGCCGGGTGCAGTGGCTCACACTCAACACTTTGGGAGGCCGAGGCGGGCCCATCACTTGAGGTCAGGAGATCAAGACTAGCCTGGCCAACATGGTGAAACCCTCTCTCTACTAAAAATACAAAAATTAGCCAGGCATGATGGTGCGCGCCTGTGGTCCCAGCTACTCAGGAGGCTGAGGCACAAGAATTGCTTGAACCTGGGAGGCGGAGGTTGCAGTGAGCCAAGATTGTGCCACTGCACTCTAGCCTGGGCAACAGAGCAAGACTGTGTCTCAAAAAAACAGAAACAGAAAAAAAAACAAAACAAAAAACAGTGAGGACAATCTCTATACACTGGTGTGGACTGTAATGGAATAAAACCCATTGAATTTGAATAAAATAGGAATCCATGACTCCAAACTGATAATAAAAAGATATCCATAAACAAATAGATGAGAAGGGAAGGCTATGCTTTACAGTCTTTACCAAACATGATTTTAAATTAAAAAGATAGGTATATGGCTGGGCAAGATGGCTCATACCTGTAATCCCAGCACTGTGGGAGGCCAAGACAGGTGGATGGCTTGAGCCCAGGAGTTTGAGACCAGCCTGGGCAACATGACGAAACCCCACCTCTACCAAAAACAAAACAAAACAATCCAAAAATTAGCTGGGTGTGGTGGCGCACGCCTGTAATCCCAGCTATTCAGGAGGCCAAGGTCGGAGGATCGCTGGAGCCTGAGAAGTCAAGGCTGCAGTGAGACAAGATGGTGCCACTGTACTCTAGCTTGGATGACAGAGCAAGACCTGTCTCAAAATAAATATATAAATAAAAAACATAAAAATAGCTACCTAAAGAGGGATAGAAGGAACAGCCCTCCACCCTCATAACATCTGTGGAGATAAGGCAGGGTATAAATGAAGGCTGACATATCATATGTCTAAATATTTGAAATATTTGAAAGCTAACTAGCTGCTCGGTATGCTCTATCCTCCTACCTTGACAAATATGCCTTCTAATGACAAAATTTAAAAATGTGTAAAGCTGGCTGGGTGCGGTGGTTCACGCCTGTAATCCCAGCACTTTGGGAGGCCGAGGCAGGCAGATCACTTGACATCAGGAGTTCGAGACCAGCCTGACCAACATGGTGAAACCCTGTCTCTACTAAAAGTACAAAAATTAGCCAGGCGTGGTGGCGCCTGCCTGTAATCCCAGCTACTCAGGAGGCTGAGGCAGGAGAATCACTTGAAACCGGGAGGCAGGGGTTGCAGTGAGCTGAGATTATGTCATTGCACTCCAGCCTGGGCGACAGAGAGATACTTTGTCTCAAAAAAACAAAACAAAACAAAAAAGTAACGCTATGGTTTTTGGATGCTCCAAAGTCAACAAAATATCAAAGATAAGTTAACTTAGCTATTATTGCATATATTATTACATATATTATTGCCTGGGTATGCTTATGATAGACTAGCAATATTTACATGTGTAATAAAGTCATACACAATTCATGATTATATATTTATTCCATAAATTAATTTTCCTTGCCTTCACTTCAGGAAATTCCTTAATTATGTTGTTATAATAAAACATTTCTCATAATTCATGTTCTATTGCCAGTAATGCCAAATTAATTGGCCTTTCTTGAGTCATAGTTGTTCCGACGTCTTCAAAAAAATAATTTTTTTTTTTGAGACAGTCTCGCTCTGTTGCCCAGGCTGGACTGCAGTGGTGCAACCTCAGCAAACTGCACCCTCTGCCTCCCAGGTTCAAGTGATTCTCCTGCTTCAGCCTCCCAAGTAGCTGGGTTTACAGGCATGCGCCATCATGCCCAGCTAATTTTTTGTATTTTTAGTAGAGACGAGGTTTCACCATGTTGGCCGGGCTTGTCTCCAGCTCCTGACCTCAAGTGATACACCTGCCTTGGCCTCCTAAACTGCTGGGATTACAGGCGTGAGCCACCGCGCCCCGGCCATTTTTTTTTTTTTTTTGAGACAGGGTCTTACTCTGTCATCCAGGCTGGAGTGCAGTGGTGCCATCTCAGCTCACTGCAACATCTGCACTGCAGTGCAACCTCTGCAACATGGGCTCAAGTGAGCCTCCCACCTCAGCCTCCCAAGTAGCTGGGATCACAGACAAGTGTCACCAGGCTCGACTAATTTTTGTTTTCGTTTTTTTGGTAGTGATGGCATTTTGCCATGTGGCCCAGGCTGGTCTTGAACTCCTGGGCTCAAGGGATTTGCCCACCTCTGCCTCCCAAAATGCTGGGATTACAAGCGTGAGCCACTGTGCCTGGCCTGGCCTTAAAAAATTAATTTTTTTTGAGGGGGGGACGGAGTCTCGCTCTGTCACCCAGGATAGAGGGCAATGGGCGCTATCTCGGCTCACTGCAACCTCTGCCTCTTGGGTTCAAGCGATTCTCCCACCTCAGCCTCCTGAGTAGCTGGGATTACAGGTACCCACCATCATGCCCGGCTAATTTTTGTATTTTTGTGGAGACTGGGTTTCCCCATGTTGGCCAGGCTGGTCTTGAAATCCTGACCTCAGGTGATCCACCCGCCTCGGCCTCCCAAAGCTCTGGGATTACAGGCATGAGCCACCACGCCCGGCCAACAAATTAATTTTAATATGGAGAAACTGCTCTGCTGAGGCCTTAGCAAATGAAATTATTACTAATATGCTTAAGCAAGACTTAGACTCAGAAAGGGATCATACATTTTATATGTCATGTTCAAATATTTTAAAGGGGTTACATATGATAAATATTTGATCCCAGAAAATATTTAAAATATTTTTTTTTCTTATTATTCTTTTTTGAAACAGAGTCTCGCTCTGTCACCCACGCTGGAGTGTAGTAGTGCAGTCTTAGCTCACTGCAGCCTTGAACTTCCAGGCTCAAAGTGTTCCTCCCACCTCAGCCTCCCAAGTAGCTGGGACTTACAGGCATGCATCATCACACTTGGCTAATTTATTTATTTATTATTATAACATTTATAACAAACATGCACATGTGTTTTATGTATGTATGTATGTATTTATTTAGTAGCGACACCATGTTGCCCAGTCTGGTCTTGAACTCCTGGCCTCAAGTACTGCACCCACCTCGGCCTCCCAAAGTTCTGGGATTACAAGCGTGAGCCACGGGGGTCTACAGTTAGCTTGTACCCCTTCCCTTTTTGTGTGACTATATTATTCTATATGAAACGCAGCTGGGTTTTTTTTTCTATTTGCATTTTGGTTTTTTCTTTCTCATTTCTATTGATTTAATTTAATTTAATTTTTGAATATAAAGAACATTAGCATTCTTCCAAAAGTCAAAATTAGGTCAGGTGTGGTGGTTCATGCCTGTAATCCCAGCACTTTGGGAGGCCGAGGCGGGTGGATCACAAGGTCAAGGAATTCAAGACCAGCCTGGCCAAGATGGTGAAACCCCGTCTCTACTATAAACTACAAAAATTAGCCAGGTGCAGTGGCAGGCGCCTGTAATCCCAGCTACTCGGGAGGCTGAGGCAGGAGAATCAGTTGAACCCGGGTGGCAGAGGTTGCAGTGGGCCAAGATCATGCCACTGCACTCCAGCCTGGGTGACAGAGTGAGACTCTGTCTCAAAAAAAAAAAAAAAAAAAAAGTCAACATTATACAAAAACGGTATACTCAAAGGAGTGTCACTTCCTCCCCATCCCTTCCATTCCATTTCTCCACCCGCCACCCCTTGAAGTAATTAATGTTATTTCTGGTTTAACCTTCCTGTGTTTTTATTTTTTCAAAATTAAGCAGCTATCAAGAGAATAAGAAGACAAGCTACACACTGGGAGAAAATATTTGAATAGACACATCTGATAAAGGACTGTTATCCAAAATATACAAAGGACTCTTTTTTTTTGTTTCTTTTTAATACAGATTCTCACTGTGTTGCCCAGGCTGGAGTGCAATGGCTATTCGCAGGTATGAGCCCACTACTGATCGCCACAGGATTTTTGATCTGCTCTATTTCTTTTTTCTTTTCTTTTTACTTTTTTTTTTTTTTTTTTTTTTGAGGCAGAGTCTCACCCTGTCACCAGGCTGGAGTGCAGTGGTACGATCTCGGTTCACTGCAACCTCTGCCTCCCAGGTTCAAGCGATTCTCCTGCCTCAGCCTCCCAAGTAGCTGGGACTACAAGCGTGTGCCACCATGCCCAGCTAGTTTTTGTATTTTTTTTAGAGATGGAGTTTCACCATGTTGGCCAGGATGGTCTCTATCTCTTGACCTCGTGATCTGCCCACCTCGGCCTCCAAAAGTGCTGGGATTACAGGCATGAGCCACCATGCCCGGCCGATCTGCTCTATTTCTGACCTGGGCTGATTCACCCTTCCTTAGGCAACCTGGTGGTCACCCATTCCTGGGAGGTTACCACATTGATGCCGAACTTAGTGCAGACCCCTATTGGTATAGTGCACTACAGCCCAGAACTCCTGGGCTGAAGTGGTCCTCCTGCCTTAGCCTTCTGAGTAGCTGGGACTGTAGGTCTGGCATAAAAGAAACTCTTAAAACTTAAAAATAAGAAAACAACCCAATCTAAAAGTGGGTCCCAAACCTTGACACCTTGTTAAAGAAGATATACAGATAGAAAATAAGCATATGAAATGATGCTCCACACTATATACTGTCAGGGAAATGTAAACTAAAACAGCAGCGAGATACCATTACATACTCATTAGAATGGCCCAAATCCAAAACTGACACTGCAAAATGCTGAGGAAGATGTGCAGCAGCAGGAATTATCACTCATTGCTGGTGGGAATGCAAGACGGTACAGCCACTTTAGAAGACAGTTTGGTGATTTCTTGCAAAACTAAAAATACTCATGCTATATTTATGATCCAGCAATTGTGTTCCTTGGTATTTACCCAAATGAGTTGAAGACTTATGTCCACCTGAATGCACATGAATGTTTATAGCAGACCTTATTCATCATTCCCAAACCTGGAAGCAACCAAGATGTCATTCAATTGATGAATGGATAAATTAGCTAGTACATCCAAACAATGGAATATTGTTTAGTGCTAAAAAGAAATGGGCTATGAAAAGATATGGAGGAAACTTAAATCCATATTGCTAAGAGAAAGAAGCCAATCTGAAAAGGCTACATACTGTACGATTTCAACTATATGACGTTCTACAACAGGTAAAACTATGGAAACAGTAAAAAGATCAGTGGTTGCCAGGAGTCTGGGGGGAAGGAGGGATGAATAGGCACAGCACGGAGAATTTTTAGGGCAATGAAACTATTCTCTATAACACTGTATGATGGATAAATGTCATTAAACATTTGTCAAAACCCATAGAATGTACAACACCAAGAGTGAACCCTAATGTAAACTGTGGACTTCAGTTCATAATAAAGTATCAATAGTGGCTCATCACTTGTTTAAAAAAATATCCAAATGAGCAGTATTTTGGTTACACTTTTATCAATATTATTCATATTAAACAACCATCTCAAATATCTGTGGGTAGTGCACATGCAAGGGTAATTTGATTTTCCATTTGAGACCATAATTTGCTCTTTGTGAATCTTCTTAACGCTGCTCAGTCTTCTAGTTTCCCCTTCCTTCCTTCCTTCCCTCCCTTTCCTTCCTTTCTTCCTTCTTTCCCTTCTTCCCCCTCCTCTCTCTCTTTCTTTGTCTCTTCCTTCCTTCTTTCTTCTTTCTTTCTTTGCCTTTCTTTCTTTCTCTCCTTCCTTCCTTCTTTCTTTTTTTTTCTCTCTCTCTCCCTTTTCTTTCTCTCCTTCCTTCCTCTCTCTCTCTCTCTTTCTCTTTTTCTCTCTTTCTTTCCAGAATCTCAACCCTGTTGCCCAGGCTGGAGTAAAGTGGTGCAATCACAGCTCACTGCAGCCTCGACTTCCCAAATTCAGGTGATTCTCCCACCTCAGCTTCTCGAGTAGCTGAGACTATAGGCACATGCCACCATGCCCAGCTAATATTTTGTATTTTTAGTAGAGACAGGGTTTCGCCATGTTGCCTAGGTTGGTATTGCACTCCTGGGCTCAAGCGATCCGCCCACCTTGGCCTCCCCAAGTGCTGGAATTTCAGGTGTGAGCCATGGTGCCCAGCCCTTCTAGTTTCTTGTCTAAATTAAACCGACTTGTTTTAACAGCATTTAGCCAGCATTCCCATCATGTATCCAAGAGCAGTTGTAAGGTCAGTTGTGATACAGTTTTTTCCAAGATATTTCATCTTTGGGCACATCCAGAATATTGCATATAATCTTTTTATTTTTCCAAAAATGCCATTATTATCAGCACAATTAGGCTGTGTCTTCTAATAACAAGTTCAACTATGTGCCATACAGGGGACATGTCACCAAAAAAATGCTTCTAGATTTTTGGCCAAAATCCTGGCTTGTTCATCTTTATTATCTTTACTAACCATGTCATTACTGTTATCATCGACTTGCCCTTGACAGTCTTTTAAATCAAAGACTAAAATTGCAAGTAGGTTTTTTCCTTAGTGCAAAACTAGGGAAAACTAGTTTTTCCTTAAGTCAAAACTAGAATATAGCTAGTTAAATACACATGCGTGTTTTCTCTATATTTACATATATGCAAATTTAAAGATAAATAGGAATTAATATTGAAAAATGTTCCTCAGCCACATTGCACAAACCACGTTAATTTCTTTTCTTCTTTCTTTCCTTTTCTTTTCTTCTTTTTCTTTCTTTCTTTTTTTTTTGTAAGATGTGTAGGACAGAGTCAGCACGGTGGCTCACGCCTGTAATCCCAACACTTTGGGAGGCCGAGGCAGGCAGATCACTTGAGGCCAGGAGTTCAAGACCAGCCTGGCCAACATGGTGAAACCCCGTCTCTACTAAAAATACAAAAGTTAGCTGGGTGTGGTGGTGCACGCCTGTAGTCCCAGCTACTGGGGGAGACTGAGGCACAAGAAGCACTTGAGCCTGGGAGGTGGAGGTTGCAGTAAGCTGAGCTCGTGCCACTGCACTCCCGCCTGGGTGACAGAGCGAGACTGTCTCAAACAAGTGCAGAAGAGCTGAAGAGCTTCTTCGGGCCTGAACCGTGTTGTTTGCAGAGCTGACGTTTGGGGCTATAGGCTTTTCCGTACCAGTAACGAGCACTGGATCCTGACTGATAGAGGACCCAGGTGCTCCTTTATGGAGACATTTGTTGTCTATGTTTGTAATACTTGGGGTCCTCTCAAGCTTGGGTGGCACTGGGAGGGAACAGGGTGGAGGGTACAAGGATGAAAGCAAACCTTCTGTGACTGTATCTTTTTATAAAGTTTTGACTTTGGGACCCTGTAAATGATTTGCATAATTAAAAAACAAAATAAAAAAAACCAACCTAAAACATGGCAATAATATAGATTTTACTGAATGCTTGATGAGGAGACGATGGGGAGGGCCGTAATATACACAATAGCACAAAACAAAACCCCTGAATTAGACATTCTTTTCTGGTTTTTCCAATCTCTTAATCCTCAGTCCTTCATAGTCTCTAAAAATCCCTTCTATTGTCCCAGCTAGAATCTTACGCTGAGCAAAACAAAACTAAACAAAAAAACCCCTGAAGTTAGCACAACAGCAGAAACCAGCTGCCACCAGAGCAGGCCTCCAGAGGGCTTTACACTACATCTTCCATTAGAAAATACTGCAAGGATAGGGCTTCTAGGTGTTCAGCTTTCTCAATATCTGGCTTATTTTCTTCTCAATCCCTGGGACTAACATTGTCAAACAATTTGAACTGCCTCCCCAAAGCCAGTTGGAGTCTTTGTCCCTGCCCAAAGCAGGATTACCTGCTAGGTTTCCTGGGAGTCAAGGGTTGTGGCTCATTAAAGAGGGCTTTGGATTAGTGAGTCTCAAATCACTCAAAGGGGAGGTCTTGGTCCTAAACGAATGGAAATTCTCTCTTAGAGGATCCTGCCAACTCTGAGAAGGACTTTACATGCTTCTTGGTGTGGAAAACTGGCCAGTTAATTGCACGCAGTGCAGGCACAGCACGTTTGCCAAGTTTGACTTTGGACATATTGTGTAGGAAGCACCAGTGGGATACCCATGAACCGTTCATGTCCAGGAAGCAGCTGGAGCCTGAAGTTTGCAGGACAGGTTCAGGCTGAAGACACAAATTCAGAAATCATCGTGTATACAGGAGAGGAGGCTATGATGGAAACAGAAAGAATATAGGAAAGGGTAATGATTCTGAGGCCAAGGGTGGAGGAAGTGGTGTCAAGTGCTGGAGGAAGATTGATTAATAACAACATAGTGTTCACTGGACAAATAAGATCCCTTAAGAGGAGATGGTACGGGCGATGGGATCAACTGTCTTGAAAGGGAGGTGGGCACATTCTCCAAGATTTGACACTGGCGGGAGGATGCGAGTAGGAAAATAAAAACATCAGCAACACATCACAACACAACAAACCATAACCTGGCCAGGGCCTGAGAGCAGGGAGAGAGAAAGGGTAGGAAGAAGCCAGAGGAGTTTCAGCGACTGCAGTCCTTCCTCTGCACTATAGCGTACCCCTACCACGATCCCAAGGCCTCAGTAAAGGTTTGCTGCACACCTCAGCTTCTTATCAGTGATGCTTTGGAGAATGAAGGACTCTGAGGCAGTGTTCAGGGCAGACTGAAGGAGGACGGACACTTTCAGGAGCCCAGGAGTGGAGATGGAGAATTCAACTCAAGTAGGAAATTCAGCAAAGGTGACCAGGGGAAAGATAAGTCCACTAGGAGTCTGCTAAGCATCCTTGGAGTTAGTAGAAAACGCCAGGATTCCCAATATATTTGGGATGGGGTTTCAAATATATTTTGACTATTGTTTGAGTATTAAAGAAAAGGGCAGGGCCGGGCTTGGTGGCTCACGCCTGTAATCTCAGCACTTTGGGAGGCCGAGGCGGGTGGATCACGAGGTTCAGGAGTTCGAGGCCAGCCTGGCCAACATGGTGAAACCTCGTCTCTACTAAAAATACAAAAATTAGCCGGGTGAGGTGGTGGGCACCTGTACTACCCGGGAGGCTGAGGCAGGAGAATCGCTTGAACCCGGGAGGCAGAGGTTGCAGTGAGCCGAGATCGCGCCACTGCACTCTAGGGTAGGAAGGCCCAGGGTAGGAAGCTGAGCGGTTTCTAAATCTGTAGCCCCTTTTTCTCAATGACAATGAAGTAATCTTCCGAGATGTTGAAAAACCTGGTGAGGAAAGTTTGGAATAGCAGTTTGGGAATCCCCTGTAATAATCTGCTTTCCCTTGTGAACAGCAGGCACTGTCTTAAAATTTTTTTGTATCCTCAATGCACTGTAGGAGTTCAATAAATGATAGAATAGATGAATAAATAGAAGAGAATGAGGAGACGGATCTGGGCAGGCTGCGAAGGCGGTGCTATTCCAAAGCCCAGCCCAGAGGCAGTGACCTCCGACCCAAGCCAAAAAAAAAACCTCGCGTTCAGAGGCCGGGAGAAAGAACAGCTCCCAAATTGAGGGGAGTCCAAGACCCTGCTCTTTTAGAGGGTGGGGCTAGGAGAGCGTATTTCGACGCTGCCCGCCAACGAACCAATCCCCGCCTAAAGGGGGAGGGGATTTAATCTGTCGCCTCTCCTTCCCTTTGGAAAGTAAATACGTTCGGGCGCCATTCAAACGGACCAATGAGTGATCGACGTTTTTGTGGTTGGCCTTCACCGATTGGCTGGAGTTTGTCGTCCCTCCCTCCTCGTCACGCCTCTGGCTCCACCCCTTTGCACACAAGATGGCGGCGCCCAGCGGAGTAGGGGCTGCGCTTGGGGTTTGCTGAAGCTGGCTGCCTCTCCCACTCCCCTTTTGGGTGCAAAGCGCCGCTAGCGGGAAGACGGGGGCCGGGCGGGGACAGGGGCACCTGCGTAGCTGGACTGAGAGCCTGCGCCCAGCTTACATCGACCCCACCCGGCCCCGGCCCGACCCGACGCGACCCGATCCGATCCGATCCCATTCCATCCGTTCCTCGTCTCCTCCCGGTCTGACCCGTTGCCCGGCCGTGGTTCGCCACACCAGGCATCCAAAGCTGAGGTCGCTCCTACGGCCTGGGCTCGCCTTCGCTTTAGAGATGTTTGGCCTCTTCCCTCCCAAACAGCCCATCTTCAAAACCTGGACTCTTGGACTGGCACCTGGCCACCTTTCCCTCTACCAAGACTCCACTTCCGTCTTACCCACTTCTTCCTCAGATTCTTGGTACCCCCTGGGTTGGAGACTGCTCATTTTCCTTCCAAATTAATCCCAGACCCCCTAAAATATTGACAACCTTGACAACCCCCCAACCGAGGAGCCAGACTTTGTTTTGGACTAACTTCCATAGCCCTATCATGGAGGCAGTGTACCTGGTAGTGAATGGGTTGGGCCTGGTGCTGGACGTGCTGACCTTGGTGTTGGACCTCAACTTCCTGCTGGTGTCCTCCCTCCTGGCTTCCCTGGCCTGGCTCCTGGCCTTCGTCTACAACCTGCCGCACACGGTACTGACTAGTCTTCTGCACTTGGGCCGCGGAGTCTTGCTTTCATTGCTGGCCTTGATCGAAGCCGTGGTCCGGTTCACATGTGGGGGCTTGCAGGCCTTGTGTACTCTGCTGTATAGCTGCTGCTCTGGCCTAGAGAGCCTAAAGCTCCTGGGGCACCTGGCCTCTCATGGGGCACTGCGGAGCAGGGAGATACTGCACCGGGGCGTCCTCAATGTGGTCTCCAGTGGCCATGCTTTGCTGCGCCAGGCCTGTGACATCTGTGCCATTGCCATGAGCCTGGTGGCTTATGTGATCAACAGCCTGGTCAACATCTGCCTCATCGGCACTCAGAACCTCTTTTCCCTGGTGCTGGCCCTGTGGGATGCAGTGACCGGGCCTCTGTGGAGGATGACGGACGTAGTGGCTGCCTTCCTAGCCCACATTTCCAGCAGTGCTGTGGCCATGGCCATCCTCCTTTGGACACCCTGCCAACTAGCCCTGGAGCTGCTGGCCTCAGCTGCCCGCCTCCTGGCCAGCTTTGTGCTTGTCAATCTCACTGGCTTGGTGTTGCTAGCTTGTGTGCTGGCAGTGACGGTGACTGTGTTGCATCCGGACTTCACCCTGAGGCTGGCTACCCAGGCACTCAGCCAGCTCCATGCCCGGCCATCCTACCACCGTCTTCGAGAGGATGTCATGCGGCTCTCTCGCCTAGCACTGGGCTCAGAGGCCTGGCGCCGAGTCTGGAGCCGCAGTCTGCAGCTGGCGAGTTGGCCAAACCGGGGAGGGGCACCTGGAGCTCCCCAGGGTGACCCTATGAGGGTATTCTCAGTTAGGACCCGGAGACAGGACACTCTTCCTGAAGCGGGGCGCAGATCAGAGGCAGAAGAGGAGGAGGCCAGGACCATCAGAGTGACACCTGTCAGGGGCCGAGAGAGGCTCAATGAGGAGGAGCCTCCAGGTGGGCAAGACCCTTGGAAATTGCTGAAGGAGCAAGAGGAGCGGAAGAAGTGTGTCATCTGCCAGGACCAGAGCAAGACAGTGTTGCTCCTGCCCTGCCGGCATCTGTGCCTGTGCCAGGCCTGCACTGAAATCCTGATGCGCCACCCCGTCTACCACCGCAATTGCCCGCTCTGCCGCCGGGGCATCCTGCAGACCCTCAATGTCTACCTCTGAAGCCTCCTTCCCTGCCTGCCCACCCCTCCATGCTCCACGCAGGCACTCACGCTAGGACAGCATTAACACCTCATCTCCGGGTCCTGGTCTGAATCCCCTCCTACCCCTGTGGCCATCCTGCCATACATCCAGGACATTGAGTTGGAAGACTATGATCTGGGTGGGGGCAGGATAACATGGCTTCTCTTTACCCAGTGGGTCCCTTCGATGCTGAGGGTGGTGAGTATGTCACTATGCAAGGGCCCTGAGACTATTTGCTGTGGGCTCTCCTCCAGCCTGCCCAGGGCCCACCCAGATGCCTCTGGGGTTACCCCTGTCTGCTTCTGGTTTTTCTGTTGGAGATCTATAGGTCCTTTTCCTGCCTCCTTCACATTTCCTCCCCAGCTTTTGCGGCCACAACACATCAGTGTCATTTGGGTGTTTTGGCAACTCAGGGGCCTTCGGATGATCTTAAACCTTTGTGTTCAGCCAGAGCCCCTGTGCCCTGGTAGGCGTTGGGGTTAGTATCTCTCGGGTGCCCTCAGAGCCACCTCTGCCTGTGATCGTCTGATGAGGCTCCCTCCCAACCTGATCCAAAAGCCAGTCTCAGGAGTTTACCCCTGGGATGGGGGATGCATCTGCACCTGACTTTGGGGCCACGTGCCCTGTGGCACCCCAGCTCACTGGGAGTCTCAGGAGGGATAACCGGATTTCTGCTCTTTCCCCTGTCACTCCCACATCACACAGAAAAATGGCATTCCTCTCTGTCTCTCCCTGGCATGGAGAGGGCAGACTGTGCACATTTCACTAGGGTCCAAATACAGAAGGGCCCAGGGCCCAGGGGCTTGCAGCTTCGTGAGGGGTCTCTGGCCCAGTTTCCAATGAATAAAGTTCTCTTGACAGCTCTGACAGTCTCTGTGTGCATCCCTGCAAGGGAGCAGTTGGTCAAGGCAACAGACCTTGCATCAGGGTCCTTCAGCCCCGCCAGAGTCAGAAGTGTGGGCTGTGGGGGTACCTGGGCTTTAGAGGGGGGACAGGGAAGGAGCTAAGATAGGCTGGGAAGACTATGTCATGGGGAGAGTGCATGCCAGGCATGGCTCTGTGAGCTCTCATCCCTTCTGATTTGTCCCCTCTCGCAACACATGGCTTTCGAAAAGCCTTCTATTTTTTCTGTTTTTTCCCAAATTAAGCCCTTGTAGAGAGGAATGTGAACCATCTCACCCCTTGAGTCAACCTTCCCAGCTCCTCCTCCGGGCCAGTCTTCCTGGGAGGGAGCATGGGGTTCCTCCTGCCTGGAGTCCAGTCTGCCCTCGGATCCCAGGAGGAGCTGGTGTGTGTCTCTGTGTGTCTTGGCATGGGGGTCTGGTGCAGGGCTGGGCTGGAGTGCGGCTGCGGGATCTCCTGGTGGAGGCTGCCTAAGGCCTGTCTCTGGCTCACATTTGGGGCTGAGTCCCCATTGGCCGTATCTGCCCTCACATGACCAGCAGAAGAGCAGGGGCACTCCCCCATAATTGTATGTTCTGTCTGGGACCACAGTGCCTGGGACTGCCTTCAGGAAGGGGGTGCCGGTAGCTCAGAAAGAAACTCTGAGGAGAGGCCCCCCCCCTTCCTTGGGTTGAGGCTGTGCAGATGGGGCTGGGCAGTCCTGGTTTGTTAGTCATTGGGTTGGGGGTGGGCTCCAGGGGTGGGCGGAGCCTTGAGGGGCTTTGTGGCTAGCCTCAGACACAGTGGCTCGGCCCACCCAGGCTATGCCCAGCACAGTGGGGGAGGGCTCCTCATCTCCACCTCAGAACTGGGAGGGCTTGGCACTTGCTCTTTCCTTCCCTCAATCCGGGACAGGGAGCTGAGCAAGGGGAGGCCTGGCTCCTTCCAGTCTCTGTTTAATGTGGAGATAAACATTTTATGATAGAAGATAAACTTCCTGAGTTGGGAGTAAAGGACCCCCCCTTTTCTTCCATCCGCATCTGGAATTCCTTTGGCCGACCTCAATACCCCTCCTCTCCCTCACCCCCCCATAGTCAGGAGCTCAAGCTACCCAGGATCCCTGCGGCATTCTGGGGCCAGGGCACCCCCTTGTGGTCATCTCAGAAACTGCTTATCTTTAGACGCCCGAGGACGCCACTCACTCGGGTTACAGAGCAATAGCTTTCTGCTCATCGGGGGCAGGCAAGCAGCCGGAGCAGCCATGGACGAAAGTCCTCGGCTCTTTTTTGTTGGATGAGGGCAGAGGTATGTGTGGCGCAGGCAGCCCCTACGTGGTTCAGTTGGCATCTTTGAATTAGAAAAAGGTGCTCCCTTTCTCAAGGATGGATGGAGCCCCACACCAGGAGGGCATCCCGCTGTCAGACACTCCCATTCACAACCTAGGTGGCGGCTCTGTGGAGCAGCCTCTCATTCCCCTGGGCCGGCTTCTTGTATATCTGCCGCATATCTCTATTTCATCCAAGAACCCTCCCTTCTGCCTGAACACCCCCTCCACACCATGATCCCAGAAACAGGGAGCCCCCACCACTAAAGAAGAAAGGCTGGAGCCGGTAGGAGGGTTCTTAGGTTTATTGAGTGATCTCTGAGAAAAGGGCCGGCCCCAGGAGCAGGAGGGGGTGGGGAGGATCCAGAGAAGCAGAGGACCAGGAAGAGAGCACCCCACCGTGGGCTCCTGGACCAGAGCAACTGGGGGACTTACACTTGCCAGCACAGCACACTCCTCTGGTCTTGGGCAGAAATCCAGCCACTGCCCCATGCTGCCAGACCTGATCGCAGACAGCCACTGTTCCCATTCCTTGCCAGCAGCAGGACGGAGAGTGCTCTACCCCACCTCCCTAGTCATTCACAATATTCCAGGGGGGCCAGCCCTCCTGGATGACCTGGTTGTCAGCCTCACACCCTCCTTCTAGGAGTGAGAGCATGAGCTCACTTTGCAGTGGGCACTAAGCAAAGACTGGGGAGCTGTGCCAGTCGGAGTACACCAGAAATCCGGAGAAGGTGCTGTCTGTCTTGATGCTGGCATAGATGCCAATGTAGTCACCCACACCCACCTGCACCCACACTTGGTCCTCAGGCTCCAGCCTCACCATGGCCCCCCCCGAGAGCGAGGCTGGCTTGGGCCACCCCCCGAAAAACTGGAAGAAAGAGGCAATGGATTCGCCATTCTTCACCAGATCAAACTGCAGGCTGGCCCGGTAGACGGTGGCATGGACGGCGAAGTAGTAGACCCCAGGCACCTGGCAGGTGAACTTGCCGGTGACGGCGTCGTAATGTCCCTGCTCGTTCACCAGCACGCGGTCGAAGGGCAAGGGTGCGTCAGACGGCGGAGGCACCCGGCTCTCGGAGCGCTTGGCGCTGAAGGCGGATCGCGGAGGCACCGAGCACTCCCCGGCAGGCCCGGTGGGCCCCGCGGGTCCCGCCTCTCCTCGCGGCCCGGGGTCCCCTCGAGGTCCCGGCAGTCCTGCGGGGTAAGCGGGGCGGCAGGGTGAGAGTAGCGGCGGCTCAGCCCGCAGCGGGGCGGCGACTCTAAGGTCACCGTACCCCTCCCCGCCCCTGCCTGAGCTTCGGCCAGCGCCTCCTCCCGCACGGGTACCTCCTCCACCCCTTCCCGCAGGGCAGATCTGGGGGGCTGGCCAAGGGGGCTCCCGCCGCCTGGGCCCCTCCCCCGCTCAGGGCTGCAAAGCGCGGGGAGTGGCGCCCCCTGGCGGGAGACCCGAGTCCCGGACACCGGGAGCTGGAGCTGCGGCCGCGCCTGCTCGGACATCGCCACCGATAGCCGCGGCGGTGCCTTCTTACCCGGCCTCCCGCCCTCGCCTTTCTCTCCCGGAGCCCCGGGCGCGCCGTCGCGGCCGTCGCGGCCATCGCGGCCCGGCAAGCCCTGGCTGCCATGGTGGCCCGGCGTGCCTGGAAGGCCGGGGTGCCCCGGGCAGAGGCTGGGGATCTTGTTGTCGTCCAGTGGGGGCGAGCCGGCCGCCAGGCCCAGGAGCAGCAGGACGAGGAGTGGCCTCATAGCGCTGGCACCGGGAGCCCGGACGCCGGGGTCCTCTCGCAGTCTGTGGACCAGGCAGGACTGGAGTCGGGACCCAGAATCCTGGGACCTGCCTCTCTCCCCACCCCGGCGCGGCCCAGTCGGTCCCCACCCCACTGCCGTGCCCCTGAGGCTGAGCGCTCGCAGGGCCGAGCATCCGGAGAGCACAGGCAGGCGCGAGAGGGTGGGAGCGGCCAGCCCTCCCTCCCACCGCCGGCCCGCGCCAGCCTTTCCCACAGTCCCCTCCCCAGCCCCTTTCCCCTCCTCCGCCAGACTCACCCCCCCTCCCGGCTCCCCGATGGCCTCCTTCGGGGCGCTCGCTACTCCGGACCCTCCAGTTGGTGGTGCTCCAGCCCCCGCGCTTCTCCCCGGCCAGGCGCCCCCTGCCCTGCCGTCACCCCAGTCCTGGTTCGCTCCCTGCCGGCTCCGCTTTCCTCCTCCCAGACTCCAAGAGGAAACCAGTTGTTCAGGGGCCAAGAGCTCCCGGACCGGGAAATAGCTGGGAAATAACTCGTGGTGTCGCCCGGCGGCCGGCCAAAGTTTAGGGGGAGAAAGGAGGGGGAGAGAGACTTGAGCTGGGCACAGAGAGGCAGAACTTCGAGAGACGGACACACAGGGCACCTCCTGTTCCCAGGGCCAGAGGAGAGGCAGGGCAGTGGCAGAGACCAAGGACCAGACCCCATTTCAGGGAGAAATACGCAGAGAGATGAGGGTGGAGAGTTCTAGAGGCAGACAGCCAGTTGGATCCCTAGGGCCTAGGACAGGGGCCTGCCACATGAATAGATGCTCAGTACATTTTTGTTGAATCAAGGAAAAGGTCAGAAGGCAGGCGATGGAGAAGCTGAAAAAGCAGATGGAAAGGGGAAGAGGCCTGGATGGGAAGTGGTCTCGATTGTCCGGTGGCACAGTGTGGGGCCAGTCAGCAGCCTGGGACCGGTAAAGGGACAGGAAGGAGCAGGGAGGGTGGTAGGGTCCCATGAGCCCCAGCTGAGGACTTCTCTTCCCCCTCCCTGGGAGCCCCAGAGAAGGATGGGTAGAGACCCTGCTGATGCTCCTTCCTTTGTTCCCCTGCGTGCCAGCCCTGACCGGCAAAAGAGGACGGGCAGGAAGAGGGCAGGGGCCGGCTTCAGGGTCAGGGCTGGGCACAAGCTTCCAGGTCAGCTGCCTCTGGCAGCCTGTTGCAGTTGAAGGGCCAGGGGGTGCCCAGTAGTGCCAGGCCAGACTGGCACTGGTGCTCCGCTTCCTGGCAGACAGAGCGGCAAGGGGGCAGAACACTGCCTAGTGGGGTGCAACGGGGCACAAGCAGCCCACACAGGAGCCTCCGGAAATGCTGGTAGCAGGGCAGGCTTGTCAGGCTCTGCGGAGGGAGAGTGGCCTTCAGGCACCTGCTCCCAGGCTCCTCCCCTCCCAGGCCCGCCCTCCTTCCCTCCACCCAGAAGACCTTGTAACCGCTGAGGACCTCTACCACCTCCTCCTGGGTGATCATGCCCACCCAGATGTTAGGGAAGGCTGTGGTGTTGTAGCTCAGACCGAGGCACATCTCCACCTGGACAGGCTCACAGGCCAGCTCTGCAGGGGTGGAGGGGAGGGCCACTGTGGGGACTGCTCACTGGCTCTGTGGCCTGTGGCAAGTCACCGAATCGCTCGGTCCTGTGTGTACATGGGTCCAATGGGGGTGGTTGTGAGGAAGCAAGAGGATAACAAAGAGACAGGCTGTACACACTCTGAGGATCCCTGCCATCCCTGAGAGCCTGCTCCAGCATCGCTTGCCAGCCCTGGGCATCATGCAGGCACGTCTTTAATCTCAGGGAACATGGGGCACCCGCGTTTGCAGGGACTGCTTGGGCATCTGGAAGAAACCCCCTGCTCTGTGTAAGAGGATGCCTTCATCTTTGGTGTGGGCTGTGGAAAGGGGCTCTGGGTGACAGAAGGGACTGGTTCTTGAAGCCCCACCAATGATTCCCAGATTCCCATTTCCCTTGGGGTGACACTCAGTACTATTGCCACCACCAGCCGACTGTCTTCCAGGACTCTGTGAAGTGGTCCCAGAGTCAGGATGGTGAGGCCAGCTGGCCCCGCCCCCTCAGGGAGGTTGGGATGGGACACTGTGCAGTACGGCAGTAGGGTTCTGTGAGGTGGGCACCCAGCCTGCTCAGGGTCCCCAGGGGCAGGCTTCTCACCTGGGGGTGGGAACAAGGGGCCGCTGCAGTTGTCATCGCTGCCATCGGTGCAGTCTCTCCACATGTCACACATCCACTGCACACCCTTACACCCTCCTGCCTGGCAGGAGAGCTCACTGGGCCCACAGGGGTCTGCAGGCACAAGGGGCATGGCAGTGCCCGGGGACATACCTACACCCCCAGTACCCCCAGAGTGTCCTGACCAGGGTCCAGAGCCCTTGTCTGTCCCCCTGGAGGTGCCTCTACTGCCCCCACCCACTTGCCCAGGGGCACCTACTCTCCGTGGCATTGAAGGCCAGGTAGGTGGCTGAGAAGCCTCCACTGCTGATGCCATGATCTGTCCTAAACAGCACAGCCAGCTCATGGTGCGAGGAGACGAGGTGGGGGGGTGGCTCTGCTCCACAGAACCTGCCCAAAGCAGACAGCTGTTCTGGGCACCAGCCCTGGCTGACTGAGGGGGCACTGCAGCCTCCCACAGGCCTGGCTCTGAGCTGGGAGCCCTGGATGATGCCAAAGGTGATGGAAGACACAGGGTTAGGGTCTGGCGAGAAAGACACATATATTCAACAGGGAAAGCATTAAACAAACTGTCTGAACTCGAGCCACTTCTAGATGGGGAAAAATCAGCGAAGCAGCCTGGCATTGTGGCTCACACCTGTAATCCCAGCATTTTGGGAGGCTGAGTAGGGAGGATCACTTGAGCCCAGGAGTTTGAAACCAGCCTGGGCGATATAGTGAGACCTTGTCTTTACAAAAAAATTAAAAAAGTAAATTATCTGGGCGTGGTGGCATGTGCCTGTGATCCCAGCTACTTAGGAGGCTGAGGTGGAAGGAGCACTTGAAGCTGGGAGGTTGAGGCAGCAGTGAGCCATGATGGTGCTACTGCACTCCCGCCTGGGCAACAAAGTGACACTCTGCCTCAAAAAAAGAAGAAAAAGAAAAATCAATGAGGGTTTGTAGGGGAGGTGGAAGTGGCCCCTGCCGGTGGGGAGGAACTGGGGCAGGGAGAGGTTTGGGGAAGGACCTCCTGGGGACAGGGAGAGTGTGGGGTGAAGGTTTTGAGGTGAGAGCTGTCTTTAGGGTGATGGTGAAGAGACCCCCGGCCTGGAGTAGCAGAAGAAAATGAAGCTGGAGAATGGAATGTGCTGGGCCGACATGGAAGCCGGGGGTGGCAGACAGTGAGGATGGAGTTATCCATGGCTCTTCCCTGGCTCCTGTACCTGCCCAGGAGGCTGAAGGCCCCTGAGCTGCTGGTCTCATACACCTCCACGTAGTCAAACTTGCACTCGTCCTGAGCCTCCAGGCTGAAGTTGTGGAACTGTAGTTCTATGCTGTGTCCGGCAGGCACCGAGATATGCCAGGTGCAGAGCTGGGGGAGGGCATAGGTGGAGCAATTCATGGCCCCTTCTCCTGTCTCATCCCGGGCACCCAGAAGGGTCTTCTTCCCCCACTGCTGGCTGGGGGGATGGGGTGGTGCTTTCATCATTGGTGGTTCTTAAGGACCTTTAATTTACCTGGTTTCAGAGGTGAGTTGACCCAGTGTGGGAACATCTGGGTACACAGCAGGCACTTAATAATATTCCCCCATCCCCCGTCTGCTTGATCTCTGACCTTCCCAAGTAGAAGGTAGTGTCTACCATGCCATTCCCATTACACTAACTTGGGGATCAGGTGCTTCCGTGTGTGCCCCTCCCGTTCTGCATGGAGCACTGTGCTTACCAGTTGGTGAGGGTACTGCTGCAGGTAGCTGGGAGTAGAGAAAGTGCCCTGGAGGCCAGTCAGATTCCCCCCACACCCTGTAGAGAGGTGGAAGGGCTCATGAGTTTGCTAGGATCTGTGCCTCCATCCAATAGGGCTGGCGGTGATTACAGAGCGAGAGTTTTGGCCATGCCCATGGGAAACAAGTTCTGGGCCAAAGAATGACTGAGCAGGAAATGCTGACGGAGGGCCCGGTTTGAGGCTGGACCAGAGCTGGGGAGCCCAGCTTGAACCCAGATCAGACGCCTGAAGAGAGGACCCCCATGCCTGGCCCGTACCCGAGAACTTGGCACTGCAATTGGTCTCATCACTGCCGTCAGCACAGTTGGCAAAACCATCACACACTGAGTCAGGTAGCAGGCAGATGAGCTGGTCACAGCGGAACTCATCATGGGCACAGCTCCCTGGATGTGGGCACCAGGAGTCAGGGAGGCCCGGAGTCTCCACCCCTTTGACAGGACTGGGAGTGGGTGGAGGGGAAGAAAGTGGACACTCAACAGGCAGGTGGGAACACACTCACCGCGCCCAGGGGCCATAGCCTGGTACCAGGCATGGAAACCAAATCCTTCCACACTGCTGTCAGAGACGAAGACCACCAGGAGGTGGCTGGCATTGGTGTTGAGCGTGGGGGGAGGCACCCTTCCACAAACCCTGCAAGAAGCCAGGTTGGGGGTGAGGGAGGCTCCAAGAGCAGGGTCAGCCAGAGAGGAGCTTGCCTGGGCCTTGCAGTCCTATTTTCTCAACCCCCAAACTGGTGACCATGTGGTCAAAAAGGCTCCTCTGATGTCCCAGGGAGCTCTGACCTTCCTAGCACCTGCACATTTATCCTTGTAGCATCTACTCATGGGGAGATAGGCAGGAGATCCATGTTACAGACTAGGAAACAGGTGAGAGAGGGGAAGTGATCTTCCTCACGGCACACAGCAAGGTGGTGGCAGAGCTGGGCCCAGAGGTCTAGTCTCTCAATTTCTTCCTCGGTTAGCCCTTCTCCCTGCCACTCCCTGATTCTGCTCTTTAGATAGTGGTTCAGGACACGGTGGGATGTCCTGGGGACAGAGGGACCTACCTGAGGAGGGGGCCTTCAGGCTCAGGGGAGAGTTCCAAGCGATCAAAAAGGCAAGAGGCCACACTCTCTATGCTGAGGGCTTCGATCTTGAGCTGTATTGCATGGTCTGTGGCCACCTGGATATGCCACACGCAGTGGGTGTTGGGGGGGTAAGGGTCTGGGTAGTTAGGGCTGCTGAAGAAGCCCCTTGGGCCAGAGAGGAGGCCTCCACAGGCTGCAGAGATGGAGGTTAGAGTTCAGAGGTCAAAAGGAGTGAGGTCCTTTATTCTCAAGGTGCCTCTTCCTCACCCTCCCCTCAACCCCACCCCGTCATCTTGGGCCCTTCTCCCGGAAGATCTGCCCCCAGTACTCACTGGACTGTGGGGAGGGGCTCACGCCTGACTCCTGCTGCCCTTTAGGGGTCCCAGCTGCCTGAGAGGTGGTGATGGTGGGGGTGGTGGTGGTCGTGGTAAGGCCTCCGGCAGGCAGTGGGCTATGGGACGCCCCAGATGGGGGTGCAGCCTGCAGCTCTGGAGGCGAGAAGATGGAGGGTGGCGTTCAGAGGAGCTGGGTCCTGGGAGGCTGGGAGAGCGGCTCATGGAGTTTCATTCCAAAGCCCTCGTTTCAAGCTGTCCCCGGGTACTTACGGGCCAGGATGATGGCCACCAGCAGCCCAAGCAGCAGGAGGAGCAGGCTGGAGAGCAGGAGGACACAGAGCCAGGAGAAGCGGCAGTCTGGCCGTAGCCCTCGAGGACGCCGACCTGCGGGTTGGCAGGTGGGGTTTTGAAAGCCCCTTCTGTTGGGTATTCCTCATGCTGTCCTTGGCTCCTGGGCCTCTCTGTCCTCCCCCAGGTCACCCCCTGGGATGGTTACCATGCCAGGGAGCTGGGACGCTGTAGCTGGCATCCTCTGGGAAAACTGGGGGAGGGCAGGGTGGCCCAGACTCAGGCTCGAAGGCAGGATTGCAGAACTCGGTCTGGAAGGGGGAGATACTTGAGGGCTGAGGGCAGCAGTGACCACTGGTGCTGGGTCTTAGGAGCACGATTCTATGTGGTCCTTACCTTGCTCGATTCTGTTGCCTCCATGCAGAGGATGACATCTGAGAAGTCCTTCATGGCACAAGGCTCTGCATGGCTTTCTGGAGTCCCTGTGACAGCCCAAGACCCCCAAGGGCCCACTCGCTGACCACAAACTCCCTGTCAGAGGGGCAGCCTCTACTACCCGAGGGAAAAGGCTGCCAGGCTAGACCAGTTCTTGGGCTGTCCTTGGTAGAGTGGTTTGGCCTATGGGCTACTCTGTCTCTGTGTGGGGGAAGGGATGGCAGCCAGGAGGAATTCACAAAGGCACGAAATGGTCCCTTAATCCAACTCAGCTGAGGATGCTGAGGTCAAGCCCCTGGCACAGGGTGGCAGTTCTTAAAGGCACAGGCGGTGGCTGAGAACACCCAGCAGAGGAAACTAGGTGCTCTGTGCGGGGATGTGACGAGGGGAGCTCTCCACCCCATCACCCAAGGCACTGAGTGAGCACTTAGGGGGTCGCTGGGAGGGGAGAGAAGTTGCAGGCAGAAGGGAGCCTTAGGTGGTCTGAGAAAGAAGCAGGGTGTAGGGGGTGGACAAAGCCAGCTGCCCACCTTTCCTCCCCACCAGGGTGACAGGGGTATTGGCCAGGCCGGGTCTTTGGAAGGCCCCTGGTAGATCACCGGTGTGACCAGGACAAGAGAGAAGAACATGGCATGAGCAGGGGGACTGGCTGCTCATTCCTGGGACCCCTAAGCCCGCAGGAGAAAGGACAGGGAAGGGGGAGAAGGTGCCCAGGTCTTGGGGAGGGTTGGGGTGTGGAGTCTAGCCACTGGGGCTGTTGCACAGTAGGAAACCTACACCCTGCAAACAAGATTACTTCATGCCTGTTTCTCCATGGGCGAAGTCCTCTTGGAAAATCCCAGCCTAGCCCTGCTGTCCTCAGGGAGAAAGGAAAGGGATTGGTAATCTGTTTTGTGTTAGCCATGCTTAGGCTGAGAGTTTGGCAGGGAGGGAAGTGGGGAGAGAGCCTCATATTTCTGGCTACTATTTGTAGAATGTCTGGGCAAGAGGGCTACATGCAGTTTCTCTCCTTTCATAACTATGAGGTAGCGTCACCATTTTACAAATGCTGGTGCTGGCCTCTGAGAGGTTATGTCACTTTCCCAAGGTCACACAGCTGGTAAGATACAGAGATGAGAGTTGAGCCTAGGAATGGATAGATCTTAGGCTCACGTTTTCTATGATGTACCTCTTTCACCCCACATTGGGGCTGAGGCATGCTGGGGGAGCAGAGGGATCAGAGTGACATGGGGGCAGAGTGAGGAACCCCTTGGGGATGGAAGCAAAGAGGACAGGCTGCCCTCCTTGCACTCAGGAAAGGAGATGCCTCCACCCACAAGTTTTTCTCCATTCGTCCCTGGAGGGTCTTAGTTTGCTTTTGTCTAGGGGGTCAAGCTGTTTCCTAGACCCTTGGAAGTCTAATGGTACATGGTCTTTAGGGAAGAGACTTTTTGGGAGCTGTAGGGACAGGTGCTCTTGGAGAGGATCAGACAGTCCCTGACCACAAAGTACTTCTCATTCTGGGTGGATCAAGACAGAGCAGGATTCCTGCCACACTGTGTGTTAAGAGCCTGGCCACAGGGGCAGCTTCCTGGACAGAGTGGCCCTGCGCTGAGCTTTGAGAATGATGAGCTGGGAGAGCCACGCCCTTGGGTCTGCTCCTCTGAAGCTGCTCGTTCGCTGTGATCATTGAGAGAGAGGTTGCTGTGCCGGGGTCTGGCCAGGCACTGGGCTCATGGAGCCGACTGAGACAAGGTGCCCTCGTCTCAAGGAGCCCCTGCTCTGCTGTGACAGTTCTCAAAGTGGGGCCCGGGGCCTTTTTTTAGAGGACTTGAGAGCTTAGAACTAGGCTCATAATAACACTAAGACATGATGTGCCTTTTTCACACTCATTCATGTTTTCCAGACGCTCCGTGACATGTGATATGACATTGGGGTGAATGCTGAAGGAGACGCGAGTCCAGCTGCCTTCTATTAAGCCAGATGCTAAAGAGATTTGCACAAATATAAAGCCACACTGCCATTCTTACTAATTTTTTTTTTTTGAGACGGAGTTTCGCTCTTGTTGCCCAGGCTGGAGTGCAATGGCGAGATCTCAGCTCACCACAACCTCCACCTCCCGAGTTCAAGGGATTCTCACACCTCAGCCTCCTGAATAGCTGGGATTACAGGCGTGTGCCACCATGCCCAGCTAATTTTGTATTTTTAGTAGAGATAGGGTTTCTCCATGTTGGTCAGGCTGGTCTTGAACTCCTGACCTCAGGTGATCCACCTGCCTCAGCCTCCCAAAGTGCTGGGATTACAGGAGTGAGCCACTGCGCCCGGCCCATTCTTACTAAATTTTTTTTTGTTTCAGAAAATATAGGAGGTTTTTTAAAATTTTTTTTTAATTTTTTTTAATTTACAGTTTTAGTAGAGATGGGGTCTCACTATGTTGGCCAGGCTGGTCTCAAACTCCTGGACTCAAGTAATCCTCCTACCGCAGCCTCCCAAAGTGATGGGATTATATGGTTTAAAAACATTATTGGCCAGGCATGGTGGCTCACGCCTGTAATCCCAGCACTTTGGGAGGCCGAGGTGGGCGGATCATGAGGTCAGGAGATCGAGACCATCCTGGCTAACACGGTGAAAACTGTCTCTACTAAAAGTACAAAACAAATTAGCCGGGCGTGGTGGTGGGCGCCTGTAGTCCTAGCTCCTTGGGAGGCTAAGGCCCGAGAATGGCGTGAACTCGGGAGGCGGAGCTTGCAGTGAGCCGAGGTTGCGCCACTGCACTCCAGCCTGGGCGACAGAGCGAGACTCCGTCTTACTTTAGCTTGTAAAGGGTTCATTATATTAAAATTTATTGTTTAAAAATTAGTAAGAAAATACTTAAATTTCTCTCGGCTTTAATATTAATTTGGTAAATATTAATAGATAGAACCCACATAAAGCAAAGGTCTTTGGGGTTCTCCATAATTTTTAAGAATGTAAGGGAGGTCGGGTGTGGTGGCTCATGCCTGTAATCCCAGCACTTTGGGAGGCCGAGGCAGGTGGATCACAAGGTCAGGAGATCGAGACCATCCTGGCTAACACAGTGAAACCCCATCTCTACTAAAAATACAAAAAAGTTAGCCAGGCGTGGTGGTGGGCGCCTGTAGTCTCAGCTACTTGGGAGGCTGAGGCAGGAGAATGGCATGAACCTGGGAGGTGGAGCTTGCAGTGAGCTGAGATCGTGTCACTGCACTCCAGCCTGGGTGACAGAGCAAGACTCCGTCTCAAAAAAAAAAAAAGAAAAAAGAATGTAAGGGGGTCAGCTGGGTGCGGTGGCTCACGCCTGTAATCCCAGCACTTTGGGAGGCTGAGGTGGGTGGATCACCTGAGGTCAGAAGTTCAAGACCAGCCTGGCCAACATGACGAAACCCCATCTCTACTAAAAATACAAAAATTAGCCGGGCATCGTGGTGAACGCCTGTAGTCCTGGCTACTTGGGAGGCTGAGACAGGAGAATTGCTTGAACCCGGGAGGCAGAGGTTGCAGTGAGCCGAGATTGCGCTGCTGCACTCTAGGCTGGGCAACACAGCAAGATTCTGTCTCAAAAAAAAAAAAAAAAAAGAAAAAAAGAATGTGAGGGAGTCTTTTGAGAAGTGTGGTTCACTGGACAGAGATGAAGACAGTTTACTGGGCCGTAAGTCTGGAGATTAAATGCTGGGTAATCCGAAGAAACAATGACTTCCTCTGATGGGGCCAGCAGGAGGACTTCCTGGAAGAGATGAGCCTTTAGTCTAAAGTTTGAGGGTTGAAAAGGATTTGAATAGGCAGAACTTGGGGGTTGGTTAGGGAATTCCAGGAAGGAGGAGAGGCTTAGCACTGTGGCCTGAGGAGCTTGGTCACAACTGGGTCTCAGAACTATTCCTGTGAGTGGGGAGACAACAGAAGGGAGGCCAAGGGGAGGCCTGGAAGACCAGGAAGCTTCTCTCTGCTTTGCTGTTACCCACGGCCATCCTCGACTACACCCAGGATGTAGTAGAGGCCGCAGAGTGCCTCTGTGGGCACAGGCACTCCTGCAACTGTCTGCGTTATGAAGGGGTTTCTGGAGGAAAGGAGGGGAGCCAGGGGCCAGCTCAGGGTTGGGGAGTGGCACACCTAAAACACACTGAGAGTGAAATCCACTGCAGACCCCTCAGCTCATTGCCTCACGTCATCCTTATTCCAGCCCCGGTGGCAAGAGGAGGGAGGTAGGTGTTTTCTTCTCATTTTCTGGATGCCACCAAGGCTCCTGGAAGTTAAGTGCCTTTGCCCAAAGTTGTACAGTTGCCCAGGGGCAGGGCTGGGTTGCAGAGCTGGGGCTGTTGGAGTCCTGGTTTCCACTTTTTTTTGTTTTTGTTTTTGTTTTTTTGAGACAGGGTCTTGCTCTGTCACCCAGGCTGGAGTGTGATCACAACTCACTGCAGCCTCCACCTCCCAGGCTCAAGCAATCCTCCTACCTAAGCCTCCCAAGTACCTGAGACTACATGTGTGCACCACCATGCTTGACTAATTTTGTAGAGAAGGGATCCCCCTATGTTGCCAGGTCTCGAACTCCTGGGCTCAAGCAATTCTCCTGCCTCGGCCATAGGCTTCCCTAGTCTTTAGAAGCATGAGAGATAGCAGCTCAATCCCATTACTACCTCCAAGAGGCAGATGCCCCCAAATATCAGAAAATTGGAAAAGCCAATTCCTTGATTTTGGAATCCCTATTTAACGGGCACTCTGTTTAGTTTGGGCAATGCTATACTTACATACATCAAGTGTATTGTTAAGGAAGAGAAGATAGAAGCATCCAGAGAGATGAGAGGAATTAAATATTTGCTAAATAGGGACAGTGTTGGTTTAAAAAAAAATTTGCTGAGGATCACCCACCATGAGAATCTCAGTGGAGCTTTGATGGTATAGTCCTGGAAATGGGAGTTGAGCGGGGGAAATGGAAGTTTGTTGAGTTGTTGAGTACCTACTATGTGCCAGACACCCACCCATCCCATCCCCTCCCCTCCTCTGTCCTCCCCTCCCCTCCCCTCTCCTCTCCTCTTTCCTTTCTCCCTTTCCTTTCCTCTCTCTCTCCCCTCTTCCTTCGTTTTTTTTTTTTTTTTTGTGTGTGTGCATGTGTGTGTGTGACAGGTTCTTGTTCTGTTGCTTAGGCTAGAGTGCACTGGTGTGACCACGGTTCACTGCAGCCTCAACCTCCTGGTCAATTGATCCTCCCACCTCAGCCTCCCAAGTGGCTGGGACTACAGGTGCATGGTGCTATGTCTGGCTAATTTTTGTACTTTTTGTAGAGACAGAGTTTTACCATGTTACCCAGGCTGGTTTCAAACTCCTGGGCTAAAGTTATCTGCCCATCTTGGCCTCCCAAAGTGTTGGAATTACAGGCATGAGCCACTGTGCCTGGCCAGACACTGTTTTTCTTAACTGGCACTCACAACTCTGAATAGGTAATGTTATGCTCAGATTACAGATGAGGAAATTGAGGCTCAGAGAGATTAAGTAACTTGCTTGGGCTGTGAATGTTAGTCTCTTTCTGCTGCCTCCTGCATCCTGCACAGGTGCTTGTTTCTGCTCGTAGAGCAATGAAGGATGGGGACCCTCAGAGGTGTCCAGCTCAGACAGACCTACTAGGGTCCAGGTAGGAGGCAGATCATGGTGGTTTTGCTGTTGGGTATGTGTGAATGTCACACTGCTGTTTGGCTCAGTTCCTAATAGATGCAGGGTTGGAAAATTTGCTGCAGAAAGTCCTGCAAAATGCTGTCAATTATTCAAACTAAAGACAGAGTACTCGGAAAGAGAACTGGGTAGGGAGTCAAGATACCCAGGTTCCATCCTGTCTCTGCTTCTGACATGCTATGTGGCCTTGAGCAAGTCTTCTCTAGGGCTCAGTATCCTCACTGCCAAATCGAGATCATGGACAAGGTGACCTCTATGATCTAACTCTAAAGCTTTGTAGAGGCCGGGCATGGTGGCTTACGCCTGTAATCCCAGCAGTTTGGGAGGTCAAGGCGGGTGGATCACCTGAGGTCAGGAGTTCGAGACCAGCCTGGCCAACATGGTGAAACCCTGTCTCTACTAAAAATACAAAATTAGTCAGGCATGGTGGTGCATGCCTGTAATCCCAGCTACTCGGGAGGCTGAGGCAGGAGAATCGCTTGAACCCGGGAGGTGGAGGTTGCAGTGAGCCGAGATCACATGACTGCACTCTCACCCTGGGTGACACAGTGAGACTCTGTCTCAAAAAATAAATAAATAAAAAAATATATAAAATATAGCTTTATAGAAAGAAGTAAGCATTCTGAGCATTGGTCACTTAAAAAAATTCTATAAACTGGAACCAGGGAACTAGAGTTAAGTTCCGTATCTTGGGACTTGAGCATGTGTTTAGAGGAAAAGTGACTTAGAATGATTGATAACATGGGAGTGGAGACCTTCAAGATCCACAAGTCCTATCTCAGTAATTTGCAGATGAGGCACGGAGGCCCAGAAAGAGGGAGGTTCTTGTTCAAGGTCACACAAGAGCAGTTGCAGGGGAAGCCCCTCCCCTAGGGAGAGGCCTGCTGGATCAAGAGCAAACAATGAGGGAAGAGAGCCAAGTTGCTAGGAGGCAAAGCTTGATGGACAAAAAAACGTGGGGACAGACCTGCGTGTGTTTGTGCTCTGTGTAACACTAGGACCTGTTGCCATGGGGATGAGAAAGCACCACAGATTAATTACTGAAGAGCTGGGAGCAAGGGTGGCGGACCTGAGTGGAGCCCCTGCCCTCAATGTCTCCTAGAGTCCATCTGTTCCCCAGTGGAAGACAGCAAAAATTACAGGGCTGCTTCTACCTCCAGTGAAGAACTAGTCAGAGTACAGCCATTCACTTTGCTACAAGCCTCATGTTTTTATTTTGAGGGGATCCTGTTTGCCTGCGGCTTGGGGGCAATCATCAGGGTAAGATTTCCAATCACAGCCTGGGTCAGGCCACCCTCAGGGCAGGCCAGGGAAGTTTGGGTCCCTCAGGGAGAAATTCCAAGTTTTAAGTCACTGTCATTTTCAATCCCTCTTCTTCACTCTTGGGAAATGCTTAGAAAAATGCCCCCACAACTGTCCCCCTCCATGAGGTGGGTTTGATAGCAGCACACAGGCCTTAAGTGACAGCAGGTGCTTCTGTCTCAGCAAGGATGGAATAGTCAGGCCTTTATTTTTCAGTGTCTGGAGCAGTGAAGGCAGTGAGGAAGAATCCTGATGAAACACTCCAGGCTCACCTGGTGGAGCCTTCAGCTTCCCTAGTTCTAAGACCAGCAGCAGAAATGGAAAAGCTGAACAGTGCTAATGAAGAGGTGACACCAAAGGAGACGTGGGTCACCGAGTGCACCAAAGGCATCACCTCTTTTAGGGGTTAAATCTGAAGTCTTGAGAAAAAGCACTTTAGGGAACAAAGCCTGTAACATAAAGGTAACTGTTTCTAAGTATTAGGTGGTAAAGCTGAGATCTTTGACTTATCAAAGACTAAGCCCTGGCTGGGCGTGGTGGCTCACGCCTGTAATCTCAGCACTTTGGGAGGCCGAGTCAGGCAGATCACCTGAGGTCAGGAGTTCGAGACCAGCCTGACCAACATGGAGACACCCCCGTCTCTACTAAAAATAGAAAAATAGCTGGTCGTGGTGGCGTATGCCTGTAATCCCAGCTACTGGGAGGCTGAGGCAGGAGAATCGCTTGAACCCAGGAGATGGAGGTTGCAGTGAGCTGAGATCATGCCATTGCGCTCCAGCCTGGGCAACAAGAGTGAAACTCTGTCTCAAAAAAAAAAAAAAAAAAAAAAAAAGACTAAGCCCTGGTCACTCCACATCCAGGTAATGATACTCTGCTCTAAGAGCAAGTTTTGCTATATTTGACATCTGCTGGAGAGATGTATTTTATCTTATCATAGGTCTGTGAAAACACCCAAGTGTTTCTTTTTTCATAGAGACAGGGTCTCACTATGTTGCCCAGGCTGGTCTCAAACTCCTGGCCTTAAGCCATCCTCTCACTTCAACTTCTTGAATTACTGGTGTGAGCCACCATGCCCAGCCCCAAGAGTTTCAACCAAGAATTAAGAGAGTAGCCCATACCAGCATTAAAAAGTAGACAGTTCATTAAAAAAAAAAATGGACATGTGAAAACCATGTCACATAGGAGAATGTCCTGATTCTTAGGAGATGTATGCTCAAGTATTTAGAAGTGGTGATATAACACCTCACCTGAAAATGTTTCGGCAGACAGAATAAAGTACAGTTGACCTTTGAACAATGCGGGCTTGAACTGTGTGGGTCCACTTTCACGTGGATTTTTTCAACCAAATAAGGATAGAAAATACTGCATTTGTAAGATGCAAAACCCACATATATAGAAGGCTGATTTTCATATACGCAGGTTCTGCAGGGGTGACCTTGGGACTTGAATATGGTGCAGATTTTGGTATGTGTGTATCTTGGAACCAATCTCCCTGTGTATACTGGGGGATGGCTGTATATTTAAATGTGTTTGTAAACAATTGGTGAATCCAGATGAAGAATATAGTGTCCAAAATATGTATTGTTTCAGTTTTTAAAAAATTAAACTTAAATGTTCAAACTAAAAAGTGGGTAACTTTTTCCAGAAACTTGGAATTTACAAACTGGTTGAAACAATGAAATAGATGGCCCCTAATATACTAGGAGCCCTTCCTAGATTCAAACACTCCCAAATCAAGATTCCAACATCTGCCAACTGATTTCTCAAAGCTATTATTTATTCTGTACAAGGTTCCACTGTACATTAGACATTCTTCTACTCTTGCTTACACAGTAAACAAGTGTACACTTGCCCTTGGGCTCAGGTTCACAGGTCTTCTCTGGAGAAGGGTGTCAGGCCAGTAAAACTCAGGGTGTCTTTCTCTGATGCCTCCTCCTAGGAGCCTGGAATGTGCCAGGCTCCACGGGGCACAAGCCGGGCCCAGCTGTGTGGGTGAACAGCTTTACTCTCCAGGACAGCACAGAGTTTTATCCAACTATGTAGGGCAAAATTGAGCCCACAGGAAAGAACCATACAACTGAGGCAAGATGTCCCCAAATACCCAGGCTCCAGCTCCCAGGGCAGGACTGGAGACCAGCGCTAAGAAGAGCTGAGGGGTGGCCTGGGCATCCCTGAGAAACTCGGTCCAAAGGGCCTATTGTCTAGGAGGCTCTGAGAAGGGGGCGGGGGCAGGAAGGCCAGGGGGAAAGGGATGTTAAGAGAATAAATAAAAGGGAGAGAAGCTCTAGGGACGAGGGGCTTGTGCTATCCTTCAAACAGCTGGGGAGCAGACCAGGGGTGGGCTAGAGGACGTGGGCGGGAAGAACTTGATGCCCTGTCGGAAGGAATCTACCTGCTTTCTTCTTTGCCTCACTGCAATGCACAACGAGCCAGGGCTAAGGGCAGGATCCCTTTCCCAGGCGGGTTTGAACAGAGCACTGGGGAAAAGGGAAGAGGCTGAGGGATATTTCAGGAGGGGCAGTTACCCCCTGGTCCCCAAATGCTATAAGGCACAATTCTTGGAGGCAACTAAATTCCATTCAAAACATTAAAAAAAAAAAAAAAAAACCCAAACCCCCAAAACAGAAACTTGTTTTAGATCCCAGGTCTACTGTGGCTGTGCTTGGGGCCTGGCCAACGCCCACCTAGCACCACGGAGGGCTAGCATTAGAAAGTTGTACTTGGAAAAGCAATAAAAGGACCAGTGCAACGTCCCAGCTATGAAGAGGCCTGAAGGAGAGCACTCCAGTCTGAACACTTTAGTTATGGAAATTAAAAAAAAAAAGTTGGGCTTTTTAAAAACCAAAACCAGCGTTTTCCAAAGATGTCCCTTCGTCTGTCCCCTGGAGTTAGCAGCGTGAAGAGGGCTCTTGGCTCATGGCTCTGGACCGGCGAGCCGTGCGGGTGGAGATGGGCGCCGGCTCCTCCGCGGCGCGGGCGTCCAGGCGGTGATGCTCCCAGCGAGCTCCAGAGGGCGCTGTCCCCTCGGAGGCGCGGGCGCTGCGGCGGGAAGCGGCGCAGCGAGGGTCTTCCCCCCCAAGACACAGTTGTTTCTGACACATAGGAAGACCACAAGTTTACAAATGCAAACGCCGAGGGCACGGGGCGATGCTGGCTCCACGTCCAGGCGATCTTCCCTGCCGGGCCACAGCTCAGGAAAGCCCGGCTCCTTGCTCCAGACCCTGATCAGGCTGCATCCACTCCTGCTCGGCAGCTTCAGGTTTGTTTTTCTCTTGTCAGGTTTGTGTGTTGTTGTTGTTGTTTTGTTTTTGTCTTTTTAAAAAATTTAGGGAGCGGGGCCACCACGGGGAAGGGAGAAGGGACGTGGCTCCTGGCGCTACATTCGGGAGGGCGGGCTGGCCAGTTCGTAGAAGAGCAGGTAGGCGTCGCTGGTGCGCACTTGGCTGGAGGACATGGGAGTGACGCTGCGGAGAGAGCGGGGAGTCAGCCCGGAGCGGGCAGGACCGGGAGACCCCCCGCCGGCTTCTTTCTGTGCCCCCGAGGCCGGCCGGCCTGCCTTTCAGGGAGCCTCCCCACGGGCAGCGGCTTCGTGGCCTTAAACTTTGCCATCCATTCTCGGTGTAAGCCGTGCGGGGGGTGGGAGGGGGGTGGGTTTGGGGGGAGGGTGGAGGAGTGGGGGGAGAGTGGGTGGCTACAGCCAGGGGCTCCGGCCCTGCCCTGGCTCTCACCTGGAGTCGTTGAAAGTGTGCCATTCTCCTGTCCCTGGACTGCGACAGTAGGCTGTATAGTGGCCACCCATGGTGGTTCCGGAGTGATTGGACACAGCGTACAGGTTGTAAACAGCATGGTCTGAGGAGGAGGCAGCCGTCAAGCCCCCGAGGCCCCCCTGCCCCGACTTCCCCCCTCCAACCTCTCCTTCTGGGTCTCTCAGTAGCTGGTGCTGGCAGCTCCCCTTCCTCCTGCCCTCCCTCCGGCCTTGCACACCTGCGTCTTCATTCTGCCCTGCCTACTCAAAGATACTCACTGGTGTTTTCTGAGGCAAATTCTCTTAAGTCCAGGTCTCTTAGGGGGAAGTTCACAAATGTTGTGAGCTTGCTGGTTCGGATCCTGGATTCTGAGAACCGCTTCAGATCTGGCATTGACGTGAGTCAAGGATAGTCAAACCAATGCAGAAGGGCAGACAACAAAAGGAAAGCCTACAAGGTCCGTTTCTTCCGACTGTTCCCCTCACCTATGGGCCCCTTGTCATCAGTCACCCTTGAAAGTCATGTCCCAGCCCTGATGGATCTTAAGGATACGGAGCACCAAGATCTTTGGGAACCTCTGGATGGAGAACTTCTTTATACACCGTTTTCTGCCTCGGCAGCGACAGCATGTCTGAGAGACAAGACAAACAGAAAGAACTTGTGGGGAAGTCAGTGGGCCCCAATCCAGTCACTCCTCAACTGGATCTGCTGGTATCAGCCTCTTCCCAGTAGGTCCCACGGAAATTTGTTCTTGCTATTACCGAAGGGTGACTTACTGGCTTTTCATCTCCATCAAGCACATCCTCTTTGGTGAAGAGCCTCATGCAGTCCATTAATGTCACCTCAGGATAACCTCGCTGGGAAGGGGAAAAAAGCAAAGGTCAGAGGTCAACATGAAAGGACAGGAGAGGGAGTTCAACAAGGCGGGCAACTGGGGTGCATACCTTAGCAATGGGCAGTGAGAGGTCCCAGAAGGGGTCGAAGACCGTAGAACAGTAACCACAATCTGTACACGTCAGCGAGCTCTTTAGCTGCCCAACAAAGAGATCTGGGGAAGAGAAGGCCATGAGATGCTGAAATACAGGAAGTAGAGCATGGTCTTCTGCACAGCAGCTTTTATTTTTTTTTTTGAGATGGAGTTTTGCTCTGTCCCCCAGGCTGAAGTGCAGTGGTGCAATCTCAGCTCACAACAACCTCTGCCTCCTGGGTTCAGTGATTCTCCTGCCTCAGCCTCCCAAGTAGCTGGGATTACAGGTGCCCACCACCATGCCTGGCTAATTTTTGCATTTTTAGTAGAGATGGGGTTTTGCCATGTTGGCCAGGCTGGTCTTGAACTCCTGACCTCAGGTGATCTACCCGCCTTGGCCTCCCAAAGTGTTGGGTTTACAGGCATGAGCCACCATGCCCGGCCTGCACAGCATCTTCTTTCTTGCTGTTCCTGCTTTGCTTTGTTGAACACTAGGCAGAAACAGGCTTCCCCGGGAGAGTGATTCTTAGGGCTTTTCATGCTCCACTCAGGCAAGAGCAGGCAACAGTGAAAACAGGCATCTTCCCTTTCATGCGCTTACCCCCGATCCTACTGTCTTCCCGTTCTAGATATTTTCTCCACATCTGTCGGCCTTTCTCGTCATCACTGGGAACCAGAGAGAGACAACAATTGGGTCAAAGCTCAAAACTTAAGTTTAAGGGTCTGTCAATTTTGATCCTTCATCTTCAAAAGTAAATCAGATTATTCCCAAATCATTAACCCCAAAGTGGTGGGTAAAAATCTCGAGTTCACAAAAGTTTTGCTTTCCCACAGCATTCTCCTCTTACTTACGGAAGATGATCGAGGTTCTCAGGGTTGGACTTAGGTCTCAGTGTCACTCGGTTCACCTCGTTATGGAGCCCATCCAGAAGAAAGCGAAGGAACTCCTGAGCATCCTGCTGACTGAACCCAAAGGAAGGAGGGTGAGCAACACCTCTTGTCCTAAGAACCTGCTCCTACTGCCACCCACCTGAGAGGACATGTCTGCAAGGCCCTTACTTATAGCCAACAAAGCGCGGTGCGTATCTCTGGATCTGGGTCTTGAACTCAGATGGGCTCACCACATCATTGGGGGATGAAGTCCATATGGTCTGAATTAGTTTTGCAAACTCTATTGGAAGGAGAGAGTGTACAGGACAGCTGAGATATTTTCTATAAGAAACTCTGAAACTAGAATCCCAACAAAAAGCAAGCAGAGAAAGACAGACAGGATAGGAGTGTCTAAGACACAACACCTAGAACAGCCCCAGTGGAGTGGAGGAGCATCCGGGGGTAGGCAGGGGCACATGACAGAGGGCCTCTCACCTTCCACGAGGGCTGTGTGTGCATTGCTGCCGTGGTGCAGGTCCCGCATGTAGAGCCTCTGGAGGCAGTAATCTCTCAACTCCCGAGTGTTGCTCAGGCACTGCAGAATTGAGTTCATGAAGCACTGCAAGAGATGACCAGGCAATCAGTGGGGAGACGAGAGTCCCACCTTCACCTGTGTTACTTACTACCAGAGGCTCTCTGGTTCATCTACCTAGAATCCTTTCATAGGAGGCTATCCTTTCATAGCCTCAAGTTCCTCTTTTCATAAGTGAAAGGGGTGAAGTGAGGCAAACCCCCACTCCAGGCATAGGTGACCTAATTGGTTATTTACTATAGAGGTGCACAAAAGGGCGTGATGTGATGGACAGAAGTGTGTGGGAAGTGATGGGCATCCTTTAGGGGAATGATCCAGGAGAGGAGCAGGCTGATGGGTAAAAGGGCAACTTCCTTTTAGCAGTGCTTCCTGCTGGGGGTGGGTAAAGCACAGCCCAGCAATTCTGTGAAACACCAGCCAGGAAGGGCAAGTGCCAACTGGCTGAACGGGTAGGGAGTCAGCCACAACCAGAAGGGGACTCTGGTTATATGGCTCCAGTCAGCATAGTAGGGGGTGGGCCTGGGGAAGAAGCAGGCCAGGAAAAACTCACCGTGTTCCCAAGGTTTCGAAGACCAGCCAGACCCTGGGCACTCTTAGAATTCTGTAAGCAAAGAACATATGGCAATAAGGTGGAAGCAAAGATGCTAGGCCTGTGCTGGGCTCTCTCGTGCAATTTCTAACCAGCTGGAGCCACAGGCAGCAGGCCACACATAATATTCTTTCTTCAACTTTACCCATCTATGTACTTTGTAGGAAAGAGGATTGAGGAATGCCTGTGATTTTCTTTTCTTTTCTTTTTTTTTTTTTTGAGACGGAATCTCACGCTGTCACCCAGGCTGGAGTGCAGTGGTACGATCTTAGCTCACTGCAACCTCCACCTCGTGGGTTCAAGCGATTTTCCTGCCTCAGCCTCCTGAGTAGCTGGGACTACAGGTGTGTGCCACGATGCCCGGCTAATTTTTTGTATTTTTAGTAGAGACAGGGTTTCGTCATGTTGGCCAGGCTGGTCTTGAACTCCTGACCTCAGGTGATCCACCTGCCTCAGCTTCCCAAAGTGCTGGGATTACAGGCGTGAGCCACCGCGTCCTGCCTAAATGCCTGTTATTTTCAACAACCAACAAAAATATTCTTCAGGGCTTTATTGAGTGTGTATTGACTATGTATCTCCCTGCCCCCCATCTTTATGTTATTCTCTATTCTCTGCTACAGTGGAGACTAGGAATTCATATATTTGGTACATATTGACTCCTTACTATAAGAAATTTTGAGTCCCAAATCCAGGTGCTATCTCAAATGACCTATATTTGTACTCCTAGAAGTCCAATATATAAAGTAACTCTCATAAGAGACACTTTGAGGAGGTTTTGAAAAGTTAAACAACAAAACACCTTGAGTTTCGATCTTCAGTTGGGAAAAACTCAAGTAAGCCTGCCATTCTGAATTGCCAGAGACAGGTGGAATTCCTTCCAGCTGAGCTCAGCTCCTAAGGGCTGATTAAAGACTCGGAGAATCCTCCCTGCCTGGCTCAGGTTTCAACATCCTGACTGGCCACTGTCTGGGAATCCTGGAGATGGCAGATTGGGCCCGCAGAGGCAAGGGCCTGGCTGAAATTGCCACTCTTGCTGTTGGCCCTATAGCGGAGGCGGGTGAGGGGGTTGGAGAGAGAACAGGTGCTGGATCGAGGACTCTGAGCTTATTTGTCAAGGTCTCTTGGCTAATCCTGGGCATATCTCCAAGGAGTCAGAAAACCTTCAGGCTCAAAGGGTTAAATAAACAGTTTGCAGATGAGTCTGCCACCCCCTCTCTCAGGGAGGGGACTGGGAGCAGGCAACTCTGGAGCAACACTGGGGCATGCGTGGGGCCAGCTCAGCCCTGATCAGAACAGGAGCCTGAAATAACTCAGCTAAAATTACTCATGCCGTGTGCTGACAGCCTATGAGGCTGTCAGCAGCTCAAAGCCCATGAGGTTGTCAGCTGGGGGGGAGGGGTGTGGGTGGGGGAGGAGCAGGCTGAAGGAGGGCTTTTCTCAAGAACTGCCTTACCGATCCCACAAGTAAGAGGATCCCTTCTTGGCCAGCTGTCAGGGCTAGCACTAACAGGTAGGGAAGAAAAATATACCCAGAAAAGAGACCCAGTTTAAACCTGCAGCTAGAGAGAAAGGCCAATTGGCAGCAGGTGGGATATAAGCATCCTTAGAGAACTTGGCTAGGGCTGGCAGTATATGGCCCCACACAACATCTGAATCTGACTTACTGACAGTCAGCAAGAGGGCCGCAACAGAGATAATTCCCTGGGACAAAGACCTTCTCAGCATTTTCCAGAATTGGTGAAACGCTGCAAAAGTCTCCATGTTGCGCACTCGGAACTAAATGTTAAAGCTTGCCCACAACAGAATACCCACCCTTACGTCTATTTTTGGCAGTGCTTTATTAGTTCTTAGCCCCTGTGCCTCAGATGACATCTGTCTAAACAGGCTGTAGGGGAAAGCATTCTACCACTGGTGACCGTGTCAATGTTCACCAAAGCAGGCCCTCAGCTGAGACAACAGTCACTCAGTGCTAATGGGGGTAGGGAAATGGGAAAACGGAGTCATCTGTCTACAGAAGCACTCCTGTGGTGTTTTAAGATGTTGACACTTAATTCTGACCCAGCAGTGAGGGGCAAGAAGGACACTTCGTCACCCACGATTACTATTCTTGAGGATCTAACCCCTCTATTGGCCTGGGGGGTGGGGAGATGGGAGAAGCTCCTTTAAGGCATCCTTAGGACCCTTGGTTGTTATGTTTTAGGGTGGGGGTTGATGCCTTTGTCTAAAATTTCCTCAGCTCAAAACCACATGCCAGTTTCTAGGTGCTCTGTGTAGAAGGCGGGTGGATAACAGGAGTGGGGGCGACAGAGGAGGGGGAGCAGGGCTGCTCCATGCCCAGCCAGATATTCTTCTGCCAAGAATAGGAAATCAGGAGCTCCAGGGAAAGTCAGCACTTTTCATTACAGAGGGGAACAAAATGTCCCCAGAGTGACCTTTCTTACAGGACAAACAATCCTACCTCAGGGTCGACAGGGAGAAAGGGGCCAGAACTGCAGAAGGTGGGAGACCCTGCACAGCCAACCTCTTTCGGTGAAAGCCAGAGAAGGAAATGACCCCAAGTGTTATGCTGGGACACATGTGCAAAGAGTTGAGAAAGTTTGGACCCAGTCTTCCTTCCATTCAGCCATCAGCAAACCTAGTTTTGACTCAGTATCAAGCACTGTTGCAGGGAGCAGATGGCACCTTCACCATCAGCAAATAGACAGCTTTCACCTTCTAGAGGAGAGGAGCGGGGGCTCAGGAGAGCCCTGCCTGGGTTAATGCAGAGGTAGCATCTGGGCACCCTTCGGTAGGAGAGGCCGAGGTTTGTGTCTTCACACTTGAGACCCCAATCAAGGGCTTTCCCGCCTACCTCACCTGTGTGGTGAGGGTCGCCCCAAGTCCTGGCTGCAGCTAGGAAGCCTGGTGTGGCCCTGGCACGGGGCAGGGCACGCACTGCCAGCACGGGAGCTGGTGCCTGTTACATAAGACCTGTCAAAGCTCGGGCCCCTTCTCCCTTCCCCAGGCGGGCAGCGCCCAGCCTCGGCCCCGGCATTCCCCTGGGGGCTGCTTCCGCGGAGGGACCCGCTGCCCGCTGCATAAATGGAGAGGACGGAAAGAAGGGGAAGTTGCCCTCTGTCACCTGTCTGCACCTCGTCTGCCCTTCACAGGGTCAAAGGACCCCCGTCACCAACCCTTGGGAAAGAGCCCTTGGTGGACAGTGAAGGGGAGGCGGCCCCTTTCTGCCCAGCCTTCCTCGCCGGGGTTTGGCCTCGGAGGAGTACCCCGGCACGGTCCAGCGTGCTGCCCTCGCACACCGATCGAGACCCAGTCAAGGTTATGCTTTCCTGCACCTGTCCTGATAGGTGCCAGGAATTGAGAGGCCAAGAGCCACCACCTGGTGCCGGGGCCACCGAGAGGGAGGGGGCAAGGGGGACTTCCTCGGACCTCCACCCGGGGAGGGGACCACGAGTAAGCGTGCGATCACCTGAGGAGGGGGCATTCCTTGCCAGGAGACCCTGGGAAAGGAGGGGTGGGGGCTGGGAAGAATCCGTCCCCTCACCTAGGGGCGCGTGGCGGGCAGAGGCCAGGGAGAAGGCGGGACCCCAGGCCCTCGGCGCGGGGGTCCCGGAAAAGGGCCCGCGTACCTTGGCTTTGTTGAGCAGGAGCCCCACGAAGGTGGAGAGCAGCAGGGACGGGGAGAGAGGGGAGCGCGGCCGCAGCTCCTTGGCGAGGGCGGGAAAGGGGGCGGCGGGGGGGTCCTCGGGCAGGGTCACGGTGTACGAGGTGCGCATGCTGGGGGGCGGGCGGCGGGCTTTGGCCCTCGCTTAACGTTGGCAGCGGGGGCGCGGGGGGAGTCCCCGCGCGGTGCCACAGTCCGGACGCCGAGGCCGGCGAGACCGCTACAGGACAGCGTCCGCGGCGCCCGAACGCGCGCTCCTCCGCCTCAACCTCCCCGGCGTGCGCCGCCAACAGCCCGGGTCCCGGCTCTCGCGCTCCGGCCGACTGGCGGCCCCGCCGGCGCCTCGGGCCCCGCGACGTCAGCGCTGGGGCGGGGCCAGGCCCTAAGCCCCGCCCCACCTCGCCTCTACCCCGCCCCCGGCGCCGGCACGCGGACCCGAACGAGGCGACAAGGTCGGTCCTCCCCCGCCGGGCCTTCCCCGCGCTCCCCGGCGCCCCCAGCCCGCTGACCCCCGGCCAGGCAGGCCCGCGGGGGAGGCAGGACCGGAGCCCTGAGGCCCTGGCCGGCCTCGGGGTTGAGGCTCAGCTCGGGATAAGTGATCTTTGGGGCCCGCAGAGGACGTCTCCCCAAGACCCAGTGGCAACCGGGTGAGCTTCCCCCAAGGCACCATTACACTTCCTAACTCTTGAGGGGGCTGCAAACCATTTTGAGAACGTGATGAAAGCTCTTCTCTCTTCAGGGCGAAATACGTATATGCACAAACTTTTGTCTAGAGTTCCGGGGGTACTCAGGCCTTCGTGAAGACCCAAACTCATGCAGTCTGTGGAGGTCAATGTGCCCAGGTTAAGAAGATGGACCTTCACGGCCTAGGGGCTGAGCTGCCCTCCTCAAAACAGTCCTGTTTGGCTTCTTTCAAGAGAGGCAGTGCTCATGTTTTATAAGGTCCAATAGGTCACCTTCTCATTTGGCTCCTGAAAAGAACCTTTTCTGGTCTCTTCTAACCAATTACCCAGCTCCGGCTCTCCCATTCTCAAATTTGACTTGTTTTGGGGAGCTGGGGAGAAAGCAATACAATAGTGGGGAAATAGGCGCTCAGCTGGCATGGGGCGAGTGTTCTACTCTGGCGTCAAGCACAGCCATGCTGGAAGATCAGGGGTCTTTAGATTTCGTTTCTGATGCCCCACCCCTCCACCTAACAGGGAAGCTCACGAATCTGCCTAGAGAAAGTATCTTGTTTGGAGCTTGCTGGCTATTTTTAGCCAGTATTTTTAGCATTTAAAAATACTCCAAGAGGCAGCAGTGTATGCTGTTACTCATCTGTGGGCTCCTTCTGTTCCTTCTGGTGTGCTCATCCCCACATGTACACGCACACATGACCACAGCTACATGGGGACTGTGTCCAGGACACACGTATGGCAGTACCCCAGGCCACCGACAAAGCAGCAATTTCATGCTAATGAGAGAGGGATGGGGACAGTTGCCCCCTCCCCTGTGTGCCAGCAGTGTGGTGGGAGGAGGGGGCAGGGGACAGGAACCACAGGCAGTCTGCTTGTGATCAGTGAGAGTGGGCATGTGAGGAGTGGTGATCTCTACAGTCACTGTCCTCACCCAGACTCTGACTGAATCTGGACCCCGGACAAACTGCAGCAGCCTTTCTCCAAGCCTCCTTTCCAGCCAAACGCTTTCAAGCCAGCCCTACACCATCTGAAGCAATGTTTGCATCTGATCTCATCACTCTTCTGTCCTGAAACAACTAGAGCACCTGCCCTTGCATCCAGCCCCGAAGCCTCAGGTAGCCTTTCTCTAAGGCTGTTTGTCCACAGGCCCACCACCCTCAGTCTTTGACCACTGCTGTCAACCAGCCTGTGCTTATCCTCTGCTGAAAAACCAAAACTGCCACTCATTAAGTACTTATTAGATCCCAGGCACTGGGTTAAGGGTTTTATATATATTATCCCAGTTAATTTCTATAACATCATGCTGTAGTAACTATTACCTCTATTTTATTTGTTTTGTTTTTTTTTTTTTTGAGACGGAGGCTTGCTCTGTCGCCCAGGCTGGAGTGCAGTGGCACGATCTCGGCTCACTGCAACCTCTGCCTCCCGGGTTCAAACAATTCTCCTGCCTCAGCTTCCTGAGTAGCTGGGATTACAGGTGCGCACCACCACGCCTGGCTAATTTTTGTATTTTTAGTAGAGACGGGGTTTCACCATGTTGGCCGAGCTGGTCATGAACTCCTGACCTCAAGTGATCCGCCCACCTCAGCCTCCCAAAGTGCTGGGATTACAGGCGTGAGCCACCACGCCCGGCCTATTACCTCTGTTTTATAGGTGAAGGACCTTAAGCCTAGAGAGGTCAAATGACTTTCCAGGACTGCAAAGTTAATAAATGACAATGTGGGGCTTTGTCTTACAGCAAAACCCATGCTTTTAACAGGAAATTCTGGGATGTACTTCCTGCTCTCTGCCAATTACCTACTTGTAAATTCTGCCTAAAATTTGCATCTTCCAAAAGCCTTCCCTAATTAACTCCACCCATCTCTAAACTCTCCATTACTGCATATCGTCAGTCTATGCGCATTCAGTTTGCATGGTGTTAATCTATCTTAATATGTTTATCTTTGCTTTATAAGTGTTTCAAAGAGTCCTATAAATGGTCTTGTGTGTGGCTTGTCTTGGTTTTGCCAGCACACTGAAACCTCCTCAAGGGCAGGGTTGTGGGTTCTCTTGGTGGGTTCTTAATAAATGGTGTTGATCTTGTCTCTAAAGAGGGCCAGACCAGGCTCTGCTAGGAATCCTGGGAGTCACACTAAGCCTCAGAGGGTGGGGTGTGAGTCTGCTTTTGCATGTTGAACACATGTGCTGCTGGGCTTGGGGGGACCTGCCCAAGAGGTGCTCACCCACTATAGCATTTGGCCTGTTTCCCCATGACTTAGACACAGTGATGTAAGCACTCCCACCCAGGACATCTGGGTGTTCTGCCAGCTTGCTCTCCCTCTTCCCTGGGATTTAGGAGGTTAGAGGGGTTGCCAGGAGCAGGGAGGGCCAGATGCAGAAAGCTTTAGCGTGGGAGCACTTTGAGAAGTCTGGGGTTGGGGGAAAGAATTCACACAGAGTCCAGTCTAGTCAAGCAGGTCCGACTGCTGCAGGACACGGCCACAAAGGACCTTGGCTCATCTCTCGGCCAGCCAGGTCTCTGTGAGACCCTTTCTCTTCACTGCCATTCTCGGAGTGGGATGGATACAAAGGATAGAGGCTTCTGGCATCTGAATCTGGCTCTGGCTCAGTGACTCTCTGTGCTTCAAATACACAAAGCTAAACTGAGCTGGGCTCATTCCTGCATCCTGACTGCCGTTCCTCAGAACCTGGGCTTGGCCTGCTTCCCTATAGGATAAGTAATTTTTGTCACCTTAAATCCTTCCTGGCATGAGATGGAGTGATATAAATGAAAGTTAGGGCTAGCTCTATGAGGGCGGGGACTGAGAGTATTCTGCTTCTCTCAGATCTGCGTGGGCAGCTTAGGCCAGGGTTTGGTGACACTGCTGGGGCTAAGGCAGATGTCTTAAAGCCTGGCTCCCAGCATGTGCCTGCGATTACCACCGCAAATGGACAGACCGGTGGCCTGATTGATTGATGGATGAAAAGGTAGGGGCTCTGAGTCCTTGTTAGGGGTTGGGCTTTTGCCCCACAGTGCACCTTGGGGAGAGAGGGTCAGCCCATCCTCCCCACTCTCTGTAGGAAGGTCTGCTTCCCTGCATGACGTGGACCCCAAGAGGCCAAAAGCTCTGTGCACCTTTGAGCCCAGGCAGTCTGGCCTGAACCAGCTGGATTCCAGAGGCCCACACACCTCCTTCTTTTGCATGTGTCTCCGTCTGGGGCGCTAGTTTTATGTACGTATTGAGGTGAGAGAGTACAAGGGGCCACGTGTGCAGCTTTGGGCTCTGAACATGATGTTCATTTCTGCAGCTGGTGGTCAGTGGAGCGGCTCCCCCAGGGGCAAGGAACATTTTGCCAGGCTTGGATTAACTTCTGCATTGCTGAGCCCCACCCCAGCACCACATTAACTCATGAAGACATCCTGGAGTGGGGGTGGAGGAGGAGGCGGGAGGATGGTGCTGGGCACCGATTGAGAAATTGAGCCTGGATAAGGCAGTACCAAGGCTAACGGCCAGGATACAGCCCACAGCCGGTCTGCAAGGGATGGAGACATCAGTGTCTTGCTGATTCTAGTCACAAACCGCAAACCCACTGCCCTTTCCTTCGCAGCAGCTAGTACAGCTCCTGGCCAAGGGGCCCCTCTGGCTTAAGGTCCTTTAGTGACCTTCTCATGCTGCCAACACAGATTCATGACCTCAGGAAGTTCAACCTCCTTAGGGTGGCTTAGTGATCCCGGGGTGGGAGTAGGTAAGGACAGACCCCAGGATCTCAGGCTGCCAAGCTAGACAAACAAGGCAGCAGGGATACAGGCCAGTGTGGCTGCGTGAACGGAGCGAGAACATGAGGGACGAGAGGCGAGTTGTACTTCTCACCTAGGAGCTCCAGGACAGCCCCTGCTATCCGCAATTTGTTCTCTTTGGAGTAACCTCCGCTCACTGCAGGGCAGCATTCAAGTCCAAAGTCCCACCCCAGGGAAAAATCACATGACCTCAGCTTATATAATCTCCCTGTCACTGAACAGCTGGAACCCAAGGCTTCGGAAGATGAGTCAGCAGCCCCAGTGGCAAATAGGACCCAGGTATTCAGTTTCCCAGACCTTTTGCTCCTAGAAACAGGTCCTAGAGCGGAGGGCAAGGGTGTGGAAGAGACTGGGTGGGTGAGAATAGGCTGGGCCAGACTCTGAGCCTCAGCCCTGGCTCTGCCTCCGAGTTGCAGGTGCCCAGCTTGCTGACTGTGCTCTGGAGGGCCCTGGGCCAACCCCTGGATCTTCTTGGGGAGAGGAGAGGGTGGCCTGGGCAGGGTGGGGCAAGGGCTGGGCAGAGGCCAGCGGGCAGAATGCCAGGGCTAGGGAGGAGCAGCTGGAGGGGTGGAGCTGAGGGGGATTAGGAAGGATTGTAGGGGTTAAAGCGCAGCCCTGGCAGGGCTCAATGGGAACAGCTCGTCCTTCCATAGACCCCGGGAACAGGAGAAGTGGGGCAGAGTAGGGAGATGACAGGGTTGGGACTGGGGCTCCTGGGTCTCTGCAGGGCTGAGCCACCTGAGCTGGCTTGGAGTCCCCACTTGGGTTAGTGAACACTTTTTTTCCACCATCACTGTTCCTCCTCTCTGCATTTTAAGCAGAAGGTGAAGTCTCAGGGGAGGCCCTCATTATACAAGTGCTGAGCTGCGCCCCCCTGGCCTGGCATTTTGTTGGTGCTTACACAAGCATGGGGAGGGGATAATTCTGAATTTATGTGGCGCCCCCTGCCACCCGCCCCTGCCCCCCGCCAGCTCTGTGCTCATGCTCAGCTGAGTCTGTGATATTCAAAGTTCGTGTTGCCTATTACTGTTAATGAGGGAAAGAAGTCTGGCTAGAACTGTTCTCCCTGGTCACAGCCTGCTGTTGACCTCCCTTAATGAATGCCAGCTGTAGCTCCAGTCAGCTATCCTGAGAATCCCCTGGGACACAGGATGTACTTTTTTTTACCTCTGTTTCTCCCACGGGGTTGGTGGGGAGGGGGCTTCCTACTCTAGTCAGCTGCCAAACGCCCCCTTTCTATGATCTCTTTTCCCCCCTTAAGTTTAAATGACCTCTTCTGCAGCATTTTATTGATTTCACATTCCTCCACCTTCATTATTTGCTTTGAGCCTCATGGCATGCTTGAGAGGTGGGCAGGGCGGGCGTGATTGTTCCCTTTTATAGTCTAGGAAATACAGCCCAGCTGATAGGTGTCCAAGGTTAGAGAGGCCAACTGTTCCTTCCACTGGTCACGAGCAGCCCGTCCCAGCCTCAGATGACCTCTCCCTTTCCGTCCACCTGTGACACTCAAGAACACCCAGGGCTGCCTCCCATTGTACCTATTTAAGAACTTCTTCTTGGCCAGGCGTGGTGGCTCACACCTGTAATCTCAGCGCTTTGGGAGGCCGAGGCGGGTGGATCACCTGAGGTCAGTTCAAGACCAGCCTGGCCAACATGGTGAAACCCCGTCTCTACTAAAAATACAAAATTAGCCTGGTGTGGTGGTACACGCCTGTAGTCCTAGCTACTTGGGAGGCTGACACAGGAGAATCACTTGAACCTGGGAGGTGGAGGTTGTAGTGAGCCGAGATCGCACCACTGCACTCCAACCTGAGTGAGACAGAGCGAGACTCCATCTCCAAAAAAACAAAACAAAACAAACTTATTTCCCTAAGTGAATTGTGAAGGCACTGAAGGCAGGGACTGTTGCTCGCACACATCTCTTGCCTGCCAAAGCACCAGAAGGGTACAACAACGAGGACTAACATTTACTAAGCAACATGCCAGGCACTTTCACATACATTATCTTTTCATTCCTCAAGTAATCTGTGAAGTGGGAACTATGATCACTCATCTTACAGAGGAGGACACAAGTTCAGAAGCTAAGGGACCTATCTGAGGTCACGCTGCTAGTAAGCTGAGCACCACAAATGAGTGCCTCAGAAGGCAAGATCCCCAGATGGAGATCTAGAAAGAAACTGGACCCAGTTTTAGAAAGAAGTGGTCCAGGCCGCACGAGCAGGGTTGTTCTCACCTCAGCAAGACGCACTCTGCTCCAGGAAATGACGATAAGGGGTGGAGAGATCAGGGTGAGGTTAAATAAAGGTCTTGTACTATTGACCCTGGAGAGGCCTCTGCTGGTTGGCAGTATCTTCTGGGGCATGAGCTCAGAATGAAACACTAGCTCAACTGCAGGGCATTCCCGGCTAAAGTGCCTTATGAGTTGCTTCTGGATGAGGGTGGCTGAGTTTGTCCCAGGGCAATCTGCCACTTCTTTGAGGTCCTCTCTCAAAATTCCCTTCACCTTGGCCCTGGAGCCGGGGGGAGGAGCCAGGGTTGTCCCTTCTGGAGAGTTGGAGGGCGGCAGACTCCCAGGAGGGTTGGGCCATGCCTGTGTGGGGAGGAGGCAGATTCCCAGTGGAATCTGATCCCCAGTAAAGGGGAATACTGCTGTCATGATTGGGGCTGAGGGTGGGTCTGTAGTTTAGTCTGCGCTGAGGTTTTCCATCTCAGCATGCCTAGAGATCACCCAAAGAGCTTGTGGAAAGAGCAGCTTCCCAGGCCCCATCCCGAGAGAGTTTGCTTCAGTGGGTTTGGATGAATCGTTAAGCCCTGCAGTGACTCTGACACAGGCAGTCTGCAGACCCCACTTTAAGGAGCACTGCTGACCATGAAACAACCCTTCTCTTCTGAGCAAGGGGAGGGAGCCCCGCAGAGGCTTCTAGGACCCGAGCCCCTCCGAGGAGAGCCATATTCTAATTGCCCTGGGGTTGAACAGCACCAGCCGAGTCCAAGTGAGTCCTGCTCCACTCCAAGCCCAGCACGCAGCACCCTGAGAGCTGATACTTCCCCACCATGCCAGCTCTGTTGTGACACATCTCTCTTCTCCACTCCTTTCTACAGTGGATCCAGCCCTGCCTTGTCAAGTTCTGAATGTTCTGGGAGGCACCAGCGTTTCTATCTCCTGTGCCACTTCACAGATGGCACAACAAAGCCAAGACTCCCTAAGTCATATTATCAAAGTTGCTCTCTCAAGACCTTTAGTTATGCAAGCTTCAAGGTCCTGCCCCTATTCCTGAACCCCTGCTGCATTTGTCTGGATCAGCCCTCCAAGCAGTATTTCTTGCTGTGGCATGCTGTTGTTTTCAAAATGTATTTGTCCTAGGAGTAGGGAGGGGTACATAAGGTAATGGAGGAGACACAGCATCCAGCCCTTCTGCCCATATGCTTGCCTGTCCATCTGTCCACCCGCCATCTACCCGTGTATCCACCCACCCACCACCCACACATCCATCCATCCATTCATCCCTGCAATCAGCAGGTCAGCCCCCATTGTGGGAGGCACGTGGCAGGGGATCTAGAGATAGGATTTCTTTTTCCTCCTCTGAGAGCTTGCCACCTAATGGGCACACTAATAACTACAGAAAAGGCAGATGTCGTCAGTGCCCCAAGAGAGGCGTGTGCGGGCATTAGTTGGCGAGCGAGCCCATGCCAGCCCTTGGTCAGTCTCCAGCAGAGCCTCTTCCCTCATTCCAGCTGAGGCAGGGCTGGAATAGAGGTATTGGATTGTCTCAAGCCCTAGATAAAAATTTCTCCCCTACTTTCTCCAAAGCCAGATGATAAGCATTGCTGTCTGATACCCTGGTCCTGAGTATGCCAGTGTCACTCAGAGGAGAGTCCCTCTTCCCCTGATGTCTTATGTCCAAATGTAAAGCCAGGCCTTGGGGCTAGGGAATAAAGCCTGCACAAGAGGGGAGATGCAACCACAGCAAGGAGGCCCTCCTGCCACAGGGTGCACTGGTGGTCTGGGCCCCCCCGCATCCAGCCCAGGTTGGGGCAAGGCCTGCAGGAGACACTGGCATGTCACATAGAAAAGGAGAAGGTGAGAAGAGTGGTTCATTGGGCGCAGCAGAGCATTCCTGAGAACACTACTGGACTATCCTCGAGTGCGCGGGCCCTGAGTGGGCTTTCTAGGCAGAGTGGGAAGGCCCCTCCCCTCGGCACGGAGCCCCAGGGGCACCAGATGTGCCAGGATGACTTCTCTTGTTTGTCTCCACCAGGAGCAGCCTGTCAGTCATCAGTCAGGTTGGGAGTCGAGCCCTCAGCCTGGCTGTTCTCCATCAGTGGCTGCCTCCCCAGCCTATCCCCGGTCCCCAAGGGTAAACTCACCATGCCGTCTCTTCCCGGGGAGCTGGAGCGGCTGGGCCCAGGGGCCTGACCCTTTCCCGTCTCCCACAGCGTGTAGCGGCCAATGGGTCGGTAGGTTGGGCTGATGATTTCAGGGACTCGTGAGGGAGGGGCCTGGGAGGGCACCTGAGATGCACTGCCCTTGCGACCATAGTTCTCCAGGTAGTCGACCAGGTATTCAGGGCAGCTGGCTGTCTGGTAGAGCCCCTGCAGGGTGCAGAGCTCCTTGCGCGTCCGGGCCAGCATGGGGCTGCGGCCCAGGTTCCTGGGGTCTATCCGGTAGCTATCTGAGGTCCGGAGGCTGGAGAAATCCCGGGCCAGGTCTGATTGGCTGTCCAGCTTCTGGGTTAGGGTCACCCCCTGGTCATAGGCATTGATGGGCAGGTAGCTGAGGCAGTTGTTGGTCACTCCATAAGGGAATCCGCTGCCCCCGCTGAGGCCACTGCCTAAAGGCCGCTCAGTACCCCGGGTCTGGCTCTCTGCCCGCTTACCACCCCCAGTGATGTCGGGTCTCAGCAGGGGGCGGCCCCGGTCATAGTCCAGGAGGGAGGAGGGGCCATAGGTACGGGGACGGGTGAGGAAGCTGCTGGTGGGGACCGGCTTGAAACCAAGTTTCTCCTTCTCCAGTAAGGAGGCAGCCAGATTGGCCCCATAGGAGGACGGGGTGTAGGCACCATAGCCCGACTTGGCATAGTGGGCATCTGTGTAGCGGGCCGATTCTGTGTAGCGCTTCAGGGTGGAGGAGAGCTGGGACATCCTTCAGGGTGGCACTCAGTGGGGACTGGGAGCCTCATGGGCTGAAAGACAAGGAGTGTAGTTGTCAGAGGGCCCTGCCAGGTGTCGGGCTCCCACAGACCTGCTCCCCATCCTCAGCTGGGCCAGAACCTCAGAGCTCCCAGTCCATTTCCACAAGAGGCAGGCTGGCTGCTGAGAAGCACACATGCACGCAGGTGTGCACAGGAGCTTGCTTGCACCTGTGTGTTCACACCTCGGTGAGAGTGCGAGGGATGAGGTGGCTTTTATATGCCACACAGGAAGTCAGCGCATCCTGGCCATTCAAAGACTCAAACACGCAAGCAGGGGCTATCTGACCTCCACAGCCCACCAAGCCGTGCAGTCTTCCAGGTCAAATCCCATTGCCTCAGCATCTGCAGAAACTCTTGAGCTGGGGGAATGCCACTGACCCCTGGGTTGAGAATGCTGGATATTTCAGGAGTTAAGACCACATCTGTCCCTTCTGACTTATGTGATGAGCAGGTGTCTTTTTGGAATCCTAGACTGTCTGTGCTGGAATGACCTGAAGATCATTTGGTCAGATCCCCTGTGAGGCCAAGGAGGCTCAGGGGAGGAAGTAATGGGGTGTGGGTGGGCAGGGGAGGCCGTGAGTGAGCATGCAACAATGAGGGGCCAGAACGTGGTCTCCAGACCCTTTCCCCAGACACCAGCACCTGCTGCATGGTCCCACAGTGAGGGACACTCACTTCACTGAGCTAAGCTTCTGTTCTAAGTGGAGTTAGGGCCCTGTGGCCTCCTAAGAGTTCCTCTACCAACACAGGCTTCCTCTACAAACACAGATCTCAAATTGGTCCTGGCGATGCTTGTGCAAAGGGGGCCCCCTACAGTCCCAAATCTTGCACTGCAGGTGGCATTCCCAGTCCTTCCCTGCTCCAGTCCTGCAGCTGGGGAGGGTCTAGTGAAGGAACACAGACACTGCTGAATGTGGAGCTTTGAGAGCCCCAGAGGATCATGAATTTTAATCTATCTGTTATACAGATGGGAAAAGTGATGCTTATTTGCCCCCGGCCACACACCAGCAGAGCCAGGACTGGAATCCAGGTCTTTAAAATCCTGGCCAGTGTTCTTTCTACTTAACCTGGAGTTACCTCCCCCGCATCAGATTTAGGGTCAGTTGGGGACCCCCAGAGGCCTTCCATCACCGTAAACGTGCAGCCTGTATCCAATGGAGCTGGAGTGGCAGAGGAGCAAGTAGGGTCAGACGCCTTTCCCCGAGGGCATCAGGGGCTCTTGGGGGGCTTTCTAGGGGGATGGAGCAGAGCCATCCAGGACTCTCAGAGTTGTGGGACTTGCCCTGTGATGGACTAGCTGGGTGATTTTGCACTAGTCACGTAACCTCTCTGAGCCCCAACTTCCTCATCTGTAAATGAGTAAAACCATCATCCTCATAATTCCTACCTCACAGGGCTGTTGTGAGGAATAAATGAGATAACAACACGTGAAGGGCTCCACAATGACAGTGGCTACCATCTCCTCCCCCAGCTACTGCGAGGCAGCATGGCTCCGCCCTCTGAAGGTCTGTGATAATATCAGGGCTGGCTGTCTCCCAGCCTGGCCAGCCTCTGGCCTCAGCTTGGGATGCCAGGCCTCCCCCTGCAGCCCCCAGCGAGAGAAACAGGCAGTGGGCAGACATCTGGCCACTCAGCAGACACTGGCTTGGCAACCCAGCCCATTAGGGCAGAGAGGAGCTGGTGCCAAACCCCAAATGCGAGGGCTTGGCAGAAAGCTCTAGAATCCCAGTCCACACAAGGCTTTGGGGTAGGTACAGGGGTGAGAGATGAGCAGGTGGCTTCCATATAGGCCCGGAACAGCATTCCTTGACCCTGCCTGAGAACTCCAGCAGTTTTCAGTCCAGGCTGACATCAGAAAGGCCTGGTCCATCTTACTGTCTAGCCTTTTGCCACCTGGCCCAGGGGGCCCCTGGCCCTTCATGTACACTCCTTTGCCCACTGTGCCCAGCACAACTTTCACCCCTTTCTAGGAAAAGGTAACTGGGGGATGATGTCACACAGCGTTAGAGGGAAACCATAGCGGGAGAGACAGACAGAGGCACAGGGTCGGGGTGGGGGCCCAGTCCTGCCCTATTTTGCTTTGGAGAACTCCATCAATAATGCAAAGTCAAAGAGACTCCAGGTCTCAGGAGCTGGGCTCTGGGACACCAGGCAGCCAATCAGATACAATCCCCCCAACAAGGGTATGAGCTCATGGCTCCTCCCCACAGCTCTCCCTCTCCCTCCCCCACAGTAAGGCTCTCAGGGAATTGGTATTCTTCGGGCAGCGCCCCAAGCCCGTGACATCCCTTGACCCTGCTGATGACGCAGAAGTGCTGGGGCCAAACGAGGTCCAGAGGACAGGGACAGACAGCTCTGAAAGGCTTTGGAGCCGGAGGTGGGGCCACATCTCTGGCCCACAGATTCCCAGGAGGGCTCCCAAATCCCCACTCTCCCTCCCATCTGGCAGGTGATTGCCAGACCCCTCCGCCTCCTCCTAGCAGCCCTGGGAGTCATGCCATCACTAATACTCCATGGAAGCTGCCTCTCGGCTCTGACTTCTAGCTACAGTTCCCATGCCTGCGGAGAGGGTTCCTACTGGGGCCGGGGCCTTCCACATGTCTCTCCCCTCCCGCAACCCCCAGTTTCACTCTCAAAGGTCCTAGCACCTTCCAGGTGAAAGCACAGCCTGGGTTGGTGCCCCTTGGCATTACCTGCACAGCTGTCCCTGGAGGCCACAGAATGCACTATGGGCAGGAGAGCGGGCTGGGGCCCTGGCCGGAGTCTCGCTGCGCAAGACAGGGACAGGACGGGCACTCACGTGGCTGCGAGTCTCCCTGTTGCCACAGGAACAGCCTGAACTGAATGGCCCTTTCATGGGGCAGTGGGAGGCAAGCCAATTGGCTGGGATCCCCCATACCCCTCCCTGCCCAGTGCGGGGGGCCCCTGCTGCCCAGCTCCTTTCACTGTTTACCCAGAGCTGGCAAGTACAGGCATGCAGCTCCAGGCAGCGCCTCTCCAGGTGTCCGCCACCTTGGACAATGGGGGCAGTCCCCTGCCCAGCTCCTCCTCCTGGCCATCTTCACTGAGGTGTCCTGACCCTTCCTTCTCTGTCAGAGATTCCTGTTGCTTTGCTCAGTTTCCCTCTCCTGGGAGGTGCAGCAGAGTTCCTCTGCACAGAGGCACTGGGCTTCCTGTCAGGGCATCTGAGCCAAGCAGCTGTCACCCCAGCTGGCTGGTGCTGATCACCTCTGAACCAGGCCCCAGGCATGTTGAGTACTTCACATGCAGCTTCTGAGTCCATCTTCTCTGCAGTCTCACATCAGCTCTCATCGGCCCTTGCCATGTGACGCATTCTTCTAGATGTGCTTCATACACAGAGCACCCCAAAAAGTCTTAGTGCAGGTTTAAGCTGGGATTCTTTCAGACATAAATGTCTCCAACTTACACACCTCTTTGGACAGATTAAATTATTTAAATTAAAATTTAAAAACATTTTCACAATTAAAAAATAAATATACAAGAAATTTAAATATGGAAACTTTCAAATGAAGTTTTTAGCATTCATATTTCTGAAGTTATTAAAGCTTAAAACTGCACTAAGGCTTGGGACACAGTGCATTAACTCACTGAATCCTCCCTGCTCCTTTAAGCGGTAGGTGCTGTTATCACGTCCATTTGCAGATGAGGAAGTTGGCGATGCTGGGAGTGATGTGGATTTCCCAAAGTCACACTGGGAGCAGTGGCAGAGCTGGGCTGGACTCGTGCTCTGTCTGCTATATCTGGCCTGAAGCCCAGACCCCTGCTTCACTCTTCCCTGGCTCTCCATGGGACGGGTCAGGACTGGGACCTGTGGGTGGGGTTTGAGGGAAGGACCACCACAGGATCCAGGTGTCCGTCATCCAGTAACAGCATGCGGTGTACAGACTCTGGCAGGAGCAGCCCTCTGGATTTTCCACTGCAGGTGAATGAAAGTGAAGCCAGGTGCAACTCGAGCCCCAGAACAATACTGATAGGCCGAGAGATGGTCCAGGAAGCCTCCATTTCACCCACTGTGCCAAGCCCCTGCATGTCCCCTGGCACCAGCATCTACCCCAGCTCGGGGCCTTGGGTCCCTGGCCTGGTTATGAGCAAGTCCCTAGCCTCCTACCCTGGCTGCAGCTTGGCCCACTCCTCAAGGTACCCATGCTGGGTGAGTCAGGGGTTAAAATGAACCCTGTCCCCGTGGGGCAGCCAACCCCTTTGCTTCAGCCACTGTCATTTCCTGTTGCTCACATGAAGGGCTCCCTAACCTGCCCAGCCAGGGGAGGGACTTGCTCCCCAGGAATTCCAGGCGCTCCTGGCCCTGGGGGCAGGGGATGGGTGATGCCCCACATCCCAGTAACCTTCATGGCTTCTCTCTGCCCAGATCTGCTTGGCTTTCTGGGGTGAAAGCCTGCTTTGCTACTGGGGCCTGGATAGAGAGCCTCTAGCTGAGTTTCAGAAGCACGCCTAAACAGGGTTAAGTCTCTTCCCTCCTACTCAGGTGCCCGGAAAAGGTGAGTGGGGAGTCCCAGCCAGTCCCGCCAGGTGGTTGGGAGCCCCCACAGTGGTGACCTCAGAGCTTCCTAAAGCCACTTGCTAACAGCATCAGAATGTGCTGACCTTGAAGGACAAGGTGGGTGAGAGGGGGCCCTGTATCCTTCCATCTGCACTCTGACCCTGCCTCCCAGCTGCTTGGGTCACCTGCTGCACTATCTGGGCACAAGTGTCTGGTCCTGGAGGATGGGATGAGGGAATCCTGGCAGGTGTAGAGGACATGGGTAGAGTAGGGGATGGGGGGGCGGGGGCATATTTATGCTCAAACAGTCCTTGAACTCCGCCTACTCCTCTCAGGCCCCAGGGCCTGGGCTGGCCTCCTCCCCTCCAGCCTGTCACTAGGCTTTGTCTATCAGGGGCTAGCACCCGCTGATCCACCAGCCTAATCCTCTTGCCTCCCCTGGCAGGGGGTCATCCAAGGGAATTTGGGTCCATTTCTCTTTCTTGTGCTCCCAGTAGTTACCCAAGAGCTGGGGGAGGGGAGGAGGTAAGATAAAGAGACTGGAGATTAAGGCAAGAATCCTGACTGGTGGAGAAGAAGTGGATGGGCCCAGGGCAGTTTCTATAGGGTGCTCCTTGATTTGGGGTTGTGAGTGGGTGGGCATCTATACACTTCCAAGACAAGGCAAAGAAATGGGCCTCCAGGTAGTATTGGGATCCTTAAATTCTCTTTTCCAAGCACCTCTGCCCAGGTACTCTCCTGGTGCCCCCTCCCAAGGGGAGAGCCCCGGTCTCCTTCCTTCTCCTCTAGGGCGTCATCTTTCCTCTGTTCTCAGCCTCCGGAGGAGCCTTTGGTCTTGCCCCTGACACCCACCGGGCCCAATGGGGTGGCCTCTCACATGCTCTCCCAGATTCACTGATGTCTTTCCTCTAGGTAGAGTCCCAGAGAAGCTCAGATACCAAAGGGGCAGCTACTGACCTGTGTCCAGGGGCACTGGATGGGAGCTGGGGGCTTCTCCTTCCCCAGCAGGGCAGGGAATGCAGTGGAAAGCCCAGAAGCTGGAGCCTGACTCTGGGCTGGGTAATCCGGAGCTCAGGTTACTGACTCCGATATATATAGTATCTTATCTGACCTCGCAGACTCGCAGAGATGGCGAGTGCAACTCACTTGCATTCCAAGCCCCAGGAGAATTAAAGGGGCAGTGGCGTGCTCACCTTGAGGGGCTGCCCTTTCGGGCCAGTGCCAGCCAAGGAGGTCTGTGAGGACTCTTGGAAGGGGGGCATTTTGAAGGGGAACAATCGGGAGATTCAAGAGGAAAGAGCATTGAAAAGAGCACAGAGGGGTGGGGGTGGAACTTGAGACAAAAATATGGAGAAAGTGGATTTTCCAGAGCAGTCAGTCACAGAATTAGAGAACAGGAAGAAGCCATACAGTTAGCCCCACTCTTAATTTTGAGATAGAGTAGACCTAGAGAAAGAAAGCAGCTTGCTCAAGGGCATGTGCAGATAGCGAGAAGCAGAAAGGGGACTAGTACTCAGGTTTCAGTCCAATATTCTTTTCTAATGGACTTCTAGGCCTGGGATTGGAGGCTAGTTCTTTCCCTTATTGGCTCTGAAATAGTGGATAAGTCACTTAAGTTCTCTGAACCTTAGCTATTTAATCTGCAAAACGGGACTAATAGTAATAATAGTGGTCTATCTCAGTTGTGAGGATTAAATAAAATAATATTTGTAAATTTCATGGCCCATAGAGTTCAATAAACATTGATGATTATATTGAATACTTCCACTTCTTATTATAATTAGTGGTATTATTAATAATAGCGCCTTACCAGGTGAACCTTCCTAGGGAGAAAAGGAGGGTTACTCCTGGGGAAGTGTTCCTTTCTCTTTTTTTTTTTTTTTTTTTGAGACGGAGTCTCCGTCGCCCAGGCTGCAGTGCAGTGGCGCGATCTTGGCTCACTGCAAGCTCCGCATCCTGGGTTCACGCCATTCTCCTGCCTCAGCCTCCCGAGTAGCTGGGACTACAGGCTCCCGCCAGCACGCCCGGCTAATTTTTTTGTAATTTTAGTAGAGATGGGGTTTCACCGTGTTAGCCAGGATGGTCTCGATTTCCTGACCTTGTGATCCGCCCGCCTTGGCCTCCCAAAGTGCTGGGATTACTGCACTTTGAGCCACTGCTCCCGGCCGGAAGTGTGCCTTTCTAATGCCAGAGAACAGTCCCTTGGTTTTCTGAACTGACCATGTCCCATAACTGGGAAGGGCAAACAAGGCTTGCCATCTTCCTAGACGTCCAGTCCACCAAGCAGAGAAAGGCCAAGCCCATCTGGGCTCCTTCCCCCTTTGCCTAGAAAAATACGGCAAGTGCAGCTTCCCCCAGGCCACCAGGAGAATGCTTGGCCCCTCTGGGGTGGTTCCACTCTACCTGTGGGAGGGCTCAGGATTCCAGGGCCACAGAGCCGGGCTGGGCAGGGTCACAAGAGGAAGGAACGGGGTTCTTAGCCTCTCTGGCCTTGGTGCACTTGTCTGCTCCCAGGACGTTTCTCGATGGCTCTCCCCGAGGACTGGGAGTACCCAGCCTGGTGCCTCCACCCTGTCTTAGCACAGGCTACTGACTCAGCCCAGGTCCTAATGATGCACTTCAGAGGACGCCCTCATTCCAGTCCTCATTCTGACTCCAGTCTGACATGCATCTACAGCATCAAAGGAGGGGGCCTGCCTCGACCTTAGCCCAATCAGCTCTCCTTTCCTCTGCTTTACGGGGGTCCATCTGGGGGATGTTCTCATGCCCATTCCAGGGGAGGTGAGCAGCCCCTACCACTACCTCCAGCTCAGTCCCATTCTAAAGGCAGCCAGGTCAGGAGGTAGGATGTTCACTCTTCAGGGAAGGGCTAGAATGGGTTGGCTAGGGCTTCCCTTGACTGTTGAGAAGTTGCTCTCTCCGGAGCACCGCGTGCCTGCTTCTGGTTTGGGACTGGTGAGAATTTCAAAGCTGCCTCTTTCTGGTTTGGGATTGGTGGAAAATCTCCCCTTCCGCTTAATTGTTGCCCAACCCCCGCCCCTAACCCCCTTTAGCAAACTGACCGGGGAGCTTTAAGAGCAGCGAGTGAGCTGCACGCACACGTGGGGAGGGGGTTTGTCAGTGTCGCTCAGGCCACATACCACCGATATACACGGGGCACAGCGAGGAGGACCCGCCAAAGCAGCATTTCCTTAGAATACACTGATCAGCACACAGTTGGCTCTTCCTGGCACCCTGGGCTGTCAGCAGGCAGCCCTCACACAACTGGCAGACACAGCTGGAGCGTCCCTGCACAGCCGGCTCTCTCCCTATATTTCTAGTGTCCACTCTGCCCAGAATGTCGTGGACACCTTACTTTCTGAGCTCCAAACCGGCACTGATCCCCGAATCCCCCCTCCCGGATCCCCGACAGGTGGCACGTACCTGCCTCTTCTTGGAGTATGGACGAGTCGAACCGGGCACAAGCATGGAGCTGCGGGTGAGTCCCGGCTGGCGCTGGCGCGGCGCAGTGAGCACCAGCTGACGAAGAGGGCTCCCCGGCCTCGGCTCCTGCCTGACTCTCTCCCACCTCCGCCGGGGGCCCAGAAGGGACCTCCCCGGGAAATCGGCGCCACCCAGCGGGCAGCCGCCTCATCGCGCCTGGGCCGGCAGAGCCACACCCCGCGTCTCGCGTCACTGAGTCGCGTCACGGCTATTGGCTTGTTCCTACTGTGGCGTCATTAGAGCCCGGCCTCCGGCTGGGGCCACCCAGGCAACCGATATACACAGAGAACCACGTGGAGGAAAAGCACGCGAGTTTGGAGCGGGTGGAGCAGGAACAGAGGTGGACTGGAATGTCACACGACGGGGCAGCTGGAAGGTATTGGGAAAGAAGAGGCGTCATGGGAGAAGGCTCGGAACTTGAGCCCTGGGGCGTATCAACTTTCAGTTTTTAGGGAAGGCTAAACGTCCCCCACTCCCCTTCTCACTGGGCTGGGGGAGGTCCTGTTCCTCAGCCTCTTCTCTTTTTCTCTGCTGTCAAAGACACTCTCCGCTCATTTTACTTTCATGGGACCAGTGATTAGTGATGAATGCCTGAGTGGGTAAACGGAGGCACTGAGTCAATGAAAGAATTCTCTTTGGTCTTTTCAAGAAAAAGCCGAGACAAAACTTGAATTTTTGCTGCTCCCATTCCTTTTATGTAACCTTCTCCCGACTCCCCCGATGTTGATGAGGAAAATCGCACAACCAGGTAGCTGGGTACCAAGGCGAATCCAGGTTTTCAACTTCAGCTGCTCCATCAACCCTTGCAGCTGCCGTTAACTCCTCCCATCTTCACCATAGATCTCTCTCTCCATCGCTACTCTCCTCAAGTCCTTCCTTCTCTTCTATTTCCCAGAGAAATCAGACGCAATCAAGAGGGGAATTCTTAAATTTCTACCTACAAACATGTCTGAATCCATTCTTATCAGGAGCAGTGAAAGAGGCACCCCTGTTCTTGTCCAAGGCACGATTCCCTTCTTGATTTCAACTCTTGTTTTGTTTTTGTTTTTGTTTTTTGTTTTTTTGAGACGGAGTGTCGTCGCTCTTGTTGCCAAGGCTGGAGTGCAATGGCGCGATCTCAGCTCACTGCAACCTCCAGGTTCAAGCAATTCTGCCTCAGCCTCCCAAGTAGCTGGGATTACAGGCGTGCGCCACCACGCCAGGCCGATTTTTTTTTTATAGAGTCTTGCTCTGTTGTCCAGGCTGGAGTGCAATGGCATAATCTCGGCTCACTGCAACCTCCTCCTCCCGGGTTCAAGTGATTCTTGTGCCTCAGCCTCCCCCGAGTAGCTGGGATTACAGGAGCCCACCACCACGCCTGGCTAATTTTTGAATTTTTAGTAGAGACAGGGTTTCACCGTGTTGGTCAGGCTGGTCTTGAACTCCTGACCTCAGGTGATCCACCAGCCTCAGACCCCCAAAGTGCTGGGATTACAGGTGTGAGCCACTGCACCCGGCCCCAGCTAATTTTTTGTATTTAGTAGAGATGGGGTTTCACCATGTTATATTTCCTTAGGGCCCTCATTCCATCACTTCATTTTACAGATGGATATTGGACATGCCAGTCACTCTTCTAGAAACTGGGGATATAGCAGGGAACAAAACAGGCACAATCCCTGCCCTCAGGGAGCTTACATTCTAGTAGAAGCAGGACTAAATAAGTAGAATATGTAATATGTTAGATGATGCTAAGAGCTATGGGGCACATCAAGCAAGGAGGAGGTGCGTTCGGAGAAGGTAACATTCAAGTGACCTGAGGGAGGCTAGGCGTGAACTACACATAAATGTGGGGAAAGAATGTTCTAGGCAGAGAGAAGAGTAAAAGTAAAGGTCCTGAGGTGGGAGCGACCTGCCACTTTCGAGGAAGAACAAAGTCAATGTGGCTGGAGTGAAGAGAGAGAAAGATAGGGAAAGAGTGGGAGACGCGATCAGAGAGGTCAGAGAAGGACCCAGCCTGTAGGTCCCCAAGGCCATTCTGAGGACTTTGGCTTTTATGAAGCTACTGGAAGGTTTTGAAACAGGGTTGTCCAATCTTTTGGCTTCCCTGGGTTATGGTAGAAGAAGAATTATTGTTTTGGGCCACACATAAAATACACTAACACTAAAGATAGCTGATGAGCTTTAAAAAAAACTCATAATGTTTTAAGAAAGTTTACGAATTTGTGTGGGGCCACATTCAAAGCCATCCTGGGCCACATGTGGCCTGCATACTGTGGGTTGGACAAGTTTGTTTTGAGCAGAGGAGGGACACGGATCTGATTTTTGTTTTAACAAAATACCTTTTGCTACTGTGTAGAGAACAGCTCTGAAGAGAGCAGAAGCGGGAGACCATTTAGGAGGTCATTGTGAGCGTCTGGTTAGTGTGGTAGCAGGACAGGTGATGCAAAGTGGTGGATTTTGGAAGTATTTTGAATGTGGACTAACAGGATTTTCTGATGAATTAGGCAGTGTGGGGAGGAGGGAGGAATTTTTCACCTGAACTTTAACTGAGGAGGGGAAGGCTATGGTAGGATAATCGCTTGAACCTGGGAGGCAGAGGTTTCGGTGAGCCGAGATGGTGCCACTGTACTCCAGCCTGGGCGACAGAGCAAGACACAGTTTCAAAACAAAAAACAAAAAACATATGTCTACTAGGCATCAAAATGGAGATGTCAAGAAAGCAGCTGCATATGCAAGTTTGGTGTGGTCTGGGCTGGCGATAAAAGATTGAGAGTCATCAGCATATGGAAGTTATTTAAAGCCAGGAGATGAGAAGAATTACCAAGGGAGCAAGTGTAGATAGAAAAGATGTGCAAGGACTTAATTCTGGAGCTCTCCAATATGAGCTTGAGATCAGTTGGAACTGTCAGAGAGATGGAGGCATAGGACCAGTGTAGAGAGGAAAAAATCCCAGGAGATGGTGGTATGCTAAAGGCCAAGAGAAGGAAACTTACCAAGGAGGAGGGAAAGGTCAATTGTGTCAAATGTGGCCCATAAATTATGTAAGATGAGTTTGAGAATTGATTGATTGATTTTTTTTTTGTTTTATGTTTTGTCCCTCCCTTGCCCCCCTACTGGAAAGTATATAGAGCAAAGATAATTGATTGAAGGTCATTGGTGATTTTGACGAGAACAGTTTTGGTGGAGTGGTGGGGGTAAAAGTCTGATTGCGGATGAGTTTAAGAAAGAATGGGAGGAGAGGGATGGCAGCAGTATAGACAACTCTTTGGAGGAGTTTTCTTGTAAAGGAAGGAGAGAAATTGGATGGGAGCTAAAAGGAGAAGCGAGGTCAAGAAAACTTTTTAAGTGGGAAAAAATAGTTATATGTTATATGCTGATGGGGAAGAGGCAGTAGAGAGTGAAGATTGACAATGCAGTGGGGAGTGAGGAGAATGTCTGAAGAAATGTCCCTGATGAGGGGAGAAGGGATTGGACAGAGTCCAGAAGCAGAGGGGCTGGCTTTGGTTAGAGGACTGATGGCTCATGAAAAGTAAAAAGAGAGAAGGCACGATATTTGGGCATAGATGTGGGAAGGCGGATTGATGTGGGGGAAGCTGGTGGATATTATCTCTTTGTAGCCTTTTTTTTTTTTTCTCTTAGTGAATTAGGAAGCAGGGTCAGCTGACTGTGAGGATGAAGGGGAAAGGCTTAGAAGTTTGAACCTAGAGGTGGAGTTCTAAAGTCACTGAGAACAGTGATTCTCAAACTTTAGTGTGTATCAAAACCACCTAGAGAGCCTATTAAAGCCCTCCCACAGCCTGGGCAACATAGAGAGACCCCATCTCTACAAAAAATAAAAAAATCAGCCAGGTGTGGTGGTGTGCGCTTGTGGTCCAGCTACTCAGGAGGCTGAGATGGGAGGATTGCTTGAGCCTGGGAGCTCAAGGCTGCAGTGAGCTGTGATTGTGCCACTGCACTCCAGCCTGAGCTACAGGGTGAGATGCTATCTCAAAAGAAAAAAAAAAAAAGCCCTCCTTTCCCCCAGACGTTCTGATTCAGTAGGTCTAGGATGGGCCCAGGAATCTGCATTTCTAACAAGTTCCGGGTGATGCTGCAGTCGCCTGTATGGGGATGACCCTTTGAGAACTACTGTGTGAGAGAGTGGGGCAGTGACTGGACTCGAATTCCCACAAATGCAGTGTGGTTGTCAGGTAGCATCAGGGGCCCAGCTGAGGTTAGAAATCATGATTTGAAAGTGTCTCCAATCACATCCCACTCACAATTGCTTGCACATGTTTGGAGTCCTATCTCTTTAAAACTTCCATTTTCTACTGACTTTTCCTTTGACATATAAAAGGCTCCACACCCTTCCTCTTTAAAAAATGAAAATCTTTAACTTAGGTTCTAGCTCTCCCCTCTTCACAATTCTCTTGGCAGAGTTGTGCATGCTATATTTCCTACCTCCTAGTCTATGCAGCATCCACAACACATCTGCTCTCCCTCCAACCTCAGGACTCTTCTGTTAGGCATCATTACTGATCTAGATGCTAAATCCAATGGGCACTTTTTAGTTGTAATCAGGCACTTGACCACCTACAAATCTGATACCTCCAACCATTTCCTCCCTCAGCTGTGTCCTCCTTTAGGTTTTGTGGACACACTGCTTTTCTGGTTTTCCTCCTGACAGCTGTCACCTTCTCATTCTCCTTTTCCCCTGATGTTCCTTTATCCTCCTTTCAGAGCAGCGTATAGCACAGTGGTTGTTATATGTGAAGGTTGTAGATTTACTGGGATAACTTCTGATTTCTCTGGCTCCTAGCTGTGAGACATGAAACATTTATATCTGTTTCTTCATATATTTACAAAAGTGAGGCTGGGCATGGTAGCATGTGCCTGTGGTCCTAGCTGCCTGGGAGGCTGAGGTGGGAGGATGGCTTGAGCTCAGGAGTTTGAGTCCAGCTTGGGCAACATAGGGAGACATTGCCACTTAAAAAAAAAAAAAAAAGATAGGCCGGGCGCGGTGGCTCACGCCTGTAATCCCAGCACTTTGGGAGGCCGAGGTGGGCGGATCACAAGGTCAGGAGATCGAGACCATCCTGGCTAACACACTGAAACCCCGTCTCTACTGAAAATACAAAAAAATTAGCTGGGCGTGGTGGCGGGCGCCTGTAGTCCCAGCTACTCGGGAGGCTGAGGCAGGAGAATGACGTGAACCTGGGAGGCGGAGCTTGCAGTGAGCCAAGATCGCGCCACTGCACTGCAGCCTGGGCGACGGAGACTCCGTCTCAAAAAAAAAAAAAAGATAGTAGTAGTACCTGCTTCACAGGGTTCTCATTTGAGGATCCAATGAGTCAGTATGCATAAAAAGCTTACAACAATGCCTGGCACATAGTGAGTATGTAAGGTCATCACTCCGAGCTACTACTCATCCGTCAGGTGCTACTTGTGTAGGCTGATGATGCAAAAATCTGTATTTTCAAGCAGGCCTCATTCCTGAGCAGCAGTCATAATTATCCACCTGCCTCCTGACATCCCTAGATGCCTCATCAGCATCTCAGCCTTGACATGCCCAAACCTTCAACTCAGCATTTTTCACTCAGTTTTCCCCCTTTCTTTATTCCCCACATCCATGAATGGCACCACCATCTGTCCAGTTCCCTGGTCAGAAATTTGGTAGTTTCTAGCTTCTCTCAGTCCCTTGATTTCTTTCTTTTTTTTTTTTTTTTGAGACAGAGTCTTGCTCTGTTGCCCAGGCTGGAGTGCAGTGGTGCGATCTCGGCTTACTGCAACCTTCACCTTCCGGATTCAAGTGATTCTCCTGCCTCAGCCTCCCGAGTAGCTGGGATAACTGGTGCTTGCCACCATGCCTGGCTAATTTCTGTATTTTTGTAGAGATGGGGTTTCGCCATGTTGGCCAGGCTGGTCTTGAACTCCTGACCTCAGGTGATCCACCCGCCTCGACCTCCCAAAGTGCTGGGATTACACATGTGAGCCATTGTGCCTGGCCACAGTCCCTTGATTCTTATAGTGGTATTATCTTATTCTACAGACTCATATGCAGGAGCATACACATAACATTGTTTTTTCTATAATATAACTACATTTATAATATTTTTTACACACTTTTTATTTTTCTGAGACTGTCTTGCTATGTTGCGCAGGCTAGTCTCGAACTCCAGGGCTTAAGGGATCCTCTGGCCTCAGTCTCCAAGTAGCTGGGACTACAGATGTATGCCACAGTGCCTGGCTCTTATGTTTCTATTCTGAGCCAGCTTCTATTCTCCTGGAATGTTGGATGCTTCATTTTAATCCATTGGTGGAATCACCCCTCCTCTCTCCAGGGATTGCCTTAATTCTGGGAGGGTGTCTCTTATGTATATATTTTGCCAAAGCACTGGTGGAAGTGGGTCCTGTTATTAAGTGGCCACTCAATGTCCTCTGAGATATCCTCTGCCTGGCTCCTGCTTGTATGGCCTCTTTAGGTCTGGTGTCTGTGTGCTACCTCTCAGTTGCTCTTGGACACAGGGTTCATTCTACTGCTCCCATGCCCTGGAGTAGCATGAGAAAGTGTGGCACTGTCTATGGTTCAAGCTGCCTCCACAATAGGCTACCCTCTGCAGCCATGTCTTCTTTTGGGGGGTCTTGTCTCCTTCCTAAGGCTCTGCCTTGGATATAGTTCTGGGGCTCCACTGCCATCAGGTCTCAGAAACTTACTTGGGGGTTTTGCTGTCTCTCTGCACTCAGGTGCCTGAGGACAGAACCCACCACTGTCTGTGCTGTCACTACGTTCCCGCTGGCTCTTGCCTGCGAGTTGTGCTCATGTCATGGAACTGGGGTGAAATCAGTGCGAGGCCTTGCTTTATCCAGAATATTTCCTGCACATCTTCTATCCAGACTGGGAGTCCTTTCTGTTTTCCTAAGGGCCTGCCTAGGCGATTGAAATTCAAAAGTCAGAAGTGGCTTTCTGTTTCCCCTCGTTTTTGTTGCATCTTTTCACTGAGACATCAGCGCAAAAGCTGGGCTGCTCAAGCTGAGGCCATAGGAGAGAAGGGGAAGAAACCACAAATAATATTGTAAGATGTCATCATATCCCCTATATCCAGTGGGCGCCATGGATTCTACGTCTTTAGCCACCCTAAAATTTCCCCCTTTTCACCCACATTGCTTCTGTCGTAGTTTGGGGTTTTATTGTTATATTTCTTCTGGTTTGAGAGTATTCCCTTCCTAATCACAGGGTTAGGTTGCTGAAACAATGGGAGGTTTTGCAGATGAAGATCCTTGATAAAAGATAAGATTCAGAAAACTGAACGACCTATGAAATGCCTGATAAATACCGTATCTTCACTAGAATCACAACTAAAATTTAGCACACTAAATAAATTATCAACAACAGATCTGAAATTAGTAGTAGTGTGTATTGTGTAATTTCCACGTATCCCTGGGTGATTTAATGTTTTTAGGATTTCCCTGCAGTTCCAACAAGAGAGTGGTAAATCCAGTTTGTTTTGATGCAGATGATATATTGTTAGATATTCTCTTTGGGTCAAGTTGCTAATCCAGACATCCAATACCTTCTGATTTGAGGATTTCCAGTTATTGCCCTCACTGGCCCCATCGTGGTCTTCAAAACAGCTTTGGGGGACCTGGTTTGAGATTAGATCCTGAGATTTTTGAAACCTTGGTAAGGGGAAGCAGGAAAAACTATTTAAAAGTTGCAGGCCAGGCATGGTGGCTCACGCCTGTAATCCCAGCACTTTGGGAGGCCAAGGCGGGTGGATCATAAGGTCAAGAGATCGAGACCATCCTGGCCAACATGGTGAAACCACGTCTCTACTAAAATTACAAAAAATTAGCCGGGTGTGGTGGCGGGCGCCTGTAGTCCCAGCTATTCGGGAGACTGAGGCAGGAGAATCACTTGAACCTGGGAGGCAGAGGTTGCAGTGAGCCGAGATTGTGCCACTGCACTCCAGCCTGGCGACAGAGCGAGACTCCATCTCAAAAAAAAAAAAAAAAAAAAGGTTGCAGCCAGGTGTGGTGACTCACGCCTACAATCCCAGCACTTTGGGAGGCCGGGTTGGGTGGATTGCTTGAGCCCAGTAGTTTGAGGCCAACCTGGGCAACATGGAGAAACCCTGTCTTTACAAAAAATTAGCCAGGAGTGGTGGCACAGGCCTGTAGCCTCAACTACTTGGGAGGCTGAGGTGGAAGGATCACTTGAGCCTGGGAGGAAGAGGTTGCAGTGAGCCGTGATCATGCCACTGCATTCCAGCCTGGCAACAGAGAGAGATCCTTCCTTGCCTCTTCCAGCTTCTGGAGCCTCAGGTGTTTGTTGACTTGTGACTGCATCACTCCAATCTCTGCCTCCGTCTTCACATGGCCTTCTTCTCTCTGTCTCCTGTTTCCCGGTGTCCAACTTTCCCTTGTTTTATAAGGACACTAGTCATTAGATTAGGGCCCTCCTCATCTTAACTTGATTACACCTGCAGAGCCTGTTTCCAGGTGCGGTCACTTTGACAGGTGGTGGGGATAAGTGTCTTGCTTACCTCTCTTCTGGTAAGCAGCCCTGCTCTCTGGAGCTCCTGGTGTCTGGTTTTGGTATCGCCATCTTTTGTTGCTGGCAGCTGCTGGCTTCAGGGAACTTCATCTCCTTTACAACTGGCTCCTGGCCCATTGTCTTCCTCTCTGCCCTTCTCCTTCATCATCTTGGGATGTCAGCAGCCAGAGAGCTGGCCTGTCACTTTGGACCTCTTGAGTCCCTTTCTCATTGTGGCTCATCTGCCCACCCGCCAGCATCTTCACGTCCTTACACAGTAGACTCTACAATGCCTCATTAGACTCTCTCCTTTGCCAACTTCCTTCAATTTTTTGCCCCTCCTTCTTTCTGCTGTTCTTGCCTGGAAACACCTGGATCTTTGCTGAAGCCATCTTCTCCACCTCCCTGTGCCTGCACTCACACAGTTGGAAGATACAGATCACCTGATTAGGTCCACTTTACGTTCAGGACCACAGACCTCAGATGGACATACTCAGCACTGCCCAGCATCTCTATTATGTTTCCCTGGTATGTTTATTTGCCTGCCATATTTTCTATTGCTGTATAACACATGCCCCAAAATCTAGTGGCTAAAAAAATACCCATTTATTTTATTATTATTTTTTAAAAAATGATAGACATGAGGTCTCATATGTTGCCCAGGCTGGTTTCAAACTCCTGAGTTCAAGCAATCCTCCTGCCTCAGCCTCCCAAAGTGCTAGGATTACAGGCATGAGCCACTGCACCTGGACAATATCCATTTCTTATCTTATAGCCTGTAGGTCAGAAGTCCTGGTGGGCTCAGCTGGTTCTCTGGTCAGGGTCCCACAAGACCAAATTCAAGGTGTCAGCTGGGCTGGACTCATGTCTGGAGGCTTGGGGCAAGGATCGACTTCCAGGTTCATTCAGGTTGTTGGTAGACTCCAATTCCTCATGGCTGCAGGTGTGTGGCCCCTATTTCCTTGCGTTAAAGAAAAATCTGAGGCGCAATAATGTTTTTGAGTTTATTTGAGTAAGAAGCAATTGATGAATTGGGAAACACCAAACTGAAGAGGTCTGTTCTGGCGGCAAGCCATCAGGGGCAAGTATTTATGGGGTAAATACAGAAGCAAAATCAATAAATTATTTGGTTGTTTGCAATTATACAATTGCCTTATTTGGCCTATCCTGTTGGAAAGTCCTTGGTTATATAGTATAACTGTTTTGGCTATTTCTGACTGGTTGAGCCTATGATTTGTTTTTCCTTAATATAGGCATTTATAAGAAAAAAGTCAAGTTTCACTTATGTTTGCAAATCAAGCAAGGTTTAGGTCTCGTTATGAAGCCTCACTGGTTTTGTCTGCTCAGGGATTCTTCAGGCCTAGTATCTCTTTAAATTTACTCTAAGAGCTCCCCGCTTTTGGTCATTCTCCCAGCAAGCTGAGAGTGTGACCGAACAGTATAGCATTACTCTCGGTAACCAGGTTACCATTATTGACTAGTTACTGGAACAAAGAATCGTGTAGATGTTGTCATTCTCAACAGTTGCATTGGAATGTAAGGTCAGGTAGTTATCATTATCTGCAGTTGCAGAGTCATCATAGGCTTGAGTGGTGGGGTTGTTGCGTTCTTCTAGTTGTCTAATCCTGACGGCAATTGTTTGATGTGTGAGTGGTTAGGGTCTCACACCTGAATGCTGCTGGAAAGCATTCAAATCCCTTGAGAGGATACAGTGGACTACAGAGATGAAAACCATGATTATAAGGAGAATAATAGCCAATAATTGAAAATTCTCTGGAGCAGACATTGAGCTCAGGAGTTCAAGACCAGCCTGGCCAACATGGTGAAACCCCATCTCTACTAAAAATACAAAAAGCCAAGAATTAACCCATTAAATAAATCAGTAGATCAGGTAGATCGCACCTATCTGATGAGGAACTTACATTTGTTTAAGATCATTTGAATTGGGGGCAATAATTTCTTTTTTTTTTTTAAATTATTTCCATAGGTTTTTAGGGGAACAGGTGGTATTTGGTTACATGAGTAAGTTCTTTAGTGGAGATCTGTGAGATTTTGCTGCATCCATCACCTGAGCAGTGTACACTGAACCCAATTTATGGTCTTTTATCCCTCACCTTCCTCCCACCCTTTTCCCTGAGTCCCCAAAGTCCACAGTATAATTCTTACACCTTTGCATCCTCATAGCTTAGCTCCCACTTATAAGTGAGAACATATGATGTTTGGTTTTCCATTCCTGAGTTACTTCACTTAGAATAATAGTCTCCAGTTTCATCCAGGTTGCTATAAATCCATTAACTCCTTTTTATGGCTGAGTAGTATTCATATATATATATATATATATATATATATATATATATATATAAATATATATAAATATATCACAGTTTCTTTATCCACTCATTGATTGATGGGCGTTTGGGTTGGTTCCATATTTCTGCAGTTGTGAATTGTGCTGCTATAAACATGCATGTGCAAGTATCTTTTTTGTAAAATGACTTGTTTTCTGGGTAGATACTCAATAGTGGGATTGCTGGATCAAATGGTAGTTCTACTTCTAGCTCCTTAAGGAATTTCCACTCTGTTTTCCGTAGTGGTTGTACTAGTTTACATTCCCACCAGCAATGTAGAAGTGTTCCCTCATCACTGCATCCACACCAACATCTATTATTATTATTATTGTTATTATTATTATTATTTTTTTGAGATGGAGTCTCGCTCTGTCTCCCAGGCTGGAGTGCAGTGGCACGATCTCGGCTCACTGCAAGCTCTGCCTCCTGGGTTCACGCCATTCTCCTGTCTCAGCCTCCCGAGTAGCTGGGACTACAGGCGCCCGCCACCACACCCGGCTAATTTTTGTATTTTTAGTAGAGATGGGTTTTACTGTGTTAGCCAGGATGGTCTCGATCTACTGACCTTGTGATCCACCCGCCTTGGCCTCCCAAAGTGCTGGGATTACAGGTGTGAGCCACTGTACCCGGCCCCCATTATTTTTTGATTATGGCCATTCTTGCAAGAATAAGGCTGTATCACACTGTGGTTTTAATTTGCATTTCCCTGATCGTTAGTGACGTTGAGCATTTTTTCATATGTTTGTTGGCCATTTGTATATCTTTTTTTGAGAATTGTGTATTCATGTCCTTAGCCCACTTTTTGATGGGATGGTTTGTTTTTTTCTTGCTAATTTGTTTGAGTTCCCTGTAGATTCTGGATATTAGTCCTTTTTTGGATGTATAGGTTGTGAAGATTTTCTCCCACTCTGTGGGTTGTCTGTTTACTCTGCTGACTGTTCCTTTTGCTGTACAGGAGCTCTTTAGTGTAATTAAGTCCCACCTATTTATCTTTGTTTTTGTTGCATTTGCTTTTGGATTCTTAGTAATGAAGTCTTTGCCTAAGCCAATGTCTAGAAGAGTTTTTTTTCCCAATGTTATCTTCTAGAATTTTTATAGTTTCAGGTCTTAGATTTAAGTCCCTGATCCATCTTGAGTTGATTTTGTATAAGGTGAGAGATGAGGATCCAGTTTCATTCTCCTATATGTGGCTTTCCAGTTATCCCATGGGGCAATAATTTCTAATTTATTGACATAGAAACAACATTTTTTTTTGAGACAGGGTCTCACTCTGTCACCCAGGCTAGAGTGCAGTGGTGCAATCGAGGCTCACTGCAGCCTTGACCTCCCAGGCACAAGGGATCCTCCCACCTCAGCCTCCCAAGTAGCTAGGACTATAGGCATATGCCACCACACCTGACTAATTTTTGTATTTTTTTTGGAGATGGGGTTTCTCCACAGTGCCCAGGCTGGTCTCAAAACCCTAGGCTCGAGTGAACTGCCCACTTTGGCCTTCCAAAGTGCTGGGATTATAAGTGTGAGCCACCATACCTGGTAAAACATTTTTTTAATCAATAAAAGCACAAGCTCTTCTTTGTTAAACTGTGAGGTATCAAGCACTCCTGTTTTGGAGTATTTTTGAGGCTAAATTGTTCATTTCAGATTATATTGCTCGAAGAGTATTCAAGTTATCATTCTATGAAAACAAAGGAAAAACGAAGATTAATATTTGGAGCAAATTATGATCTTAGTCTTTGTGTCTGGAGGGTCAAGATTTGTAGATTTGACTTTGAAGTATCTTTAGATGGTGGAATGAAGATGGCATTTGAGAGCTGGTTATATCATCAGGTGGTGTTCTGGTGAACTCACATAGCAGCAGGCATAAAGGTTGTCTATACATGGTCTGTTGCAGTGATTTTTTTCTGAAGTTTGAAGTCATCCAGTTTCAGCTTTTAGGACTTGAGAAAAGGGCAGTTTTAGTTTTTAATGAAACTAGAAAACTTGAGGATTCAATCCAGTTTATAGATGGATAACAAATCTCAAAGAAAATAAACAGGACTAGAATTTGGTAATTGGTGCGCTACAGTTTTCTATTGAAATGTAATCTTTTTAATAGTCACTCATTTTTATAAAAAATAGTCACAGTTAAATTTTTTTAACAAAATAAGTCTTGTTTCAATAAGGTAGATCTGATTATATAAGTGCAACACAGATATTAATTCCATGTAAGTTTTAAAATATGATATTTTAGTCAGTGCTTTGGTAATATCCAAGGGGCTTTACTGACTTTGTATCCATCAACTTTAGTTTTTTAAAACTATCTGGTATCAGCACTCCCTTAGCCACCCCGGCTGATGTCTCAGTAAGTTGTGTGCCTCTACAGTCCACTGGCTTTGGGCTCAGTTCAGCACTAGGACTCGCCTAGGAGTTGCAGTCCTTGTGACCTAGACTGCCTTTCAAGTTTCTTTAGAGCCCCAGAGCACTTTAGCCCATGGTGGCGAGGCTTGTGGGGAACTCAAGTTCACGCTGCTGGGATTGGCAATTCCCCTCTGGCTAGGGCTGCTTTAAATGCTCCCCCCATGGGTGGGCATTAACTGAGTTTGGTCTGGTTTTGTTTTCTGCTATAACAGGGCACCACTGAGTTCAGTACTTCAAAATTGCCGTGCTCTACCTCTCCCCAGTGCACAAAAACACTCTCCACACCAAGCTGCTGCTGCTGGGGGATGGAGGGATGGCGTCAGCGATTCAAGACTGTTTTTCCTACCTGTTCAGCACTTCTTTCAGCGATATGAAGTTAAATCCAGGTACTATGAGTGCTCACTTGATTTTTGTTTCTTATGAAGGAGCTTTTTGTGTGTGTGTGTGTGTGTGTAGATAGTTGTTAAATTGGTGTCCTTGCCAGGGAGGAGGGGACAATTAGTGGAGTCTCTTATTCTGCCATCTTGCTCTTCCTCAATATGCTCTTTCTTGCAGATCTTTTACAACTCTCTATATTTGTTCAGTTTGCATCTTACTTGTTTTCTTCTTTATTATTCTGGAACAATCCTCTTGTTTTTAAGATAACATCATTCTCTTTTTCCTTTAAAGGAAACACATTCCTTATATACTTTTTCTTGCTAAAAACTCATCTACTTTTAAAATACATTTTTTATATACAGTTGTTTTCTTTCTTTCTTTCTTTTTTTTTTTAGGAGTCTTCATTTGTCACCCAGGCTGGAATGCAGTGGTTCAATCTCAGCAGCTCACTGCAGCCTCTGCCTCTCAGGTTCCAATGGTTCTTGTGCCTCAGCCTCCCAAGTAGCTGGGATTACAGGCATGTGCCACCACACCCAGCTATTTTTTTTTTCTGTTTTTAGTAGAGATAGGGTTTTGCCATGTTGGCCAGGCTGGTCTTGAACTCCTGGCCTTAAGTGATTCACCTGCATTGGCCTCCCAAAGTGCTAGAATGACAGGCTTGAGCCCTGCACCCAGCTGAGTTATTTTCTTTCATCTTTACTACTTCTAGTGGTCTTTATTACATATATTAATTAGAATTCTTTTTTATTTTTATTTTTTTGAGATGAGGTCTCTGTCACCCGGACTGGGAGTGCAGTGGTGTGATCTTGCCTCACTGTAACCTCTGCCTTCTGGGCTCAAGTAATCCTTCTACTTCAGCCTCCTGAGCAGCTGGGACCACAGATGTACGCCACCATGCTGGGCTAATTTTTTATTTTTATTTTTTTTTAATTTTTGGTAGAAAAGGGGTTTTACCATGGTGCCTAGGTTTGTTTTTTTTTTTTTTTTCCCCTTTGAGACAGAGTTTCGCTTTGCTGCCCAGGCTGGAGTGCAGTGGCATGATCTCGGCACACTGAACCTCTGCCTTTGGGGCTCAAGCCATCTTCCCACCTCAGTCTCCCAAGTAGCTGGGACTACAGGCATGTGCCACCAAGCCTGGCTAATTTTTAAAATTTTTTGTAGAGATGGGGTCTCACTATGTTGCCCAGGCTGGTCTTGAACTCCTGGGCTCAAGTGAATTAAAATTCTTAAACACATTTTTTTTTTTTTTAGAGACAGGGTCTTGCTCTGTCACCCAGGCTGGAGTGTAGTGGTGTGTGATCATGGCTCACTGCAGCCTCAACCTCCTGGACTCAAGCAATCCTTCCACATCAGCCTCCTAAGTAGCTGGGACTATAGGTGCACACCACTGCACCCAGGTATTTAAACATTTTTTTTGTAGAGACAGAGTCTCATTATGTTGCTCAGGCCGGTTTCAAACTCCTGGGCTCAAGTGATTCTCTTGCTCTGGCCTCCGCAAGTGCTAGGATTACAGATGTGACCCACCACACCCAGCCTAAAATTCTTAACCCCTAGTAACCTTAATTTCTAGTGACAATTCCTTTCTAGTGGAAAGGAAGCACGTGATTTTGTAATTTTGATTTTTACAATTTTATTCCTTTTTATATTTTATTTTTTGCCTTTATTATTAGTTTTAATTGACAAATAATAATCATATATATTTATGGGATACAGTGTACTATTTTGATACATGTTTACAATGTAATCAGGGTAATTAGCATATCCATTACCTCAAGCATTTATCATTTCTTTGTGTTGAGAACATTCAAAATCTGCTCCTCTAGCTATTTTAATAATAAAATCAATTGTTGTTGGTTATAGTCATTCTATTGTGCAATAAAGCACTAAAACTTATTTCTCCTGTCTAACTGTACTTCTGAATCCATTAACAAACCTTTGGCTATTGCCCTATTTCCGCTACCCTCCCCAGCCTCTAGTAACAAGTATTCTAATCTCTACTTCTACAGGATCAATGTTTTTAGCTTCCACATATGAATGATAACAGTGTTACTTATCTTTCTGTGCCTGGCTTATTTTACCTAACATAATGTCCTCCAAGCTCATCTATGTTGCCACAAACGACAGAGTTTCTTTTCTTTTTTTTTTTTTTTTGAGACACTTTTGGTCTGTCACCCAGGCTGGAGTGCAGTAGTGCAATCATGGCTCACTGTAGCCTTTACCTCCCAGGCTCAAGTTATCCTCCCACTTCAGCCTCCCAAGTAGCTGGGACTACAGGAGTGCACCTCTATGCCCGGATAATTTTAAAATTTTTTTGTAGAGATGGGGGGTCTCATGTTTCTTAGTCTGGTCTTGAACTCCCAGACTCAAGAAATCCTCCTACCTTGGCCTCCCAAAGTGCTGAGATTACAGGCATGAGCCACTGTGCCCAGTTAGGATTTCAGATTTTTTTTTTAATGGCTAAACAGTGTTCCTTTGTGTGTACATACACCAGTTTTTCTCTATCCATTTATCTGTTGATAGGCATGTCACCTACAAAGGAAAACAGTAATTCTCCAGTAACAGATCTCAATCATAAGGAAATATATGAAATGTCAGAAAAAGAATTTAAAATAATAATCTTAGGGAAACTCAGTGAGACACAAGAGACTACAAATAGACAATTCAATGAAATCAGGAAAATAATTCATGATATGAATGAGAAATTTAACAGAGTATATAACAAAGGGTCCAATAAAAATCCTAGAGCTGTAGAATTCAATGAAGGAAATAAAAAATACAATGGAGATCTTTAACAACAGACTAGACCAAGCAGAAGAAAGAATTTCTAAACTTGAAGACAAGTCTTTTGAAATCACACAGGCAGACAAACAAAACAAAACAGAAAAAAAAGAAGAAAGCCTACAGGATTTGTGGGATACTATTAAGTGGACAAATATTCATATTATGGGCATTTCAGAAGGAAAAGAGAAGAGAAAAGGTGAGAAAAACATATTTAATGAAATAATAGCGAAAGACTCCCCAAGTCTTAGGAGAGAAATGGACATCTGGGTGCAGGAAGCTCAAATAACCCCAAATAGATTCAACCCAAACAGGTCCTCTCTGAGGCACATTATAGTCACATTGTCAAAGGTCAAAGACAAAGAAATAATTTAAAGCAGGAAGGGAAAAGTGTCAAGTCACATGTAAGAGAATCCTTATTAGACTAACAGTGGATTTCTCCCACCGGAAACCCTGTTACAGGCCAGGAGAGAATGGGATAGTATATTCAAAGTACTGAAAGAAAAAAGCTGTCAGCCAAGAATATATACCCAGCAAAGCTACTCTTCAGAAATGAAGGAGAAATAAAATCTTTCACAGATAAGCAAACACAGAGAGAATTCATTACCACTGGATCAGCTGTACAAGAAATGCTCAAAGGAGTTTTACATTGGGAAGAAACGACGATAACCACCATCATAAAAACATGCAAAACTATATAACTAATTGGTAGAGCTGATACATAAACAAGAAAGAGAAAGCAGTCAAATCTTATCACTACAGAAAACCACTCAATTCCAGACATAAGCAATAGGAGAGGAAGTAAGGAACAAACAATGTGCAAGACAATTAGAAAACAATAAAATGACAAAAGTAAGTCCTCACCTATAAATAATAACCTTGAATGTAAATGGACTAAATTTCCCATTTAAAAGATGTAGATCGAAGCTGGCTGTGGTGGCTCATACCTGTAATCCCAGCACTTTGGGAGGCCAAGACAGGAAGATTGCTTGATGCCAAAAGTTCAAGACCAGCCTGGACAACATATTGAGACCTCTTATTTAAAAAAAATTAAAGAATTAGCTGGGTGTGGTGGCACATGCCTGTAGTCCCAGCTACTTGGGAGGCTGAGGCAGGAGGATCACTTCAGCCCAGGAGTTTGAGGCTGCACTGAGCTATGATCATGTCACTGCACTCCTGCTTGAGCAACAGAGCAATCCCCTGCCTCTAAATAGATTAGATAGATAGATAGATAAAGATTAGCTGAATGGATTAAAAAAAAAAAGACCCAACTATATGCTGCCAGTGAGAAACTCACCTCACCTATAAAGATACACATAGACTGAAAGTGAAGGGATGGCAAAAGATATTTCATGTGAATGGAAACCAAAAGTGAGCAGGCATAGCTATACTTAGACAAAATAGGCTTTGAGTTAGAACCTGTAAAAAGAGAAAAAGAAGGATATTATATAATAGGGGATTAATTCAGCAAGAAAAATGTAACAGTTGTAAATACATATACACCCAACACTGGAGCACCCACATATATTAAGCAAGCATCATTAGATCTAAAAGGAAGATAAACCCTCAATACAACAATAGTTGGGGACTTCAACACCCCACTCTCAGCATTGGACACATCATCTAGACAAAATCAACAAAGAAACATCAGATTTAAACCGCATCATAGACTAAATGGATCTAACAACAGACATTTACAGAATGTTTCACCGAACAGCTGCAGAATATACATTCTTTTCATTAGCACATGGAATATTTTCCATGATTGACCATACATTAGGAGAGAAACAAGTTTCACAAAATTTGTTAAACAATTGAAATCATATTAAGTATTTTATCTGACTGTAATGGAATAAAACTAGACATCAAGAACAAGAGAAACATTTGATACTATACAAATACATGGGAATTAAACAACATGATCCTGAATGACTAAGTAAAGGAAGAAATTAGGAATGAAATTTAAAAATTTATTGAAACAAATGAAAATAGAGACACAACATAGCAAAACCTATGGGAGATAGCAAAAGCAGTAGCAAGAGGCAAGTTTATAGCAATAAATGCCTACACCAAAAAACTAGAAAATGGCTGGATGCCACGGCTCACATCTGTAATCCCAGCACTTTGAAGGGGCCAAGACAGGAGGATCATCTGAGGCCAGGAGTTTGAGACCAGCCTAGGCAACAGGTAGAGACCGTCTCTACCAAAAATAAAAAACTTAGCCAATTGTAGTGGTGCAAATTTGTAGTCCTAGCTACTTGGGAGGCTGAAGCAGAGGATCACTTAAGCCCAGGAGTTCAAGGCTGCAGTGAGCTATGCTTGCATCACTGTACTCCAGCTTGGGTGACAGAGTGAAACTCTATATCTTAAAAATAATAAAAAAAACCTAGAAATATTTCAAATAAACAACCTAACAATGCACCTCAAGAAACTGTAAAAGCAAAACTGAGTAAAGCCTAAAATTAGTAGAAGAAAATAAATAATAAAGACCAGAGCAGAAATAAATGAAGTTGAGACTAAAAAACCAATACAAATATCAACAAAACAACAAATTGTTTTTTTTGAGAAGATAAACAAAATTGACAAACTATTAGACTAAGAAAAAAAGGGAGAACACCCAAATAAAATCAGAATTGAAAAAGGAGATGTAACAATGGATGCCACAGAAATAAAAAGGATCATTAGAGACTACTCTGAACAACTATACACCAATAAATTTGAAAACCTAGAGGAATTGAGCAAATTCTTGGACACATACAAAGTACCAAGATTGAACCAAGAAGAAATAGAAATCCTGAAAGACCAAAAACAAGTAATGAAACTAAATCAGTAGTAAAAAGTCTTCTAACAAAGAAAAGTCCAGGACAGGATGGCTTCAGCATTCAATTCTACTGGACCTTTAAGGAATAATTAATACCAATTCTTCTCAAACTTTTCCAAAAATTTGAAGCTGGGGGAATTATTTGTAACTCATTCTATGAGACCAACATAATCCTGATATGAAAACCAGACAAGGACAAAACAGCAACAACAAAACTACAGGTCAATATCCCTGATGAATGTAGATGCAAAAATCCTCAACAAAATGCTAGCAAGCCAAATCCAACAACACATCAAAAGGATAATACACCATGATCCAGTGGGATTTATTCCAGGAATGCAAGGATGGTTCAATATATGCAAATCAATAAACATCATACATCATATCAATAGAATGAAGGACAAAAACATATGGTTCTCTCAATAGATGCAAAAAAAGCTTTTGATAAAATTCATCACTTTATGCTAAATACTCTTAATAGGTATAGAAGGAAAGTATCTCAACATAATAAAGGACATATATGACAAACCCACAGCTAACATTTTACTGAATGGGGAAAAGCTGAAAGTTTTTCCTCAAGAACTGGAACACAACAAGGATGCTCACTCTCACCACTTCTATTCAGTATAGTCCTGGAAGTCCTAGCCAGGGCAATTAGGCAAGGAAAAGGAAATAAAGGGCATCCACATTGGAAAGGAGGAAGTCAAATTGTCCCTCTTTGCAGTTGACATGATCTTCTGTACAGAAAAACCTTAAAACTCTAGCAAAAAATTCTTAGAACTGATAAACGAATTCAGTAAAGTTGCAGGATACAAAATTAATATAAAAAACCAGTAGCATTTTAATACATCAATGACAAATTAGCTGAAAAAGAGATCAAGAAGGCAGTCACATTTACAACTACAAAGTACTGATGAAAGAAACTGAAGAAGTTACAAATGAAAAGATATCTCATGTTCATGGATCAGGAGAATTAATATTGTTGAAATGACAATACTACCCAAAGCAATCTGCAGTTTCAGTGCAATCGCTATCAAAATACCAATGACATTCTGCACAGAAATAGAAAAAAAATCCCAAAATTTGTATGGACTCACAAAATATCCTGAATAGCCAAATCAATCTGGAACAAAAAGAACAAAACCGGAGGGATCACACTTCTAGACCTCAAGATATACTACAAAGCTGCAGCAACTCAGCATAGTACTGGCCTACAAAACAGACACATAGACCAATGAAACAGAATAGAGCACCCAGAAATTAATCCACCTATCTACAGCCAACTGATTTTTGACAAAGTTACCAAGAACACTCACTGGTGAAAGGACAGTCCCTTCAATGAATGGTGCTGGGAAAACTAGACATCCATATGCAGAAGAATGAAACTAGACCCCCACCTCTCACCATATACAAAAACCAACACAAAAAGGATCAGAGAACTAAATGTAAGACTGGAAATGATAAAACTACTAGAAGAACACATAGGGGAAACCCTTCAGGATATTGGCCTGGGAAAATATTTTATGAATAAGACCTCAAACAGACAGGCAACAAAAGCAAAAATAAACAAATGGGATTATCTCAAACTAAAAAGCTTCTGCACGGCAAAGGAACAACAAATTGAAAAGACAGCCTACAGAATGAGAGGAAATATTTGCAAACTATCTATCTGACAGGGGATTAATGTTCAGAATATACAAAGACCTGAAGTATCTCAATAGTAAAAAACCAGATGATACAATTAAAAAATTGGCAAATGATCTGAACAGACATTTCTCAAAAGAAGAGTCCAGAGAGAGCCTGGATGGGTGCGCTCAGTGCAGCAGCTCCTAGAGCTTCCTCCTTGGCTTCAGCCTTGCTGCTTAGGAAGGTGCAGGCCCTGCCACCATCTGCGTGGTGTAGTGGTGGTCCCCAAGTACCCCCAGCTGGCATGGGCCTGGCCGTGGCGTGAGCATGGAGCCCACGGGAGCCCCAGGCAGGAGTCTGGTGGGCCAGTAGCTCCAAGACCACATGGACACCATGCTGCCACTGCCATCTTCCTTCCTTCCTGGGGCCTGCTGACGCCTCCAGTGTTGGCTGTTCTGCACGAAACAATTCCTCAACACGTTCCTTAGGCATGGTCTCCTTCAAGGTGTAAAGGGCTTGTTCTCTTCCCAGTTCCCTGCTCATATGTACCCTAGCCAACGTGTGGAGCAAGAAACAATTTCTCCTCTGCACTGTCTTCTTTCCCTGCTCCCCAGTCCCACTAATGAGGATCAGCCCATGGTGGTATTTTGCTATTATTTCTGTGTCTGGTGTCTTCTCAGCCCCATTCTCTGTGATGTTTACTTGTGTAGCTGATGTCACTCAGGAGCAGAGCAAAGTACTGCTCATGGCTGGGCCTCAGCCACCTTTATAGCTCCTCTGGGCAACAGCCCGGCCATCGGAACACACCTTTCTGCCAGCTGTGGAGACAGCCTCGGGCTGGTTGCTGCAAGGCTTGCTCTCTGGACAGCTGCTTCATCTTAGTGGCTGTTCTGGAATCTCTGTCTGAGAAAATGAGACAGTTTCCCGGGGAGTTCAGATTTCTTGGAAACAAGCTGTCTCTTTTGCGTCATTGAAGAAAGTTGGAAAAAAATTCTACTGTCTTACTAACCTGCATCACTGTGTTTCTTGCATGCCTTCCTGAAGCAGGACAGTGTTTAAGTTTTTTTTTTTTTTTTTTTTTTATCTCATGCAGGTCATAGGTTTTGGATCTGTTGAAATTGCAGCATTCATAGCTATGGTAGAAATTGTTTGTTATGGCTCAGATGGTCTTTCTTACCATCTTGATGAGATCATTAGGGAATAAGAATATTGTCTTCCTTGGCATGGGCTTTTAGAGACTCCAGTTAGCTCAGTATGCTTTTGGATCTGAAGCCTGGATGATGTGGTCAGTGGGGACTGTGGCCACCATGTTCACCATTACATTTCCAGTAATCAATGCCTTTGTCTCTCAGAATGCAGAGTCAGATTGGCAAGGAGTTGCCTAAGAGATCGTAACTGGAATAAGAGGACTATGCAATGGTCTGGGGCCAGCACTGTATGGCTTCATATTCTACATGTTCCATGTGGAACTGACCAGATCGGGCCCGAAATTGAATACTAACGATGTTACCCTGCAGGGAGCTGTCATCCCAGGCCTGCCATTTTTACCTGGGCATGTACAGTTCCTATGTCTTTTCTGGTTGCCTTATTCATCCCTGAATACAGGAAAGGCAGGGGAGTTCAAAAATATAGCAGCAGTGGCAGTGACAGCCTGACCAACATCCCAGAATGGGGCAGTGATGAGGACAGTGAGCCACTGCTGCAAGACAGTAGCATCTGGGAGCTCTCTTTGTTCAAGGAGCCTGAGAATCAGTGCACTGAAATATAACTTGGCAGAAAAAGGGGATCCCATCTCTGAGAGCCAGGTGGGAACCACACCACATGGAGACTTTGTGGTGCTGGATGGGAGGGCCAAGTTTTGTAAATACCCACTCTATCCTTCTCCACTTCCTCCTCTCCCTCCTCTTATTCTTTTTCTTTCTGTTCGTACATTAGAATAAGGTAAGGTTTGGAATACTTCTCTGCAAATAATGTGCAACTCTCAAGGTAAAACTCAAATAGAAAAGTCATGTCTCTGGGAGAAAGGATGGCTTTTCTGTAATGACTCTGAAGTAAGAGTGACAACAGTCTTTCCATGCCCTTTCCAGCAGAAGGTGCAGGATTGGAGGGGGACTGCCATATTTGGCAAGATTTCAGGTAAAGAATCCCTTCTTATTTTCTTCCTTCTTGTTTCTCTTAATTAGTCCATAGGTGCTGAGTGGCCACTCTTAAGAGTCACTCAGGAATCTATTGCCTTTGTTCAAAGGTCAAATGAAAACCTAGTTTTACTCTCCTTTTACTTTCTCTACTTCCTATTCTTGGCTAGAATGAAACTCAACATATATACATCTCTGGACATTAATAATATTTAATAGTGATTACCTTTATTATATGAAGGAGCTTTTTCTTATAAATTTAAATCGTGTAGAACTTGCAACTCAGATTTATGAACTTAGTAACCTGATAGGATCCAAGGTGATTTTACAGAAGGAAAAAAACCCCTCAAGCATTCTGGTGGCAATATAGAAAGTGGAGGGTGCTTCCAAGAAAGTTTTTAAAATTTTGAAATTCCTAAGCGAGAATGAGAGTTAGTCAGTAGATACTAGTAGAGTTTATATCCAAGTTCAGACTCACAATGCATTATTATGATTTGCTCCTTCCCATGTCTCCCATGTCCTGCTTCTCAAGCAATTTTTCTCATCTGTCACACTCCTGCCTTAACTGCTCTGTGGTATGTGTTTGTTTTCAATTAATCTTTATTTCAATCTGTTTATCTGACTTTTGAATCTCATGGAATGCTGCACATCAAATTCCTTTCCGAAATATTGTGGTTTTATGAAGCTCAGTTTCACAATGAATGTCTTGATAATTTCTTGAGATGTTTTGTGGACAAAGAAAACTACAAATTTATATGTATTTTGCTGCACCAGTAAATGGACTGCTAGCTAGGGCCCACCTTTAACAGAGCACTCCTTTGAAAGTTTTATGGATATAAAATATATGTAGATATTTGTAAGGGGTTTTACTTTTTTTTTTTTTTTAGACAGAGTTTCGCTCTTGTTGCCCAGGCTGGAGTGCAATGGCGCGATCTCAGCTCACTGCAACCTCTGCCTCCCGGGTTCAAGCGATTCTCCTGCCTCAGCCTCCCCAGTAGCTAGGATTACAGGCATGTGCCAACATGCCTGGCTACTTTTGTATGTTTTTTAGTAGAGGTGAGATTTCACCATGTTGGTCAGGCAGGCCTTGAACTCCTAACAAGTGATCCACCTGCCTCGGCCTCCCGAAGTGCTGGGATTACAGGCATGAGCCACCGTGCCCGGCCAGGGGTTTTAATTTTTGATGGGGTGCTGTGTAAATCTTGTTTTTATAAATGTAATGAAGGTATTTTTAAATTTTTGAGACAGGCTATCACTCTGTCATTCAGGCTGAGTGCAGTGGCACAGTCTCTGCTCACTGCAACCTCTGCCTCCTGGGCTCAAGCTATCCTCCCACCTCAGCCTTCCAAGCAGCTGGGACTACAGGCATGTGCCACCACTCCCGTCTAATTTTTGTATTTTTTGTAGAGATGGGGTTTCACCATGTTGCCCAGGCTGGTCTAGAACTCCTGGGCTTAAGCAATCCACCTGTCTCGGCCTCCCAAAGTGCTGAGATTATAGGCGTGAGCCATTGTACCTGGCATAACGAAGGTATTAACAGAAAAAAACAAAAAACAACTCTTATAAAAAAAAAAAAAGACATACAAATGGCTGACAAAAACATAAAAAATGCTCACTATCACTAGTCACTAGGGGAATGCAAATCAAAACCACAATGAGGTATCATCTCACCCAGTTAGGATGGCTATAATCAAGTAGACAGAAAATGACAAATGCTGGCAAGGATGTAGGGAAAAGGGAACTCATATGCTGTTGGTGGGAATGCAAATTAGTATAACCATTATGCTGTGGGGCGTGTGGAGGTTCCTTAAAAAACTACAAATAGAACTACCATATGATCTGGCAGTCCAACTACTGGGAATTTATCCAAAGGAAAAAAAAATCATTATATTGGAGAGACACCTTGCACCCCCATGTTTATTGCAGCACTATTTATGATAGCTAAGATATGGGCTCAACCTAGGTGTCCAACAACAGATGAATGGATAAAGAAAATGTGGTATATAAACACCATGGCATACTATTCAGCCATAAAAAGAATGAAATCCTGTCATTCATGGCAATGTGGATGGAACTGGAGGATATTATGTTAAGTGAAATAGGCCAGGAATAGAAAGTTAAACACTGCATGTTCTTATTCATATGTGGAAGCTAAAAAAAGTTGATCTCCACTTTGGGAGGCTGAGGCGGGCGGATCACGAGGTCAGGAGATCGAGACCATCCTGGCTAACACAGTGAAACCCCGTCTCTACTAAAAATACAAAAAATTAGCCGGGTGTGGTGGCGGGTGCCTGTAGTCCCAGCTACTCGGGAGGCTGAGGCAGGAGAATGGTGTGAACCCGGGAGGTGGAGCTTGCAGTGAGCTGAGATCGCGCCACTGCACTCCAGCCTGGGCGACAGAACAAGACTTCGTCTCAAAAAAAAAAAAAAAAAAAAAAAGTTGATCTCATAGAAACAAAAAGTAGATAACAGAGGATATTGGAGGCTGGGAAGGGTAGAGGGAATGTGGGGATGGAGAGACTTCTTAAAGGATACAAAATTACAAGCTAGACAGGAGGAATAAGTTCTAGTGTTCTATAGCAGCTGTCCCCAACCTTTTTGGCACCAGGGACCAGTTTCATGGAAGACAGTTTTTCCATGGACTGGGTGAGGGGCTGCGGCAGATGGTTTCAGGATGAAACCATTCCACTTTAGATCATCAGGCATTAGTTAGATTCTCATAAGGAGCGTGCAGCCTAGATCCCTCGCTTGCACATTTCACAATAGGGTTCACGCTCCTGTGAGAATCTAATGCTGATGTGACGGGAGGCGGGGCTCAGGTGGTAACGCTCACTCTCCTGCTGCTCACCTCCTGCTGTGTTGTTGGGTTCCTAATAGGCCATGGATTGGTACAGGTCCATGGCCCGGGGGCTGGGGAACCCTGTTCTACAGCACTGCGGGATGACTATAGTTAGCAACAATATACTCTATAGTTTCAAATAGCTAGAAGGAGGATATTGAATGTTCCCAACACAAATAAATGATTAATGTTTGAGATGGATATGCTAATTATCCTGATCTTATCAGCATACATTATATGTATCAAAATATCACTATGTACTCTATGAATGTATGCAATAATCATAATAATTATTATTATTCGAGACAGGGTATTGCTGTGTTGCCCAGGCTGGAGTGCCCAGGCTGGAGCCATCATAGCTCACTGGAGCCTCGAACTCAGGCTCAAGCTATCCTCCTGCCTTGGCCTCCCAAAGTGCCAGGATTACAGGCATGAGCCACCATGCCCAGCCTGTATAATTATTATTTGTCAATTAAAAATTAAAATAAATTGAAAAATTTTTAAAAGAGCAAGAGATCACAGAGGTTAGTGAGTTCAGAATAATTTTTCATTAGCAGGCAGTAGAGATTCCTTTAGAGGGCCTACTTTAAAAAAAAGTCATTCTGTCTTTTAGAAACCTCTGTATACTAATAAAAATGTATCTCATTGTTTCTGAGGCCTTCAAGATCCTCCCCTTTTTTTCTAATGCACACATAAATGAATCTTTCTTTTTTGTTTTTTTGAGACAGGGTCTTGCTCTTTGCCCAGGCTGCAGTACAGTGGCACAAACACAGCTCACTGCAGCCTCGACCTCCTGGGCTCAAGTGATCCTCTCATCTCAGCCTCCTAAGTAGCTGGGACTACAGGGGCACACCACCACACCCAGCTAATTTTTGTATTTTTTGTAGAGACAGGGTTTCACCATGTTGCCCAGGCTGGTCTCAAATTCCTGAGCTCAAGCGATCTACCTGCCTCGGCCTCCCAAAGTGCTGGTATTACAGGCATGAGTCACTGCACTCAGCCCAAATAAAATCTCATCTAGAATAAAACTTCCCCATTGTGGTTGCTGTCATTCTGCTAATCTTCCTGAGGTATACCTGTTTCTCTAGAAAGGCACAGGTTCTGGGCCCATAATTTCTGAACATAAAATTAGCTGGAGTTCTAGATGGAGGAGTCCTAGACTCCTTAGATTCTGACAATCTAAATTCTGTCCTAAAATTGTGCTTTCCTGAGGTCTCCAGCTAGATCCAGTTCAGTTCCTGTTGAACACCCAGTTTGATTTCTGGATTCCAGTCTGGATTCCAGATGTAGACTGAATACAATCCAGTTCCTGTCAAACATCCAGGTCAACCCTTGGATCCAATCATAAATAAAATTACTTGAATTCAGAGAGTTCAGGATGCAAATTGCAGAGGCAGAAATCCAAGAGGGACTTATCTGGGACCTCCAGAAGCTGTGAGAAAGCAGGGAGCTCAAGGGGCTCCGTGGGTACCTTTTGCCTGGTTCCTTGATGTTCCCGGAGGCCCTCTGCTGCCATTAGCCAGAGAAGTTTCTCTGCTTTTAAGGGCTCATGTTATTCAATTATGACTACCCAGATCATCTTATCTCTGTCTCTGAGGATCAGCTATGCCATATAACGAAACACAGTCATGGAAGTAAAATCTCATCACATTCAGTTTCCATGCATTGGATGTGGAATCTCAGGAGGCTATTTTTAGAATTCTGCTACCACTCCCACTTTCTGATATGACTATTTTATATTAGCTCTTTTTATCAAACTTTCCCCCGCCTCCTCTCCATATTCCCACCATCTCATTCGGCTGATGACTTTGCCATATACTTCCTTGAGAAAGGAGAGAACACTTATATGCAAAGCCAAGAAACTTCAACTTCACAAAATTTCCACTTCCTTACCCATCTTCTTTAACTTTTTTTTAAATAACTTTTTTTTTTTTTTTTTTTTGGTAGAGATGTGGTCCTGCTATGTTGCCCAGGCTGGTCTCAAACTTCTGGCCTCAAGTGATCATCCCATCTCAACTTCCCAAAGTGCTGGGATTATAGGCATGAGCTGCTGCACCCACCTTTCTTTGCCTTTAATTCTAGCTCTTGCCTTTCCAAAGACTCTAATTCTTCGCTTTCTTCTCCCTCTTATTCATCAGTCTTTCCCTGTCTCCAGGCATCATCGCCATCAACATACAGCCATACTCCAGGATTGCCCATCTTCAACATAAACGGACTCTCCTGGACTCCACTTCCCACATCAGTCACAGCCACACTTCCTGAGAAAGAAGTCTACACTCTTCATTCACTTTCATTCACCCACTTCCAACCTGGCTCCTGTTACCACTGGACCGTCAAAAGTGACTCTTGTCAAAGTCACTATTCTGGCTACCTATTGCTGTGTAATAACCTCCTCAAAATTTAGTATCTTTAAAAAACAATTTATTATGTCTCATACTTCTGTGGTTGACTGGGCTCAGCTGGGAAATTCTTCTTGGGGTCTGTTTCTCATGAGGTTGCAGTCAACAGCTGGGACTGGAGTCGTCTGAAGCCTCAGCTGAGCTGGACATCCAAGATGGCTCACTCACATGGCTGGCAGTGGATGGTGGCTGTTGGGTGGGAGCTTAGCTTGTGCTGGCAACTTGAGTGCCTATATGTGGCCACTCTGTGTGGCTTGGGCTTCTCAGAATGGCAGCTGGGTTCCAGGAGGGAGTGTCCCAGGAGTGAGCATTCCAGGAGAACCAGGTGGAAGCTGCAAGACTTCTTATGAGCCAGGCTTGGAAGTCATGCCATGTGACTTCTACTATATACTGTTGGTCATAAGCAAGACAAGGCCATGCCAGATTCAACAGAAGGGATTACCCAGGGGCCCAGTTTACATAGGAGGCCATCTTTGGAGACTAGCTACCATAGTCACCAGCGCATTGGTCCTCATCTTACTTGACTTCATAGCAGTTGACCCAGTTGATCACTGTTTTTCAAAACTCTCCCTTCTTTGGCTCCACAGACCCCTGGATTTCCTCTTTCTTCACTGACTGCTCTTTAATCTCTTTTGCACCCTCAAAAGCCTAAATATTGGACTGTCTCAGATTCTACTCTGGGCCTAGAATTATAGAATTATTCCTCTGTCATGTCTGCCTGCATGATCTTACTCGTCCCATGGTCGATGTCTACCATCCAAATAAAATTTCCAGCATACTTTTGTTTCTAGCCTGGACCTCTTACCTCTTGCTCAGGACTGGGATATCCAGCTGTTTTCTTGATGCTTCCATTTGGATGTCTAATGGGCATCACAGATTTAATATATCTGCTTTCCCACCTCAATGCTTCCCCAGCCTTTTCTTTCTCAACAGATGTCGTCATCATCCACTTGTTCAAACAAGAGCCCAAGGATCATCCTAGATTCCTTCTCACTTCCTCTCAATCCATCCCTGAAACAGCCAAACCACCAGTAAGCAAGTCCTGTGGGGTTTTTTTTTTTTTGCCAAACATTTAAGGTATTTCTTTAGATATATTTGATTTATATTGTTTAGCAAACCAATACATTTATAGTGACAAAAAAGTATTACTAGTTTTATAATATAAAAGCAGTCTGTTACCCCATCCTAAATTCTTACTCCCCAAAGCAACCCTCTCAACTCTAGCTATTTCTTCTGCTATTTACTTCTATGTTTAAAAATTTCTCTCATATATATGTATATATATATATAAAGTGTATATATATAAAGTATGTAACATATAAAAGTATATAAAGTATATTTTATACATATAGAACTATTTCTTGATTTTTTTTTCAGTGTTAAGTAGGATCTATTGACATTTCTTTTTTTTTTTTTTTTGAGGTGGAGTTTCGCTCTTGTTGTCCAGGCTGGAGTGCAGTGGCATGGTCTCAGCTCACTGCAACCAAAGCTCCCGGGTTCAAGTGATTCTCCTGCCTCAGCCTCCTGAGTAGCTGGGATTACAGGCATGTGCCACCACACCCAGCTAATTTTTGTATTTTTAGTAGAGATGGGGTTTACCATGTTGGCCAGGCTGGTCTCAAACACCTGACTTCAAGTGATCCACCTGCCTTGACCTCTCAAAGTGCTGGGATTACAGGTGTGAACCACCATGCCCAGCCTCTGTTGACTTTCAACTATGGAAAATGTGGTTTTAGCTTTCTTATATGCCCATTTTCTCCTTCACCAAATACATACACTTAACCTTTTCCCATCCTCCAATATATCGTCATCATAATTTTTGGTTAAAATCCCTATTTAGTGTTACCTTAGTCCATTCATACTGCTATGACAAAATACCACAGACTGGGCAGCTTATAAACAACAGAAATTTATTTCTCAGAGTTCTAGAGGCTGGGAAGTCTAAGCTCTAGGTGCTGCAGACTTAGTACCTGTTGAGGGCCCACTTTCTGATTTATAGACAGCGTCTTCTTGCTGTGGCCTCATGTAGTGGAAGGAGTATGGGATCTCTGTGGGGCCTCTTTTATAAGGAGACTAATCTCATTCATTAGGGGTTCACCCTGATGACCTAATCACCTCCCAAAGAGCCCACCTCCAAATATCATCACCTTGGGGTTTAGGATTTCAAAAGATGAATTTTGAATTTTGAGTGACACAAACATTCAGACCAAAGGGAATGTTTATATCAGTATGACTACGTAAATATTATTCACAGTAAATCCATCTAACCTGTTATGAGCATTCTTTTCTCCTCCCTCTGGAGTTAAATATTTGCCATCTTTTTTTTTTTTTGGGTTGTGTTGAAAATTTAAAATATTTAAAAATATTTAAAGTAAATTATAGGTTTACAAGAAATTGCATAAATAGTACAGAGAGGTCTTGTCTGTACCCTTGGGGTGCAGAGGTTAGAGGTCTCATGTACCCTTCACCCAGTTTCCCCCAATGGCAACATTTTGTATAATTGGAGTACAGTATCAAAACTGGAAATTGATATTGGTAAAATCCACAGACCTTATTTAGATTTCCCCAGTCCTCTCTGTTTTAACTCTAAACGTATCTTGAAGTCACCGCTTCTGTCTATCTTAACCACTACAACTTTTGTCAAAGTTGCTGTCATCTATTTTAGGACCATGGCAATGTCCTCCTGATTTCTTGTTCTACTGTCATTCTCCTTTATGTTTCTACAGAGCAGCAAGAGGGATCTTATAAAAATATGACCAGATCACATCCTTCAACACTTCCCTGTTACCCTTACAATAAAATTCAAACTCTTCACCATGACCTCCAAGGCTCCTATTGAATCCGGCTCTTGTCTGCCTCTTCAGTAACATCATGGACCACTCCTTACCATTCCCTCCATCTGGCTGTGCTTCCTGCAGCTCTTCCAATGGCTGGCTTGTTCTCACCTTTGAAGTCTCAGCTCAAAGGACACTCCCTTGGGCTCTCCCTCATCACCCTAACTAATAGGTCACTTAATATTGTTATTATTTTTTAGAGACAAAGTCTCACTATGTCACCCAGGCTTGCCTCAAACTCCTGGGCTCAAGCAATTCTCCCACCTTGGCCTCTCAAAGTTCTAGGATTACAGGCGTGAGCCACTATGCCTGGCTATGTCACTTATTATTCTTTATTATCTTCTATATATAAATGATCCCAATCTATAATTATTTGATTTATTGATTGGTTTACTTGCTTAATATCCAACTCCCATACTAGAATATAAATGTTATAGAACAAGAGATTGTCTGTACCATCCACTGTTCTAGTCTCATTACCCCACATAAGGCCTGGCATGGAGTGTGCACCTAATAAATGTTTGAATAAATATTGACTGGATCAGGGATTCTTCTGATGGGCCTGTGTGCTCTAAGAGCTGTTATATCCACCAGCAGTTGTGTGTTAACCTAGAGAGGAGCTAAGTCCTGTCCTCAGACTGAACCCACGATGGCTTCCTCTCCCTTTTCCCTGGTTTTGCAGAGTATAGAAGAAATAACATAAAATTTCTTTTTTTGCAATTAGTTTGCAAAATAGTAGAGGCTGCTTTTTGCACTCTTACTCATGACTCCTCCTCTGGGAAGCCGCTGTCGCCTGGCAAAAGGGCCCTACATATGTGTTCCCACAGCACTTTGATAAGGTGTAATTTATATTCAATGAAATTCACCTATTTTAAGTGCACAGTTTGATGAGTTTTGATAAAGGTAACCACTCCAAAGAGTTTCCTGGTGCCTTGGCTTCTTCTATTTCTTTAATATCGTGATAAAATACACTGAATATAAAATTTACCATCTCAGCCACCTTTAAGTGTACGATTCAGGCTGGGTGTGGTGGCTCACACCTGCAATCCCAGCACTTTGGGAGGCTGAGGGGGGAGGATCACTTCAGCCCAGGAGTTTGAAACCAGCCTGGGCAACATAGTGAAACCCCACCTCTATTTTTAAAAAAGTATACGGTTCAGTGGCATTATGTACATTTGCACTGTTGTGCTGCCATCGCCACCACCCATCCATGGAACTGTTTTCATCTTGCAAATCCAAAACTCTGTGCCCATTAAACAATAACTCCCCATTCCCTTTCCCCACAGCTCCTGGCAACCACCATTCTATTTTCTATCTCTATTAATTTGACCTTTGGCTTCTTTTAAAAAGTTGTGGTTAAAAAGTTATAAATTACAATCTTAACCATTTTTAAGTGTAAGATTCAGCAGTGTTAAGTAGCAGCTTTTTTTTTTTTTTTTTTTTTTTGAAGACAGGGTCTCATTCTGTTACCCTGGAGTGTGGTGGTGTGATCTTGGCTCACTGAAGCCTCAAACTCCCAGGCTCAATCAATCCTCCCACCTCAGCTACCTGAGTAGCTGAGACTACAGACATGTGCCATCATGCCCAGCTAATTTTTGTATTTTTTGTAGAGATGGGGTTTTGCCACCTTGCCCAGGCTCACCTTGAACTCCTGGGCTCAAGCAATCCACCCGCCACAGCCTCCCAAAGTGCTGAGATTACAGGCGTTAGCCACTGTGCCGGGCCTGCAGTTTCTTTTTAAGGTAGTTTTAGGTTTAGTTAGCGATGAATGCAGAAAAGCCCAAATAACAGTCACTTAAATAAGGTTGTCCACGGCTTCCCTGACAGCTCCACCATCATGGAGGACTCAGGCTCCTATCTTGTGCTTTGTCATTTGTAACACACAACTTCCATCTATCTCATAGTACAAAATAGCTGCTCCAGTTCCAGCCATCACCTCCACATTCCAGCTAGCATAAGGTGAAAGTGGGAGAAAGGCACACTTTCTCTCTTTTAGAGCTCTTCACAGAAATTACACATACTATTTTGTGCTTATATCCCATTGGACAGAACTTAATCACATAGGCCCATCTCACTGCAATGGAACTGGGAAATAGTCTTTCTTCTGGATCACACATTTCAGTTCTAGTTTATGGGTCCCATTGCTGAGAAGGAAGAGGATAATGCATGTTGGGGAACCCCCACTGGTGTCTTCCACAACTTCCCCTCCTCATAGTGCTGATCACTGCACTGAAATTGATTCCTCCCTCTTATTGGACTGTGGACCCCTTCAGTTAGGGGCTTGTGTCTTTTATAGCTTAGCACAGAGCCAGGTGCATTTAGATGCTTAATGTTTGTTGTACAAATACATGATTTCAGCCCAGTCAGCTTATTTTAAGAATTATTGTTTTTATTATTTTTTTGAGACAAGGTCTCACAGTGTTGCTTAGGCTGGCCTCAAACTTCTGGGCTCAAGGGGGGCCTCCCATCTCAGCTTCTCAAGAAGTTGGGATTACAGGTGGCTGCCACTGCACCAAGCTCTAATCCTTTTTTTTTTTTTTTGAGACTGAATCTCACTCTGCCACCCAGGCTGGAGTGCAGTGGCATGATCTCGGCCCACAACCTCCGCCTCCTGGGTTCAAGTGATTCTCCTGCCTCAGCCTCCCAAGTAGCTGGGATTACAGCCGTGCACCACCACACCTGGCTAATTTTTATTTATTTACTTATTTTTTTTTTTTAGTAGAGACAGGGTTTCTGCATGTTGGCCAGGATGGTCTCAAACTCCTGACCTCAAGTGATCCACCTGCCTTGGCCTCCCAAAGTGCTGGGATTACAGGCGTGAGTCACCACACTCTAATTTTAAGACTTACTGAAGTGAAACCCTAAAGGGGGAAGAGGCTAGAGTCCTCTAGTCCATGTTCTCACCAAATTCAGGAAACTGCTTTATTGCAAACTTGACAGGTGGCCTCCACCTGGCCACGCCACTGCCAGGCACTCCCCGCCTGCACTGCTGGGCACCTCCAGCCATCACAGCCCCTTCCTGGTGCAGAGCCACACTTGGCCTCCATGAAGCTGCCACATTGGTCCTACCCACCCTCCATATGATGTGTCTACATCTACAGGTCCCACTGACCCCAGCTCTTCCTTGTGCCGGGCAAAGATGCCTCCTGTGGGTCTGCACAGGACATGTTTCTCCTTGAGTGTGTTGGGGACATTCCAGGCCTGAGAGTGTCCTGAGGCTGAGAGCCCCTGTTGAGCAGAAGAGAGCTGATGGCCCTCTTGCCTGGCCAGGACTCTCTGAAGGACTCCAGCTCCAACATTTTCTCACTAGTAAATGAGATGATTTACTCTTGACTTGGGTTTGTTTGTTTCACATGTAAAGACACCTTCACAGCACGAAAGCTGCAGATTCAGAGAGGGACATCAGGTTGAGGAGGCGGGAGGGATGTGTGTCACAGGTCCCCGGACGCTGTGTAGATTTCTTGGTTGGCCAGTGAAAGTCCCCACATCTCACGGAGATCCCCATGCCCTTCCCGAGGAAGCCTCTAGATGTCAGAGATGCAGACATTGCGCGTCTCAGTGGACAATCCAGTCCAGAAATGGGGGTGCAGAGAGGGGCTTCTGTTGCTCTTGAGCGGGAATTCCACGGCCCTAGGTATGGACTTAGGTGCTGAAGGGGGGGGACCCAGGAAAGAGGTTAGGACTGGCGAGGGAGTGGATGGGGATGGGGTTGGGGCATGTGTACAGGAACCAGGGCTGGGGGCCAGCCCTCTATAATTACCTGAGTCACCACAGATACCCCACAGCCTCCACAAGGCCTGCTGACTTGACCAGGGAGGGACCCACGGCTGTCGCGGCCTGTGGCTGAAAGTCTGCGGGCTCCCAGTCCTCAGCATGGTCATTCCGGGTAGGTTTATTTTATTTTTTATTTTTTTGAGATGGAGTCTCACTCTATCTCCCAGGCTGGAGTGCAGTGGTGCAATCTTGGCTCACTGCAACCTCCGCCTCCCGGGTTCAAGTGATTCTCCTGCCTCAGCCTCCTGAGTAGCTGGGATTACAGGCGCAGGCCACCATGCCTGGCTAATTTTTGTATTTTTAGTAGAGATAGGGTTTCGAGGCTAGTCTCGAACTCCTGACCTCAAGCGATCCGCCTCTTCCCAAAGTGGTGGGATTACAGGCATGAGCCACTGTGCCCATCTCTGGGTAGGTTTGCGTTGTGAGGCCTGATGCCCTGTTCTTCTCTTCTCCTTTCCGAAGTCCGTGGCCCTCTGGTGGCCTCTGTGGCTTCTTGAGCTAATCTCACCCACTGTGGGCCTCAGGTTCCGCTCCCCTAAACATGGCTGCAGAGGGCAACACCATCTCCCAGCACCCTTCTAAGAGTGTGGCTGCTAAACTCTTCAGGGACATAGTACTAGAGTGTGACAAAGACCCCATAGGAAGTGTCACACAGGTGCGAGGCTTCACACAGTGCCGCTCATTTCCTTCCAGAAATACCTCCATACTCTTTTACTATCCTGAGGGTGGGGCACCCCACATTTCTCTGGCATTTGATCTCCCTTCCCCCACAGCAGCTCTTCTCACCAAGATGCCTTTCCTTGGCACGGCGCTTGCAGCCCAAGCAGGGCTGAAGGAGAGGGGCCTGAGTCTCAGGGGTGTTCCTCCCCTTGGAGAGCTCTGGGCTGGCAGCATCTTGCTAAGGGGTTGTCAGCCTCCCAACCTGGGACAAGGACAGCTCCTCCTCCTCTGTGTATGGTAACTACAGGGGTGGAAGGCAAGGCAGAGAAGTTGACGGGAGGTAGCAAGAGTGGGAGCCGGTGGCATAATTTAGATCTGAGGCCTTTAAGAAAAATGCTCAGAAACAATCATCCTACCCAGTGCTAAATATCAGATGAGTCAGCCTCTGGGCAGCTGTCACCTTCCTCCCCCAAATTCCCTGGCAAAGCAGGGAGGCTGGCTTGGGGCTGCCTCTCTGACTCTGACAGCAGTTGGAACCCACAGCTACCCTGCGGTCCCCCTCTTGCCCCCAATCCCAGGATGCTCGCTTCCATTTTACTCTACTTTTAGGGAAGGAGCCAGGGATGGGCCTCAGTGTTCCCTCCCTACTCCCGAAGGGACAGTATTTGTCCCCAGTCCTTTCTCCTGCCGATGCTTTTGGATTTAGGAAGTGATGCCTTGAGGACATGGGCATCTCCCACCCTTCGTGCTCACCCTCGCAATAGTGGATGTGCCTGGAGGGTACATTTCTGAAGAACTACCAGAGCTGAGAAGAAAAAGCAGACTGCATAGCTTAGCGCAGATTCACGCAAAGCCACTTGTGCATTCCAGAGCCAGGGCCATGTGGTTCGGCCCACATGTTGGCAGTAAGCATGTTGTTCCAGCCAGGTGAGTCAGCAGACATGGGATGTTCGTTTATTTGGGCAAATGTGTCTCGTTAGGGTCATTCTGAAAAGAAGCCCAGTGTGCAGTCATTAGCCCCTGGGGTAGCGTTGCTACTAAGTGGTTGGGGAGAAGTCAGGGAAGAGGAAGAGGTGGCGTTCCCCAGCCTCACCCGTGGAGACCCCAGCGAAGCGGGGGCAGGCAGGCACTGCTGGAGGAGCGAAGGCCAGGTGGACACGAGGACAGATTCCAGAGGCTTGGTTTTATTGTGCAGTTTTCTTTGTCCTCAATGAGATGCCATAAGCTGTGGTGGCACTATACACAGTCACAGAACAGGAAGAACCACCGGGTGGGGGCTGGGGGTTGGGAAAAGCCATTTCCTGAGAAGTGTCCGGCTCCTGGGTCTCACTCCATGGCTTGCCTCAGGCCCCGCAGAAGTCCCTGAGAAGGCAGGCCTGCGGGGCAGGGGGCTGTCTGAGGGGCTCAGGCACCAGCCAGCAGGGGCTGGCACTGATGGGCGAGGGGAGGAAGTGCCTCCCTTAGAAACTTGGGCCAAACCCTGTGCAGCTCTGGGACTCCACCCCACCTGACTTGGAGGCTGTGGGTCAGAGCTCTGGAAGCTCTTGGGAGCTTGGGACAGCCTGAGAGGGTCTTGTCCTCCTTTGTAGCCCTCTCCACTGTGGGTGGAGGCAGGGAGGGGCAGCAGGGCCATGCTTTTAGCTTCCTTAGGCAGGGAGGGATGATGAACCCTCATCCTTTACCTCCTTCTCCAACCCTCCACTAGCGCTGCTTTCCTGGTCAAACCTGCATCTTCACTGGGTCATGCCCCAAGGCCTCTGAGGGACTTCCACAGTGGTAAGGAGGGCTGCCCTTTTTATTTTTTTTTGGTTGTGGCTGAGAATGCTGGAGATGCTCAGTTCTCTCCCTCACAAGGTAGGCCACAAATTCTTGGTGGTGCCCTCACATCTGGGGTCTTCAGGCACCAGCCATGCCTGCCGAGGAGTGCTGTCAGGACAGACCATGTCCGTGCTAGGCCCAGGCACAGCCCAACCACTCCTCATCCAAGTCTCTCCCAGGTTTCTGGTCCCGATGGGCAAGGATGACCCCTCCAGTGGCTGGTACCCCACCATCCCACTACCCCTCACATGCTCTCACTCTCCATCAGGTCCCCAATCCTGGCTTCCCTCTTCACGAACTCTCAAAGAAAAGGAAGGATAAAACCTAAATAAACCAGACAGAAGCAGCTCTGGAACAAAAAGTACAAAAAGACAGCCAGAGGTGTGCGGAGAGGGTGAGGTGGCCGCGTGGACGTGGGTAGATAATCGCATGCAGCACTGGAACTCCTGATGAGGGGTGGGGTCCCCACTTCTCCTCAAGGTTTGAGGGATTGGGGGGAGGGGGTCAGCTGACTCAGAGAAGTAGGATCTCTGCACTGGAACTTGAGGCTTCCTGTCTCCTCCATGGGCCCCACCAGTCACAGGGACATGAAATCCGTGGCCTGGAGGAGGGAGAGGGAGAGCAGGAGCAGCAGCAGCCACGAGGTGTTCTGAGCCAGCAGGCTGATGCCCTCACACTTGACCAGTTTGTCTGCAGAAAGAGAAGGGGGCCGGGGGCAGGGTAGGAAGGAAGACGGATCAGGACTCAGGCAGGCACAGGCCCAAAGCAAGGGTGTACTCCCTTTGGGAGGTGGGTACTGCAATGTCTTAGCTGGGACCAGGAACAGCCCGGTCTCACAGAACCAGCCATCTTTCCCATTTGCAGATTACTGATCTCTTGCACACATATCATCTTATGAAAACCTTACTAAACATCATGACAAGAAAACTGGCTGAGGGAGGTGGTGTCATCCCTGTTTTCCCGCTGGGAGAAGGAAGATTAGGGAGGCCAAAGGCCTTGCCCACAGTTCTGGTGGAACCACACTGCTCTGCCTGTCTGGCCCTGAGCTCTTCACCCCATTCACACCGAAGGCAATGGTTCCCCAGTTGACCAGGCAGCAGTTGGGAGAGGGTGAGAGCGTTATGGGGCTATTCTCCTCTCTAGTCCAGCCAAGGGAACTGCCTGCTGTCCCCGAGCCTGGCTCTCCCAGCTCACTTGACCTTGTTAGGGGCTTGTCTCACCTCTGAGCACTGTGACGTTCTGGGAGGAGATGGGTGGGGAATGGCCAGAGTGGTGGAGTGCACACGTGTAGGTGCCCTCGTCCTTGCTAGTGAAGGCGGATAAGTAGAGGACCTTCATGTTGTATTTGCTGGTGAAGTTGGTTCGGGAGCGGTATGTGTGCTCAGGCACCCCCACAGTGCCAAAGAGCACGTGCTTCTTTGTCTCACGGGTCAGGCTGAACTCGTACTGGATGGGTGAACTGCTGGTATTCTCATGGCGGCAGTCCAGACGAAGGCTCTGGTCCACTAGGCAGGCCGTTAGGCTGGTCACCTTCTGCCCTCGGGAGACCTGCAAGACTGGCACCAGCAGTGCCTCCTTCAAACTGGAGGGGCCTGCGGCACAGGGGCCTCCCACCCACCTGAAGTGGAGAGATGGGCCTGGCTAGGGAGGGGACCGGGGTCTGCTCTCTGAGTGCCTTTCCCCACCCCAGGGATCCCACTTCTCCTTTGCAGACCCCAGCCTCCCTCCCCACTCTGCTTGAGCCTTGGATCCTATCAATGTGTTTCAAGGACAGGAGATCTTAGGGAGTTGATGCTGGTTCCGGGTTCTCAGTTGGGGATTCTAGTTCAATAGTGTGAAGGAGGGCTCAGCAAACTGTGTTTTCAAAAACCACCTCAGGCCGTCAGAATATCAGCGCGGTGGATTGGCTGACTTCAGGATGAAAAAGAGCCCTCTCTTTGTCACCTGCGCTTTTCTGAGACTGTGAGGGAGAAGCTGCTTCTCTGGAGGGAAGGAAGCCAGGGCGCCTGGAGCCCCAGTCCTGCCCCATGCCGGGTACCTGTTAGCAGGAGAGCGATGCTGATGGCCAGGTTCATGGTTCTGGGATCTCAGTCCTGGATCTGGGGTGGGAACAGGATGGGAATCAGCCAAGCTGTGCCACACTTACCACCAGGGCTGGGGGTCCCTGGGAACATGGCATAGTGGCTATGGCAGTCATCTAAGTCCCTCTCTCCATTCCCCCTCTCGTCCCTGCATCTCACTGAACATGATACTGCCACTGGCTCTTTCCTGCTCAGGGAAAGCAAGGAAGGAGGGAGAACAAGCCCAGTCACGGTGTGTTTCTGCGCTTGGCCATGGAGCACTTACTAGCTGGGTGACTTTAAGTAACTTTACCACTCTTTCTCCTCTTCTTACATTAACATAGTGTATGGTAATATAAGACCTATGAGGGCTGAGGCTTCGTATTTAAAAAAAAAATTTAATCGTGGTAAAATACAAAAAGCATAATAATTACTATTTTAACCATTTAAATTCAGTACTTAAATTCAGTATATTCAGCAGTGCTGGATACATTCACGTTGCTATGCAGCCCATCTCCGGAACTCTTTTTGTCTTTCAAAGTAAAACTCTGTATCTGTTAAACAAAGACTCCCCATTTAGGGACTTCCCATTTCCTGTTCAGAAGAAAATCCCCAATGCTCAAAACCGTTTCCGTTTGCAGATTACTGGCATATAGCATACACTCCAAAGATATTTATTGTGAATGAATGAATGAATCTCTCTGAATCTTACATACCCACCGGGTTATGATGGGGGTTAAGAAAAACAACCAACATCTGGCGATGACTGCTTCATATACGTGAGACACAAATCCCTAAGTCACTCGCCATCCCCAGTGGATGGCTAGATACCATTCACCATAGCTAAGGATGCTCCCAGATAGGGAGCATCTATTCCTATCTGGATAGGACACAAGCTAATCGTGTTCCTGGAGGAGAGAAAGACATAGTGATCTCCGATTGTATGTGAGCCAAGGATGCTTCCCAATGTCCAGCTCTCTGGAGTTCCTGGGACTGCAGTTTTCCAGCCCAGTTTCAATAGCCACCCTGGATAGGCTGTCTGCCTGGTCTTTTTTTGTTTTTTGCAGCCTTGGCTGAACCAACCCTTGGCGAGGCGACGCGGAGCCGGTAGTCTAGCCTATCTGCAGAGCAGTGCTCGCCCAGGAGAGGCCACAGAAGGGGCGTGCACCCGCGAGAGCGCGCAGGGCATTGCCTCGGTTGAGTGCGCCCGGGTGCGCAGGGCGCACCACTAGACGAGTTCAGGGTCCCTGGCGCTCAGCCCCTTGACGGGTGAGGCTAGGATCCCGCGGCGGCTGCAGCTACAATCAATGCTCTCTCTGTCCCGGGGTGGAGCTGCTGCCCTGAGCCAGATCCAGGAGGAAGGGGGGTCGGCATCTGGCTTTTGAATCGAGGACTCTTGTTTGAGATGTTGTGCGGGCTTGGGATCTAGGAGGGGAAGGGGGAGCAATGGCCAGAGCAAGAAAGGGAAGAAATGGGTCTGGGGCTGGAGAGGGTAGAAGAGCCAGGGGAGGGGTGGAGAGCGGCTGGGGAGGTGCAGTCTGTATTCATTTCCTCTGGTCTGTGTCCTCAGGCGGCTCCAGACCCAGAGAAGGTCTGCTCTTCCTCCCTCTCAAGCCCCCGGCGGGCCTCATCCTTAATCCATTTCCGTATTCCAATCCTCTCCTTTCCCAAATGAGTCCCCCTTCCCCCTCTCTCATCCTTTTCCAGCTCTCCCCTCCCCCGTCCGCCCGCCTTCCACCCAGTCCCCGCCTGCGGCACTGCGGCTTCCTTCTCCTCCGGTGCCCCGCACCCAGCCCGCCGCGAGGTCACCCGGCAGATTCCCTCTAGCTCGCCATCCTCCATCCTCTCCCCGCAGTTTCATCCGTCCTCCTCCCCGCCTCTGCGAGCTGGGTTTGGGGACGTCTGGGTGGAATGTAGACCCACAGGCTGTCCTTGGTGCCCTTCCTCCCTGTTCTCCAGCGCCCCAGCCCCAGACACCAGTCCCCCAGCGGGCGAAAGCCCGGGAGCGCCTTCCCCGAAAGACATCAGGGTGCCACGCGGCCCCTGCCCTGCAGAAGCATCCCCCTCCCGCCCCTGCCTGGAAAGCAGGCCCCTCCCTAAGCTCTGCGCCCTTCTTCCCTGGGCGCCCTCGGACCGTGGCCCGAAGCCTAGTGTTGGGAAGTCTTGCATGGGCGCCTGACGGCGGTCCCCGAGCCCCAGGTCCCACCGGCTCCAGTTCCCACCTGGACTGGGGTCTTCCGCTGCTGCAGCCTCCTCCAGACGCGCCGCCGCCTCCGGTTGCTGCACCCAGCTCGGAGCCCGCAGTTTTCACCGGGGATGGAGGAGAGGGGGAGCGGGGAGCCGGGGGCTCAGCCAATCAGAGGCGGAGATTGGGGGAGAAAGGACGGCAGGGTGGGGTGGGGGGTGGGGAAGGAAGAGAAGGCGGTCCCGCATTGGTGTGAGAGTGGCAGGTTGCGGCGGAAGGGGGCCCTCACCCTGTGGCTGGCAGGCCTGGCCAGGGACGGGAGGGTTCGGGACCCCGGGGATCAGGGTGCGGCAGCCCAAAGAACATTATCCTCCTCCCTGAGCCCCGCAATGGTTGTTCCCCTTTTAAGGCTTTAACCCTTTCTTCTGACCTATTCTTCAGGAGTCTGTGGGAAAACCAAAGTGTAAGAGGTGCAGGATGCAGGCCGGGAGCGCCCACGCCTCCACATTTCCTTTTCAGCTGGAGCCCACCTCCTCCGGAGCCTCCAGTGAGAAGTTTTGGAATATTCCAGTCTTTCTGAAAGGAAGCTGGTTGGGTGTTTTTCAGTGTTGGAGCAGCCCTTCGGAAGCGAGGCAGGTGCTGGACCCACCCTGTCCGTCCCTGGTCCCCAGCCCCATTTCGCCCCCTCATCTATTCCAGAGCACCCAGCCCTTCAGGGGGCTGCAGGCGCTTTTTGCTCTGGGCATTACGTCTTCTTCAGCCCCTGGGCTGGCACCTTCTGGTCCAGACAGCTGGAAGGTTCTTCTGGCTTTCCTGAGTACAGTCTGCTTGTTTGGTCTTCAGACCAGGAAGGGAGTGTTGCCTTTTAGCAGGCACTGTGCTGGGCACATTACATTCATGGCGACCTTTAACCCATGGCCGCCTGCTGGGTTCATCCCATCTCAATCCTCACCTCCTGTCTTGGCTGGTAAGTGGGAGAGCTGGAGAACTGACCTGGGCTATGGACCCCAGCTCTCAAGGGTGAGCCATTCCTCTTGCTCATCCCTGCCTAGTGGGAGAAGAGAGAGAGGAACTCTGGGAAAGAGGAGGAGACAGCACAAAAAGGACTGAGTCGAGGCCAACTCCTGATCACCTGGGGCACTCCTGATAACCCACCGATTGGATGTCACCAGAAGCCCTAGGCTCATTTTTAGAGACAGTGCTGATGACTTTCTCTCACTCACAGGTGTAGTGAATTTTTTTGAACTAACGTTTATTTGATTGATTTGTATCCTGCCAGCCTCTTTATGAATTCTGATCACGACATTCTGTGGGCCTCCCCAATGTCTGCCTGCCTGTTCTCCTATTTCTTCATGGAAGTCAGCCCTGGCACCTTCCCTGCAGTTTCTGATACTGCAGTGGCACTGTTGGAAGCCACTGTTGGAAGCTTGCAAGTGGGAGGAGATTCGCTTGGTTTCCCAGCATTTAGGGTGATGGAACACTCTAACTGGAATGAGCCTTGCAGATGGTTAAGTCCAAAGGAGCTATTCACTTTGGTAAACTGCAGAGGTTTCTAGGGCATTTTATGAAAAATGCAGCTGGCCTTGCCCACCTAGGACCTCCTTAATCTAGTACTAGAGCCAGCTGAGTCTGCACTTTTCTCACGCTCCCCAGGATCTGGGGACTCTAACACATGATCTGGTAAGACTGTCCCTCTTCATAGGTGAGCTAACCTGGCTTCTTGTTTGTAGGATACTTTTTAAGGCCATGAATGTCCTGGCCCCTGGCTGCTGACTTCCCTCCTCCCTCCAACTCCATCCCAGCCATCTTCCCATTCATCTACCTGATGCATTCCAGACACACTGGCTCTGGCTTCTGTCTGCCTCTTCATGGCAGCGCACTCCTTCCTGCTTAACAGCTTTCTGATTCTGAGTCCAGGGATCTTAACTGCAGAAGGCATCTGGGCTCTGCTGGCTGAGGCCCTGGATGCTCCGTTTCCCACTCTTTGGCCCTGTCTCTGAGTGTTGCTGGGTGGAAGGCCTAGCAGTGCTATTTTGATAAGGTTATGAGGACCTGGCCTAATTTCTGGGTCCCCAAGCACCTTGCTTTTAGGCAGGGGAGGGGAGTATAGACTGTAGAAGGTGTGGCAATTCTGTGTCTGCCAAGCAAGATCTCTGATTGGATGGAATTAATGGCTCTGATTAGACATCTGAGGTCAGGGGATAGAGCACAAGGTGGTGGAGGGAGGAGATTTTAAAACTCCATTTACTGTGGATAGGATCGGAGTGCTGAAACCAGCAAGGCTTTAGAGGAATCCAGCTAAGGCAAGACTTCCTGCCAGAAGACTGCGGCTGCCCTGTTGGTCTCTTAGATCTCTCTTTTCCCACCATCTCCTGTTTTCCCACCCAGAAACATATGGGGATAAAAACTCTTCTAAAAACACACAGTCCTTTAGCATGACCTAGGGACTGCCAGCCATTCCCTCATTTCATCAGATTGTCTTTCTAGAATCACAGAGGTGACTACAGTGGTCCCATCTTTTAAATTTTATTTTATTTTATTTTTGAGCCAGGGTCTCACTCTGTTGCCTAGGCTAGAGTGCAGTGGTGCAATCACCACTCACTGAAGCTTTGACCTCCTGGGCTCAAGTGATCCTCCTACCTCAGCCTCCTGAGTAGCTGGGACAATAGGCACTTGACACTATGCCCAGCTAATTAATTTTTTTTTTTTTTTTTTGTAGAGATGGGATCTCACCATGTTGCCCAGGCTGATCTTGAACTCCTGGGCTCAAGTAATCCTCCCGCCTGGCCTCTCAAAATGCTGGGATTACAGGTGGGAGCCACTGCACCTGGCTTGCCCCACTATTTTATAGCTGGGACTTGAGGCCCGAGAAAGGTAATGATTTGTCAAGGTCAGACAAATATTTTGAAGCATGGTCTGGACTATTAGATCTTAAGTCTCCTGACTCCATGTTCCCACTGTGCTCTCCAGTGCTCCCAGGGCGGACCCTCAGATCTCTGCTAGACTCATTTCCCTGGTTCACGGTGAAATAAGTAAAACGAGGACAGTCCGGGGTACTCTGAACATAGCTGTCAGGTTATCACCTTGTTTTGATTTTATGTTCTTCACCCTGTTGATGAGGGAGAGATTCCCATCCCCTAAAGTTAGGGGGATCACATGACCTCAACACTGGACGAATGAGAGCAATAGCAGTTTATTAGTCACATATGCTCATACCTGGGAGGATAACACTGCACGCCATGAACTGCTTCATGGGAGTTGCACTCAGAAACAGGTATTACCAGGAGCTGTGGGAGGCAGGCTTTGTAATGTCAAAACGGTGGAATGCCCCCGTTTCCTGTAAGAGAATGTGATTGGCTGTTTGCATAATTCTGTGGGCTGGCAGGGTGCTGAAGCCCAGTACTCAGGGTTAAGCAGAAATTGTGCCTGGCCCCCACAATAAGGAGGGTGGTTTGGCTGGGGGACCTCATCAGCAAAGTAGGGAGGGGATCTTGTAATTAGGCCATTTGAGGTCTCCCTGATATCAAGGCAGCCATAATACTGAGCTCTAATCTTTGACTAATTGAGACTATACACCTGCCTTTCCTATACTTTCATTCTAAGGTTATACCTTTCCATTTTTCTGAAGAGATGGTGGTATTGATATGTGTGTATGTGTGGTTTTTAATGTCCTACTTTATATATAAAAAAAAGAAAATTGGTAACTTCCTGTTAACCCTCACACTTCTTTGGAAATGTGACTAAGTCTATGAAATTAAAATATCTTGGAACTGCTGCTCTACACTCCGCTACCTCTCCTAACCTCTAGTCGAGGTCAACTTCCTGAGCAAGGTCAGCTCCCTGAAGAACTGCATATTTGGTTGGAGAATGTGACAAATACAAACTAAACATTATTTCTTGGAATGCAGGGCAGAAGTTGAGAGAAGGCACCAATGGAGACACTTTAATCTTTGATAGTTATTTTAAAAACTTTATTCATGGATGGTTTAATTGACCAAATAATTAAGACATTATTGGTACCAATAATGTTCCAAGGCACGGGGCTAGACGCTAGGTATACAAAGATTAGTAGAACACCATCTCAAAGGCTTGTTCCAATGGGGGAAACAGAAATGATACATAGATAATTAGAAAAAAGAGGGTAGACACAGAGGTAGAGACGTGTAAAGGGTACTGTGGGAGTCCAGAGGAGGGACAGGTGATGACCCAATCTGTCAGAGAGGGCTTCTTGGAGGCCAGGCATGAACTGAGCTTTTAAAGATAAATGGGAGTTGCCCAGGTATGGTAGACTGTCACATCAATGGCCTCCAGTGAGTCATGCCCCCCCCCGCCCGGTGTCCATGCTTTTGTGTAATCCCTTCCGTGCTGATTCTGGGCTTGGCCACGTGCCTTGCTTTGGCCAATGGGCCATCAGCAAATGTGATGAAAGCAGAAGCTTGTGAAATGTTTGTACGTTGGAGCTTGCTTTTTTGGAGTTCAGTTGCCACTTGAGGGAGTCTGAACTATCTCAGTTTACATCAATCACCATTTGGGATCTGCCAGCCCCCAGTTGACCTGCCATGGGACCACACAGGCCTGTGACCTGCCATGGGACCACACAGGCATGTGACCTGTCATGGGACCACAAAAGCATGTGTAATTCCAAGTGATGCCATACAGAAGAGAAATGAGCCACCCAGATAAGGCTACCGTGGTGATTCTAAAATGTGGACACAAATTCTTTGACATTCCTTCATCAAGAGGTGACATCTAGGCCGGGCGCGGTGGCTCATGCCTGTAATCTGAGTACTTTAGGAGGCTGAGGTGGGCGGATCATGAGGTCAGGAGATCGAGACCATCCTGGTTAATACAGTGAAACCCCGTCTCTACTACAAATATAAAAAATTAGCCGGGCGTGATGGCGGGTGCCTGTAGTCCCAGCTACTCGGGAGGCTGAGGCAGGAGAATGGCGTGAACCTGGGAGGCAGAGGTTGCAGTGAGCCGAGATGGCAGCCACTGCACTCCAGCCTGGGCGACAGAGCGAGACTCCGTCTCAAAAAAAAAAAAAAAAAAGAGGTGACATCTATGTCCCCTTGTCTTAAATCTCAGTGGGCTTGTGACTGCTTCAGCTAATAGAGTAGGACAGATGTGATGCTAAGAGACTTCTGCACTGAGGCCTTAGAAGGCCACATAGCTTCTATCCTTTTTGCCAGAACACTCACTCTTGGAGCCAACATGGAAAACATCTGGCTATCCACCTGCAGCCACCATGCCTGGCTCCAGGCAATTTCAAGTAAGGAGGGACTCTTTGGTGGCTGGAACAAGGGTGACTCAGGTAGTGGTGAAACAACTGGCAAAAACAAAATTTCTCGTGGCAACTTAGACAACAGAAGAAGTGCTTAATGAATTTGTAGATTTGGCTAAAGGGACCTGGAGACAGAATGCTCCAAGTGTCATTTGGGTGCTTCTAGTTGGCATGATAAAGTATTACAAGAGAGCTGAGCTACAAAAGGACCTGCTCAGTTTGTTAGGTGGAAAAGAAAACCAGATCTCATTGCCAGTTTCAGTATCAGGCAATGGGCTCTCAAAACTAGAACTGGCCTAAAGGTAGAGATTAAATCAAGGGTACGATTTTACAACCTTCGTTAAGACCCCAGGAGATTTAAATGGTGTTCATTAGACCTTCTTGACAAGACAGAAGGGTTTCTAAGAATGTTAAGGACATTGTCCTTGCCAGGCACAGTGGCTCATGCCTGTAATCTCAGCACTTTGAGAGGCCAAGGCAGGAAAATCACTTGAACCCAGGAGTTTGAGATCAGCCTGGGCAACATAATGAGACCTCATCTCTACAAAAAATAAAAAACTAGCTGGGTGTGGTGTCACGTGCCTGTGGTCCCAGATACTTGGGAGACTGAGGTGGGAGGATCTCTTGAGCCTGAGAGGTTGAGGCTTCAGTGAGGCACCCCAGCCTGGGCAACATGGGCAACAGAGCAAGGCCCTGCCTAAAAAAAAAAAAAAAACGCATTGTCCTATAGCTGAAATGGAGTCTTTTTGAAATTAATTATGTGTGTGGCTTTGGGTGCATGAAGTAGACCCCAGTAATATTCACAGAAAACCCATAAAGTTTTAAGGAGTATTGTATTGGCAAAAGCTCCGCCAGTTTGGAGTAAAAGGAACTGAAACAGTTCAAAATGAAAAGAAGCCTCTGGGCGTCCAACTTTCTATGGGCAGGAAGCTGGCCCCTATACAGAGGTCCTTCTCTTAGGGAAAAGAAGGATCTCTTGGAAGGCAAAACCAACAGCCCAGAGAGTGTAACTAAGAGCCAGGGAGAACTGGGTCCTGTTCAAGTAACATTCCCTGCCTCTAGCATAGGGATCCTGATGACATGTGCCTGCCTGGATTTCAGAATTGCTTTGAACTAGTGATTGCTATCTATGTGCCTCTCATTTCTCCCGTTTTGATGGGAGTATCTATTGAGCTTATCCTGTCCCTGTGTCACCATTGTACATTGGGCGTGTGGTCTTGTCTTTTTAGCTCACAGGTCCCTGAGTGAAGAGGAGCCACCCCTGAGGAGTTGTACCCAAGGAGACTCAGCCACAGCCAGACCTACTGCACATTTTGAGATCATGGTCTTGGAGCCTGATGTCGTGATTGGGTGCTTTGGGAAGGGTGGGTGTATTTTACAAGTGGGAGGACAGAGCATCTTTAGGAGTAGAGAGCAAACTGTGGTGGAGTGCCACATTAATGCCCTCAGCCAGTCATGCCTCTTTCACACTGACTCTGGCTTGGCCATAAGACATGTTTTGGCCAACAGGAGTTCAGCAAACGTGGTGCAAGCGATTTCCTCAGTGCTTGCCATCTTAGGCAAGGACCCCGGGGCTCTGTGAGGAAGCTCGAGCTGGTCACAGTGGAGAGACCTGAACAGAAGTGCTGTGGCTACCATCCCCCGCCCCAATCTGGGAGCTGCCCATCACTGAGTGAGCCTTTCCAGGATCACCCAGTGTCCAGCCCACTTGTCACCTGGCCACACATGCAGGAGTGAGCCCAGCAAATCCCGTATGGAGCTGTTCCCTGACCAAACTGCTGACCCACAGAAAAGCTGCCTTTGGTTACTAGTTGGGGTGATTTGTTACAGAACAATAGCTAACTAAGAAACCAGGCGAGGAGAGGGGAGAGGATCTAAGACAGAGGAGGCAGCGTGAGCAAAGGAACAGAAATACAGCAAAGCAAAGCAGAGGCAGGAAAAAACAGGCAGTTTTATTTCTCGTGGCGGTGAAGGCTGAGAGAGGATGATGGAGAAATGGGGAAGAGGCAGTCGAGGAAGTCCTTGTCTGTCTGGACTTGGATAATGAGGCATCATGACAGGCTTACAGGAAGAGTGTGAAATGGCTGGATAGGTGTATTTTTTAGAAGGATTACTCTGGGAGGTTGGGTGCAGTGGCTCATGCCTGTAATCCCAGCACTTCAATAGGCTGAGATGGGCAGATCACCTGAGGTCAGGAGTTCCAGACCAGCCTGGCCAATGTGGCAAAACCCCATCTCTCCTAAAAATACAAACATTAGCCAGTTGAGGTGACAGGCGCCTGTAGTCCCAGCTACTCGGGAGGCTGAGACACAAGGATCACTTGAACCTGGGAGGCGGAGGTTGTAGTTAGCTGAGATCGCACCACTGCACTCCAGCCTGGGCGACAGAGTGAGACTCTGTCTCAAAAAAAAAAAAATTTAAAAAAAAAAAAGAAAGATTACTGTGGGGGCAGCATGGCGAGTGACTGGAGGGCCCCATGAATCCTCTCCTGCCTGTGGTTCTTTGCCCTGCGGTGCACTCAGCGCAGAGGTGGGGAGGCGGAAGGTGGCTTCTGGGAGAGAGGGTGATGTGACGCACACTTCCTTGGGGTCAAGACCCATATCCGTCTTATTTGCTGCTGTAGCTCAGGGGCTTCCAGGTCCTGGCACAAAGTAGAGTCACACAATAAATATTTTTGGATAAATATAAGGAGTAAGGGCATTCAAGTATCATAGGTGCTGCCCATGAGGCAAGAAGGAGGGAATTCAAAGAAGGGTTTGGGAGAAAGCAGTGGTTGTTTTCTGGAAAGGGGAAGAAAGGCATTCCTGACAGAGGGAGCCCCAGAAACAAGGGTGGAGGTGTGAAGTGCACCTGGGAGCTGCATCAGTGAGGGGGATGAGGGTCTGAGATGGGGCAGGAGCAGTGGAGGTGGAGAAGGTGGGGCAGATGGGAGAGACCCAAGTCAGGGGATGTTCAGTGCCTTCCTGGATGTCTTTGGGAGGCATCACAAGGACTCTGAGATTTTGGGGTTGGCTACTCTGAAGGATCAGAGAGAGGAAGCAGCTTCAGTGCAAAAGATCATGTATTCAGTGCTGGCCACGTTGAGCTTGAGAGCCTGTGGGATGTGCACATGGAGAGGTTCAGGCCAGAGCTGAGGAGCGAGGTCGGAGGAGAGGAGAGGTTAACTGCTGGTTGTTGGCAAGTAGGTGGTAATGAGCACCCCGGGAGCATGTGTAGACCTAGAAGAAAACAGAACCCAGGACAGGACCCCAAAGAGCGCTGACACTTAAGGGAGTGGTTGCAGCTGAGGAGTCTGAGGAGGTGGCCAGAAGGATGGAGAATGAGGAGAGGGCGAAGCCACAGAAACAGGCGAGTTCAGTGAGGGTGTGGTCAGCGGTGTGAAGTACAGACAAAAATGTATCCTATCCATTAGATTTGGCAACAGGAGGTCACCTGGTGAGGACAGTTTCAGAACAGTGGTAACTGAGGTCTGAAGTCATTGTTTCAAGATACAGTTTTTATTATTAGGTACAGCAAGGGCCGCAGGGCAGGAGGCGGCCTCCATTGAAAAGATGATTTGTTAAACTCGTAGATCCCGAGTAGGGGGCACGCCACATGGTGGGGGTCACTGGGAAGCACTGGGTCGGTCAGGAGGCACAGGGGGAGGGGGCAGTTGTGGGCGGGCACCTTCATTGTGGTTTTCAAGGGAACAAATGGGCAAGGCAGGGTGAGCAGGCTTAGGATTGGCTATGTTGAATAATTGCAGTGGGCTCTGGGCATAGGGGCTGTCCTAGTTGTGTGGAACCTGGCCTTGGGCAATCAGGGCAGGTGGCTGGTGGCTCTGAGTGTGAGAGTCAATAGAGGTGTTTGGAGCGTGCTCTCTGGACTGGTTGGGTGGGAGAGTTATCTCCGATCTCTATGAATTGGCTAACCGTGGGAGGGACAGTCACCTCAGATGGTAAAACGTCATAATAGAGAAAATAAAAGACATGGTTAATATAGTCATGGGTTGAGGAGTGAGTGGGGAGACAAGATGGAGGCTGCAAAGCAAAGAGGAGCTTTGTAAATGAGCAGCGGCTGCTTGAGGCCCACAGGGTCCCTTCTCCCGAGGGGCTGGCCTGGGAGGTGGGTTGCAGGGTGGCTGAGAGACGGCCAGCGTCTTCTGTGGAAACCGGGGCCTGCCTCCTGGTGAGATCCTCCTTGTGCCTGCCGACTGGGCAGCAGCATCTGGCATGGACACTCCAGGCATGAGGTGTGGGGCGCTCGGACTGTCAGCTTCAACCTTGTGGTTTCGGCTTGGCTGAGCTCAGCTGTTCTCAGTGTGCACCAAGCTAAGGGAGAGCCAGACAGGGCTGTGTGAGAGGTGAGGATAGCCCCCCGAGACTGATTCAGTCTCTCCAGCAAAGAGAAAATGAATTAGCTTTTTTTTTTTTTGGCAGGGACAGCTACGCCTAGGGAATAAGCAAGACTCATCCTTGTGGAATGTGAGGAGTTAGCTTTTTTTTTTTTTAATGTCTTTTGAAGAAAAAATATACAAGCAGAGATCCCACGGTTGTCCGAGGCCACTTCCACCTCAACTGTCCAGGACCCATCACCAGCAAAAGTGCTTTGTAAGCAAGCCGCTGCTCCCTGATATACGAGCTGTAGCATCCCCACCACCTTCCAAAGAAGCCGACAATTCCCCCAAACGTCCCTTGCCAGCTGGCTTCAATTAGTAGTAGCAGAATGCAAATGAAGCATGCTGCAGCTACTCTGGGTCGGGCTGCTCCAAAGTGAGGGGAAATTCAACTCCCAGATAGGGAAGAGGAAGAAAGTCAGAAATACTTTCTTTATGATAGAGGCATTTCTGCTGCTCCTTGGCAGGAAGGAAAGGAGAATGTCGTGGGTGTTCATTTTTCCAAAGTGCACTGTGTAGGAAAGCATGTGAGTTTCAACTTCTGTGGGTGAGAGCATAGGGAGCAGCCTGAGAGTCCACGTGCTGGTGTGCATGTGTGTGTGTGCACGCGCGTGCATGTGTGCACGTGTGGGAATTGGCAGCAGTAGGAGCTCTCTGCTCACCTAGGTACAACCTCAGCCTTGGATACCCCTGTCTTCAGCTCACCCAGGCAGATCTCTGTCCTTTAAGCCTCCCAGAAGGTATTGGAGGAAGGGGCAGACCTGAGGCAAGTGACTCCAAGCCTGAAATCTTTGTCAGCCAAATCCTGTGAGTCATCCTTTCTCATCTTCACCCCTATATCCAGTCATTCATCCAAGTTTGGATTCTATCTGCAGAATGCTCCTTGGAGCCAGGTCTTTCTCTCCATCCTCACTGACACAGCCTTAGCCCTAGTCTTTGTCTCTCTTGCTTAGACCATTGCAGTAGCCTGCTAGCTGGTATCCTGTCTCCAGTCTCTCCCTCCCTGCTGCTACTAGAGTAATTCACCATCTCCCAGCCATTTTATTTGTTTTTTTTTTAAGAAATTGTTTACTTAAAAAAATTCTAATACATGTATGTGGTTCCAAATACAATGGAAGAAAGAACATAGAATAAAAAGTAAATCTTTCATCAACTCCTGTCCTCTAGCTATTGCTACAGTTGTTAGCAGTTGTGTAACTTCCAGAAATCTTCCATGCATGTAACAATATCAGCAAATCTGTTTTATTGGTGGGTGTGGGGAGCACACAAATTGTAGTCTATTATACACTTTATTTTGCCTCTTGCTTTTTTTTCACTGAACAATGTCTCTTGGGGGTCATTCTGTATGAGGACATATGAAGTTGACTTATTTTTATCAGTTGTATAATATTCCATTTTATGGACATATTACTATATATTTGATCAGTCCTGTATCAGTGGCTATTTAGGTGATTTACAAACTATACTATTACAAACAATGCTCTAATGAATGATTTATGCAAATGTAATTTCATGTGTTTGATCTATCTGTAGGACAAATTCTTTAGAATTTGAGTGCCATTATTATTATTATTATTATTATTATTATTATTATTATTATTAGATAGGCTCTGTCACCCACACTTGTGTGCCATGGCACAATCATAGCTTGCTGCAGCCTTGAACTCCTGGGCTTAAGTGATCCCCTACCTCAGCCTCCCAAGTAGCTGGGACTACAGGTGTGTGCCACGACACCCAGTAATAATTTTTCTTTTTTGAAGAGATGAGGTCTCACTGTATGGCCCAGCCTGGTTTCAAACTCCTGGCCTCAAGCAATCCTCCAGCCTCAGCCTCCCAAAGTGATGGAATTACAAGTGTGAGCCACCATGCCCAGCTCCTTTGACTATTATTACTAAATATTTAATTCAAATTAAATTATTTAAATGTTTTCTTTGTAAAAGATGAAGAGCAGACCTCTATCTTCAGTCCAGAACTCTTCCCTGAGCTCTGACTCATCAATTAGCCATGACTTAATATATCCACATGGGTATATCAAATCATTTACTATGTCCTAAATTGACCTCCAATCTTTCCCATCACATAAATGGCACCCCCCATGCATGCAATTGCTTAAGCCAAGCCCCTGAAGTTGTCTGTGATGTCTTCATCTGCACCTGCTTGTCTAGCCCATTGTGGTTCCCATGTGCTTCACCTCCTATTAGCTTTCTTTTTTGCCTACTTCTCTCCATGCTCTTGCACCATCAGTAACCCTTTTAACTCCACAGCCCCTTCAGCTGTAGCCCTCCACAGGAGTGATTTCACTGTCCCACTCAGAGCCTGCATCATCTCCTTCTGGACTAGTGCAGTCATAATAAGAGCATGGCGTCCAAAGTGCTTGTGGTGTGTCAGCACTGTGCTGGGTGTATTGCCCACACCAGCTGCTTTTCACCCTCACAGCCACCCTCAGGGTAGCTGTACTATCACCATCCCCCTTTCACAAACCAGGAAGCTGAGACACTGAGAAGTTCACCAGCTGGTAAGGGGCTGAGCTCTTCAACACTATTCTTGGGTGTTCTTTGAACCTCCTAAATGATCCTCTGCCTCCATTCACACCCCTTACAGGCCATTCCCCAGCATTCAGCAGATCATGGCCTGCCCAACTTTAAAACCTTCAGTGGCTCAGCCTCCCATTTCTCTTAGAAGGAAACTCAAATTCCCACAAGGGGCTGCATGTGGAGACCTAACGCCCCTCTCCACGTTGCCACCATCTTCCTCACCAGCATCACACCTGACAGCCTTTCTTTTGGTCCCTAGAGGTTTCAGCCATTTCCCACCTCAGGGCCCTTGAATACAGCCTGTTTTTAGGGAACGGTGCTTCCCTGCTTGGGTTATTCTCCCACCCTCTGCTCCCCTCCCTTCCCCTGGGGATATTTGGCCATGTCTGGAGACATTTTTGGTTGTTGCAATTGGGGTGAGCTGGGGATGGTATTGGCCTTTAGTGGGCAGAGGCCAGGGATACTGCTAAACGTCCCACAATGTGCAGGACAGTCCCCAGCAAAGAGTTACCTGGCCTAAAATAACAACCAATAGTTGGTAAACCCTGGTCTGGAAGCCACTGCATCTTTGCATGCTTCATTCATTTCCATGTGGCAGATGTTGGCTAAAAATATCACCTCCCCAGAAATGTCTCCCTGACTCTTCTATTTAGAAGAGAGCCAGCCTCAAGCCCTATGCAAGTTATCACTATCATTTTCCTAATGATTAGTACTTTTGCTTCATTTTGTTCTTTTTTCTAGTTTTCTGGGTTCAGTGCTGAGGCACTGTTTCTAATCTTCATTAAAAACAAAAAAACAAAAAAGCAAAAAAAACTCCTTAGTGAGCTATTCTAGGTTTCCTTAGTTGGAAACATATTTTTACTGTACCTTTTCTACATTTAGATATGTTTCGATGCACACGTAATTACCGTGGTGTTACAGTTGCCTGCAGTGTTCAGTACAGTCACAGCCTGTACAGGTTTATAGACTGGGAGTAAAAGGCTGTATCATACAGCCCGGGTGAGTAGTAGGCAGTACCATCTAGGTTTGTATGAGTACATTCTGTGATGTTCCCACAATGATGAAATTGCCTAACGATGCATTTCTCAGAATGTATCCCCATCGTTAAGTGATGCACGACTATATACTTACTTAAACAGTTTCTGTTTCATCCAAGGGAAAGTGACACAGTCTTAAAACTTCCCTTCATAATGAGAGGATCTAATTCCATAAATGAATCCTCCAGGAGTACAAGAAAGAGAGCGGGTGCCGAAGAAGTACTGCTACATCCTCCATTTTGCCTTCTTCTGAAATGCGCACTCAGGATGCCTGCCCTTATCTTTGTCCACTCAGAAAACAAAAGACCCTTGCAGAAACGAATGTTGCTAAGGATTATGGAAATGGGATGTGCCCATCTATTTGGGCCCTCCCTAGAGCCCCCATTCCAAGCTCTGGCTACTACTTTGTATCCAGCTCCTTTGCAGGTAATGTGGGGCCCTGAGCCCCTGCTACTGAGTGATGCATCCTCACTCGGGGGCCAGGAGACTGCTGGGTTTTGGAGACTGAGTGGAGTATCAGGGAGAAGGGTAGGCCTGGGTTTGTGCTGTCTAAGGCTGAGTTTGCCACTTCAGGAAGCACCTTACTCTGCAGGAAGCACCCTCACGTGTTTGTGTTTCTCAGTCTGCTCTGGGGTTGGAGCCAGTGAGAGGAAGATGAGGGCAGGCTCCCCCTTGATGGCTAATCAGGCCACATTTGTGATGGTTTCCCAAGGTTGCTGTGTTGAAATTTAGAGCCAGGACTAGGGGGAGGTGAGTGAGAGAGTTGCCTGTGGTGCAAAATTGAAGAGTGTCTTACTTTGGGCTGCTGTAACAAAATACCTTGGACCAGGTAATTGATAAATAACAGAAATTTATTGCTCACAGGTCTGGAGGCTGGAAAGTCCAAGGTCAAGGCATCAGCAGATTCAGTGCCTAGTGAGGGGTCTGTTCCTCATTGATGGTGTCTCCTTGCTGTGTCTTCACATGATGGAAGAAGCAAACAAGCTCCCTGAGGCCTCTTTCATTTTTCTATTTAATTTTTTTCATTTTTATTTTTAATTTTTTTATTTTACTTTAAGTTCTGGGAACATGCAGGTTTGTTACACAGGTATACATGTGCCATGGTGGTTTGCTGCACCTATCAACCCATCATCTAGGTTTTAAGCCTGGTATGCATTAGGTATTTGTCCTAATGCTCTCCCTCCCCATGCTCCCCACCCCGCAACAGGCCCCAGTGTGTGATATTCCCCTCCCTCTGTCCGTGTATTCTCATTGTTCATCTCCCACTTATGAGTGAGAATATGTGGTGTTTAGTTTTCTGTTCCTGTGTTAGTTTGCTGAGAATGATGGCTTCCAGCTTCATCCACGTCCCTGCAAAGGACATGAACTCATCCTTTTTTATGGCTGCATAGTATTCCATGGTGTATATATGCCACATTGTCTTTATCCAGTCTGTCATTGATGGGCATTTGCATTGGTTCCAAGTCTTTGCTATTGTAAATAATGCTGCAGTAAACATATATGTGCATGTGTCTTTTTTTTTTTTTGAGATGGAGTTTCATTCTTCTTGCCCAGGCTGGAGTGCAGTGGTGCAATCTCGGCCAACTGCAACCTCTGCCTCCCGGGTTCAAACGATTCTCCTGCCTCAGCCTCCAGAGTAGCTGGGATTACAGGCATGTGCCACCATGCCCGGCTAATTTTGTATTTTTAGTAGAGACAGTGTTTCTCTATGTTGGTCAGGCTGGTCTCGAACGCCTGACCTCAGGTGATCCGCCCGCCTCGGCCTCCCAAAGTGCTGAGATTACAGGCGTGAGCCACTGCACACAGCCATGCACGTGTCTTTATAGTAGAATGATCTATAATCCTTTGGGTATATACCCAGTAATGGGATTGTTGGGTCAAATGGTATTTATGGTTCTAGATCCTTGAGGAATCACCACACTGTCTTCCACAATGGTTGAACTAATTTACACTCCCACTAACAGTGTAAAAGCGTGCCTAGTTCTCCACAACCGAGGCCTCTTTTATAAGGGCAGTAATCCCATTTACGAGGGCAGAGCCGGTACGACCTAATTGCCTCTCAAAGACCCTGCATCTCAATGCAATCACCTTCGGAGTTAAGTTTCAACATGAATTTTGGGGTGACACAAACATTCAGACTATATATAGCAAAGGGGATGCCAAAAACCTCAATAACCAATATAAATACTATTATGAAAGCCTGGGGAATAAAATATCAATATTCTTTTTTTTTTTTTTTTTTTGAGACAGAGTCTCGCTGTGTCGCCCAGGCTGGAGAGCAGTGGTGCAATCTTGGCTCACTGCAACCTCTACCTCCCTGGTTCAAGCGATTCTCATGCCTCAGCCTTCCAAGTAGCTGGGACTACAGGCACACTCCACCATACCCAGCTAATTTGTGTGTGTGTGTGTTTCAGCAGAGATGGGATTTCACCATGTTGCCCAGGCTGGTCTTGAATCCCTGAGCTCGGGCAATCTGCCTGCCTCAGCCTCCTGGAGTGCTGGGATTACAGGCGTGAGCCACTGAGCCTTGGCCAAAATATCAAGATTCTAAACAAAGACAGGATCTGACCCTGCACTTGTGTGAATCGTTTCATGTTACCCTCACCCTGGCCCTGTCACTGGATAAAAGCTACTGTTACCATCCTAAACGCAGCAGGAAGAACTTCCTTTTTATAAAAAGACAAAACTTCCTTTTGTTGGAGTTTAAAACACATAGACGGTATGTGCAGATCACTGGTATGTGGCTTGATGACTTTTTGCAAATTCACACACAAGTGCAACCAGAACCCAGCCCAAGAACCTGAGTGGACCAGAACCCCCAGGAGCTACCCTCAGGCCCCATTCCAGGCACTAACCCCACTGCAAGGTGAGCTAATCCTTAACCTGGCTTTTTTTCTTGATTTTTTTCATTGAAGTGAAATTCACATAACATATAACCTATTTAAAGTGTACAATTCAGTGGCATTTTGTATATTCACAATGACCACCTCTGTCATGTTCCAAAACATTTTTATCTCAAAGAAAACTTTAAAAATTTTATTTTTTATTATTGCTTGGGAATGACTCTTACAAAAGGAAAACTTTTATCACAATTTTTTTTTGAGATGGAGTCTTCCTCTATCACCCAGGCTGGAATGCAATGGCACGATCTCAGCTCACTGCAACCTCCGCCTCGGAGGCTTAAGAGATTCTCCTGCCTCAGCCTCCCAAGTAGCTGGGATTACAGGAGCCTGACACCATGCCTGGCTAATTTTTGTATTTTTAGTAGAGATGGAGTTTCAACATGTTGGCCAGGCTGGTCTCAAACTCCTGGCCTCAGGTGATCCACCCACCTCAGCTTCCCAAAGTGCTGGGATTACAGGCATGAACCACTGCGCCCGGCCTTATCACAAAGAAAACTTTGTGTCCATTAAGCAGCTACCATTTATTCCCCCTACTCCCAGCCCCTGGTAATCATCAGCCTCCATCTATCTGTAGGAATTTGCCTATTTTGGATATTTCTTGTAGGTGAAATTACAATATGTAAACTTTTATGTCTAATTTTTTTACTTAGCATAATGTTTTCAAGGTTTACCCATGAAACCAATTTCCCGGTTTATCCATATTGTAGCATGTATCAGTATCAGCACCTCATTCCTTTTTATTGCTGAATTATAGCTCACTGTATGTCTACAGCACATTTTCATTTATCCATTCATCTGTTGATAGACATTTGAGTTATTTCCACTTTTTGGCTATTGTGAATAGTGCTGCTAAGAGCATTCGTGTACAAGTGTTTGTTTAAATAGCTGTTTTGGCCAGGTGTGGTGGCTCAAGCCTGTAATCCCAGCACTTTGAGAGATCGAGGTGGGTGGATCACTTGAGATCAAGAATTCAAGACCAGCCTAGCCAACATGGCGAAACACCGTCTGCACTAAAAATACAAAAATTAGCTGGGTGTGGTGGCATGCGCCTATAGTCCCTATAGCTACTTGGGAGGCTGAGGCAGGAGAAGCGCTTGAACCTGGGAGGTGGAAGTTGCAGTGAGCCGAGTTGCACCACTGCACTCCAGCCTGGGTGACAGAGTGAGACTCTGTCTCAAAAACAAAAAAAAAAAACAAAAAACAAATAAATAAAAAGTAAATAAATAAATGTTTTAAATTCTTTTGGGTATATACCTAGAAGCAGAATTGCTCAGTCACATGAAGATTTGATGTTTAATTTTTTGAGGAAATACCAAACTATTTTGCACAGAAGTGGCACCATTTCATATTCCACCCTCAATGCACAAAACTTCCAGTGTCTCCATATTTTCACCAACAGTTATTCCTTCTTCTTCTTCTTTTTTTTTTTTGATGGAGTCTCGCTCTGTCTCCCAGGCTGCAGTGCAGTGGCACCATCTCGGCTCCCTGCCAGCTCCGCCTCCCGGGTTCACACCACTCTCCTGCCTCAGCCTCCTGAGTAGCTAGGACTACAGGCGCCTGCCACCACGCCCGGCTAATTTTTTATTTTTAGTAGAGACGGGGTTTCACTGTGTTAGCCAGGATGGTCTCAATCTCCTGACCTCGTGATCCCCCCAGCTTGGCCTCCCAAAGTGCTGGGATTACAGGTGTGAGCCACTGCGCCCGGCCTCCTTCTTCTGTTTTTTAAAAATTACAGTCATTCTAGTGGTTGTGAAGTGGTTTCTCACTGTGGTTTTGATTTGCATTTTCCTAATGACTAATGATGTTGAGCATCTTTTCATATGCTTATTGGCCATTTGTATATCTTCTTTGGAGAAATGTCTATTGAAGATTTTTGCCCTTTTTTTTTCTTTTTTCACCTCCATCCTCTCAGATTGTGAACCCCTTCCCCTTTTTATTGGGTTGGTAGTCTTTTTGTTGTTGAGTTGTAAGAATGCTTTATGTATTCTGGATACTAGACACTTAAAATACAGGATTTACAAATATTTTCTCACATTTTGTAAGTTGCTGTCTTAGTCTGCTCAGGCTGCCATAATGAAATACCATAGGCTGAGTGGTTTAAACATCAGAAATTTTATTTTTTCACAGTTCTGGAAGCCATAAGTCCGCGATCAAGGTTTCAGACAGTTTGGTTTCTGGCGAGGGCTTACTTCCTGGCTTGTAGACTCTTATCTTCGCCCTGTGTCCTTATGCAGCCTTTCCTCACTGGGGGTGGGGTAAGGAGCAAGAGAGCTCTCTGGTGTCTCATATCTCTTTGTACTAGTGTTTCATGTAGCTGTAAAGGAATACCTGAGGCTGGGTATTTTATAAAGAAACGAGGGCTGGGTGCAGTGGCTCACGCCTGTAATCCCAGCACTTTGGGAGGCTGAGGCGGGTGGATCACTTGTGGTCGGGAGTTCACGACCAGCCTGGCCAACATGGTAAAACCCCGTCTCTACTAAAAATACAAAATTAGCCGGGCGTGGTGGCACATGCCTGTAATCCCAGTTACTTGGGAGGCTGAGACAGGAGAATCGCTTGAACCCAGGAGGCAGAGGTTGCAATGAGCCGAGATCATGCCACCACTCTCCAGTCTGGGTGTCTTAAAAAAATAAAATAAATAAAATAAAAGAGGGTCACAGTTCTGCAGGCTGTACAAGCATGGCACCAGCATTTGCTCAGCGTCTGCAGAGGCCTCAGGAAGCTTTTACTCATGGAGGAAGGTGAAGGGGGAGGAGGTGCATCACATTGGGAGAGCGGGAGCAAGACAGGAAGGGAGGAGGTGTCAGGCTCTTTTAAACAACCAGCTCTCAGATCAACTAATAGAGCAAGAACACATTACCACGGGGGAGGGCACCAAGCCATTTGTGAGGGATCCACCCCCATGACCCAAACACCTCCCGCCAGGCCCCACCTCCAACACTGGGAATCACATTTCAACATGCGATTTGGAGGGGGACAAACATCCAAACTGTATCACTCCATAAAGACACTAATCCTATCAGATTAGGACCCTACCCTTGTGACCTCATCCAGCCTCTATTACTTCCTTAGAGGCCCCATCTCCAAATATAGCTATACTGGGGGTTAGGGATTCAACAGATGAATTTGGGGGGACACAAACATTCAGTCCATAACAATTGTCTTTTCACTTAAAATTTTTTTCTTTTAATTGTTTTTGATTTAAAATTTTTGTGGCTAGGTGTATATATTGTAGCAGGTGTATATATTTACGGGGTATATGGGATATTTTGATATAGGCATACAATGTGTAATAATTTCATCGGGGCAAATGAGATACCTGTCACCTCAAGCATCTATCCTTTGAGTTACAAACAATCCAGTTATACCTTTTTGGTTATTTAAAAATGTACAATTAATTTATTATTGAATAATAATCTGTTGGCTATTTTTTTTTTTTTTTTGGTTACTATTGACCATCCACCCTTCCTCCCCACCCCCACACTATCCTTCTCAGCCTCTGGTAACCATTCTTCTACTCTCTATCTCCATGAGTCAATTGTTTGAATTTTTAGCTCCCACAAATAAATGAGAACATGTGAAGTTTGTCTTTCTGTGCCTGGCTTATTTCACTTAACATAATGGCCTCCAGTTCCATCCATATTGTTGCAAATGACAGGATCTCATTCTTTTTATGGCTGAATAGTACTCCATTGTGTACATGTACTACATTCTCTTTATCCATTCGTCTCTTGACAGACCCTTGGGTTGTTTCCAAATTTTGGCTATTGTGAACAGTGCTGCGATAGACATGGGAGTACAGATACCTCTTTAATATATTGATTTCTTTTCTTTTGGTTATCTACCTAATAGTGGGATTGCTGTATAATATGGTAGCTCTATTTTTAGTTTTTTGAGGAACCTCCAAACTGTTTTTTATAGTGGTTGTACTAATTTACATTCCCACCAGCAGTGTATGAGGGTCCACTTTTCTCTACATCCTCTCCAGCTTTTGTTATTTCCTGTCTTTTAAATAAAAGCCATTTTTAACTGGGGTGAGATAATATCTCATTGCAGTTTTGATTTGCATTTCTCTGATGATGGATGTTGAGCACCTTTTCATATACCTGTTTGCCATTCGTATTTCTTCTTTTGAGAAATTTATATTTTTTAACATGATATACTTTGATGCACAGAAGTTTTTAATTTTGGTGAAGTCCAACTTGCCTGTTTTTTCTTTGGATGCTTATGCTTTTGGTGTCATATCTGTGAATCCATTGCCAAATCCAAGGTTGTGAAGATTTACCCTTATGTTTTCTTCTAAAAGTTTTATAGTTTTAACACTTACACAGGTTGTTGATTCATTTTTAGTTAATTTCTGTGTGTGGTATGACAGAGCTTCATTCTTTTGCCTGTGGATATCCAGTTTTCCCCCCACTGTTTGTTGATGGTTATTTTTCATCCCTGAATAGTCTTGGCACACTTGTTGAAAAATTCATTGGGTGTAGGTGTATGAGTTTATTTCTGGACTCTCCTTTCTGTTTCATTGGTCTGTATATCTCCATGTCTATCTTTACGGCGGTACCTCACTGTTTTGATTACTGTAGCTTTGGAGTAAGTTTTGAAATCGAGATGGGTGAGTCTCATAGCTTGGCCTTTATCACCAGGAATTAATTTTGCCTAGTTTAGCAATTTATATAAATGGAATCCTATAACATGTATTCTTTGTGTCTTCTTCTTCCACTTTATATTATGTTTGAGAACTACCTTTTCAAGTTAAGTAAAAAAAAATCACTTTAATTAACACATTTAAATTATTTCAAACATTTAAATAGGATGAAAAGATTAAAGTGAAAAGCAATGCTGAGTACCCAGTGTGAGCAGTTTCTTGAGCATTTCTGGAGGGAAATGGTAGGCACGAACAGGCCTCTGACTGTGTACCTCCCCTCAACAAAGAGATGGCAACGCATACTATACCTGGAAGAGAGCACTTCGTTAGACTTGCTTTCTAAATCTTTCCTCTGTTAACTTGCTTTCTCTCCATTCCTATTGCCGTTTTCAGTCCATTTTTTAAAGAGTGCAGGGCTATTACTTTGTAGCCTGTCACTCAATTTTGGGGTGTCTGGCATTTCCTCATAATTATATTCAGTTTACGCATTTGGGCAGTGCGAACCACAGAAGTGACTGTTTGTGTTCTTCTCAGTCTGTCATATCACAGGCACCTTATGTCAGTTGCTGCTGTTATAGGTGAAATGAATTTTAATCACTTGGTTAAGGGGGAGTCTACCAGGTTTCTCCACTGCAAAATTATCAATTTTTCTTTTGCAATTAATAAGTAATCTGTGGGAAGACTTTTTGAGGTAATGTATTTCTTGTTCCTCATCAAACATTCACTTAAAGGTTTTAACCTCCACTGATGATTTTTGCCTGAATCAATGATTACCCTGATGATGGCAAAATGGTTTGTATTAATTACATTTGCATGGTCTTTGAGCTCTCCTGAACTCTACAGCCAGACCGGGTCAATAGCTCTATGAGGTGCCTCTTGCAATGCTTCTACATGTCTCTGGTTCCTGAAACCTGGCCTACCATCTCCAGAAGGCTCAGCTTCTAGGTCCAGGGGGGAATTGAAGGCCCAGGAAGAGTGAAAGAGAGATCTGGAGCCCAGGGCAACACCGTCAGATACACTGAACTTGCCTCCATGCTCCCACTCCTGGCTCCAGAGAAATCTGATGCCTGAGGGACAGAAGCTACACAAAATGGTGTATCTTGAACCGTCTCATCTCAGAGGTCATGTCTCTTATTTTTGGTCTAATTTTTCTTCTAAGGCTTGATCAGGATCTCTTTTTCTCTGAGCCAGGAATCTAAATCTTCAATTTTGAAACCAAGTTTGTACTCTTGGCTGTAGAACCCCAATTTTCAGAGCAAGTTGTCCTCTGGAATCAATCCCAGAGTAAGGGTTGTTCTCACACACCTTGATTAGGGTATGTAATTAGGAGAAGGTGTGTTTGGAACAACACCATCTGGCTTCTCTACCTTGAATCCTGTCTTCCGTCTTGTCCATGGTCTTGGCTTGGTTCTAAGGCCTCTGTAGGCCCTGGCCTTTTCTGGAGTAGGTACCCATATCTTCAATTTTGAAAACAAATTTGGGTTCTGGACTCTTCAGTGGTGCTTTCTAAAGTGAGTTAGTTTTTGTTTAGAAGTATAACCTGGGGAAGGTTTTTGGTTGAATATGTCGATGTGGATTTTCAATGGATCCTCCGTGACTTTGGTGAGACTGCGCCTACCACGTGTAGCTGCATTCTTGTTTGCAGAGTTGTCCTGGGGCATGTGGGAAGAGCGTCCTGGCATCCGTCCTAGGATACAACTAGCCAGAGCGATCTTTTAAAAGTGAAAATCCGACCAGTCCTGTGCATGACTGAAGATCCTTAGACAGCTGCATCCCTAACTTTAGGCCGCCAGCCCCTGGGATCTGTAAATTCACGTGCAGCATCAAGCACTGTCATGTTGGCCTTGTTTTGGCCCCAAAGATATGAGATGTGAATTTGAAGGTGACTATAGTCAATAACACACGCAGCATGGCAGGGTTCATTGTCATTTCTGTTGTGCATTTCAATCTGGATTCTAAAAATGTGATTGTTATATCAGGGGGATATCCAAATTATTTCAACATTAAAAAGGGGATTCTTATTCAAGCAGTGGAATGTTACTCAGAATAGAAAGAAATGAGCTCTCAAACCATGAAAAGACACGGAGGAATTTTGAATGCACATTATTTAGTTAAAGAAGCCAATCTGAAAAGGCCAAACACTGTATGATTCCAACTGCGTGACATTCTGGAAAATGCAAAACTATGAAGACAGTAAAACATCAGAGGTTGCCAGGAGTTGGGGGGAGGGAGGAATGAACAGACAGAGCACAGAGGATTTTTACAGCAGTGAGGCGACTCTGTCTGACACTGTCATGGTGGATGCATGTCAGTACATATTTTTCGAAACCCATAAAATGTACACACCAATAGTGAACCCTAATGTAAACTATGGACTTTGGGTGATAATGATGTGTTAATGTAGGTTCATCAGCTGCCATAAATGAGCCCCTCTGGTGGGGGATGTTGATGATGGGGGAGGCTGTGTGTGTGGGTGAGGAGGGGAGTACGTGGGAACTGTCTGTACTTTCTGCTCAATTCTGCTGAGAACCTAAAACTGCTCTACAAAATAAATGTATTAATTTTTTAAAAAAAGGATTCTCGTGATCAAAAAATGTTTAGAAGCCCCAGCATTCTGGGTCAAGTCTAGACTCCTCCGTGTGCAGGGCTGTGATGATTAGGCTCTGTGCCCACACTGCCCCACACCTAGTGGGACAGACTGTGCCCCGGCCCCACTGGTTGTCTTGTTGTCGCATTCGTCCTTGCATTGTGCCTCCATCGCTCCCTTTCCTTCAGGGCTCTGCCTGGTGGAATCCACAAGTTCCTAGGCTCAGCTCACATGCCTGGTCCACCGTAGAAGATTCCTTGGTGCATTCTGTTCTGGGCGCTACTTTGCCCCCAAAGCCCTTTCATCAGCATGCTTTAGAGCAGCATCTTTTGGCAGACACAACTGTGCTTAGATTCTATTCTTGTTCTTTATCCATGATTTATGTTTCTTTCTCTCCAGCTAGATTGTCCTTTTATTTAAAGGGTGAGGGCCTGGAATGGGGTGGGGTCCATGGATGAGAAGGTCTGTGTGACATAGGACCACGCAAGAATGAAGCCCCCCAAATTCCAAAGCCCAGGCTGCTCACGTCTCTGTCTCCCTTTCATACATGACTTCTCATCTGCTCCTTTCAGCAGCTCTTCAAGCAGGTTATAGTATCCCCATTTTACAGATGAGGAAACTGAGTCTCAGAGAGTTCAAAGGGCTTGCTCAGGTCACATAGAGGTGAGGCAGGGATATAAACCCGTGTCCTCTGACTGTTTCAGAGGACTAGACCCAGGACCAGAGCACCATGTTGACTTCATGTAGCAGAAACACAGCTGAGATACTCCTTGCTTTGAGAGTTGGGGACACGGTGGCACAGATGGTCGAGGCTTGCTTGCTGGCTCCTGGGCATGCCCAAGTTGAGGGGGGAGCTCCAGAAAATCATCTCCTGCCTGATTTTCCTCCATTTCACCCAGCAGGTGCTGCTTCCTTCTAGCTTGGGCCTAGATTTCCTTTCTCTTCACCTGGCAACCCCTCAGAGAGCTGGGTCAGAGGGTGGAGCTGGGGGGTCTTGGGGCTTAGGCCACTACCACCTGTACGTGGCCCCAGACCAGAGGACAAATGCTTTCTTCCTGCTAGGACAGTTCTGTTCCTCTCTTTTCTCCTCTAGCAACTCTTGGCCTGTGTGAGCCTGGGTGAGAGGTCTGTCCTCCCTCTGGCCTTGGTGTCATCCTCTGAGAAACGGGCTGATGTCTGCTCTGCCTGCATCGCAGGCCTCGGGTAAGCATCCAGCATCGTTCCGGGGCTGCATCTGGAGGCTGTGCTCTGGGTCCTCCCACATGCTGGGTCCTCAGAGAATCAACCTCCTGCCTAGGATATTTTCAGACACAGCTTAGTTGAATAAATCATGAGCAGGAAGAGAAGGGACTGTGACGGGCTCCTCTGAAGGCCGGAAGCTGGTTCCTGAGAGGCCTGGGGGTGTTGCCCAGCTCCTTCCCCACCCACCTTTCTCTGCTCCTCTGCTCCAGACAATATCTTCCTCCTCTCCCAGAGCCAGCCCCAGCTCCTTTGAAAGATTTCCCTACCTGTCTCCACCTGCCTCCACCTCTGAGCAGCGTCAGCTCCATGTTTTTTCTTGTTTTTGTGTCTTGGCCCAGGGCCCATTTCATTCAATTTTTAAAAAACACCAATTGAGTCCCTACCTGGGGTGAAGGTGGGTGGGAGGCAGAGGGGTGAGTAAGGTGTAGTGTTTCACCTAGAGTTGCTCATCCTCCATGGGGATTTCAAGGCAAGAACACACATGTGAGGAAAGTAACACATGTGTGGTCTTATCAACGCCAGATGCAGCTCAGAAGAGGGGAACATGGCACCAGTGGGGAAGGTGGTGAGGGGCTCAAGGAGGTGCTGGCCCGGGCTTTTCCGTGTCTGTCTTCTTTTGTTCCCATTTCCCTTTCCTGCACTTGTCTTTTTCAAACATGCTGTTCTGTATTGATTCTGTTAGGCATTGGGAATCCAAATGCACTGATTTTAGTTAATTAGCTCAGATATGCAAGAAATAATGCATTTCTTTATTTTCTTTAAGGCAGCTTACTTTAGACTCCAAGCCACCTTTCTACTGGGCTGTGGGAAATGCATCTTTGTCCTCTTGAAGTCTCCCTGCCCCAGGTAGTGCAAAGGTCCTAGGTCACAGTAGAGCCAAGGCCGGGGTTGCAGCCACCAGTTTGCTTTCTGTACTGCTGAGGCTCCCTCGGGTCTGCTCTGCTGGGCTCTTCAGGTCTCAAGCTCAGGACATGGTAATCACAGGCTAGGCTGGGAAAGATGTAGCTGTGTCTCTGTGGAACTGGTCATCCACTGGGGAACTACTGGGGAACTACTGGGGAGCAGGCCGTGGTCTGCACTGCTGGCGATACCTCCTCCTCTGCTGGGTGTGGTGGCTCATGCCTGTAATCCCAGGACTTTGGGAGGGCAAGGCAGGAGGAACACTTGAGCCCAGAAATTTGAGACCAGCCTAGACAAGATAGTGAGACCCTGTCTCTACAAAAAATAGAAAAATTAGCCAGGCCGGTAGTCTCTACAAAAAAAAAAAAAAATTTAGCCAGGTGCGGTGGTGCATGACTCTAGTCCCAGCTACTTGGAAGGCTAAGGTGGGAGGATCATTTGAGCCCAGGAGATTGAGGCTGCAGTAAGTTGTGATAACACCACTGTACTCCAGCCTGAGCAACACAGCAAGATCCTATCTCAAACAAAAACAAATCTTCTTCCTTGCCTCTCTGGCTCAGAGGAATCTTTTTAAAAAAATTTTTAATTAGTTAATTTTTTTTTTTTCACAGATAGGTCTGTTGCCCAGGCCAGAGTGCGGTGGTATGCTCATAGGTCACTGCAGCCTCAAACTCCTAGGCTCAAGTGATCCTCTCACCTCAGCCTCCAGCGTAGCTGGGACTACAGGTGTGCACCACCATGCTCAGCTAATTTTAAAAATATTTTGTAGAGATGGGGTCTTGCTCTGTTGCCCAGGTTGGTTTCGAACTCCTGGCTTCAAGCAGTTCTCCCACTTCAGCTTCCTAAAATGCTGGGATTACAGGCATGAACCACTATGCTCAGCAGGAAAATCTCTTTTTAGTTCAGAAAAATCTCTCTCTTCCCATGTTTACAAGCAAGTCTCCTCTCCCTCAAGGACACCTAGTGTGTTCACTCAGGGGAAAACAGAAGCCAGGAAGAAAAGTATATTAGTTGGTATTATGGTCTGGATTGTGTATTCCCTCACCGGCCCCCATAATTATATGGTGAAGTTCTACCTCCCAGTATCTCAGAATGTGAAGTATTTGGAGATAAGGGCTTTAAAGAGGTAATTAAGTTAAAATGAGGTCATTAATGGGCCTTAATCCAATATGACTGGGTCCTTATAAGAAGAGGAGATTTGGACATGTATGTGTGTGTGCACAGAGAGAGGACCATGTGAAGACAGCAGAAGGAGATGCTTTAGAAGAAATCAACGCTGCTGACATCTTGATCTCAGGCTTCCCGTCTCCAGAGCTGTGAGAAAATAAATGTCTGCTGTAGAAGCCATCCAGTGTGTGGTACTTTGTTATGGCAGCCCTGGTAAACTAAAACAGTTAGGGTTTGTGTTTGACTGCTGCAACAGAGGAATCCAAAACACAGTGGCTTAAACCAAAGAGAGGTTAATTTTTTTCTCATGAAGCAGTCTGGACATGGGCATCAGGGCTGACGTGGGGCTGGGGCTGGGGATTCACACTTCTGATGTGCTACTCTGCCATACCCTGGGACGATGTTTTTATCTTCTCGATCCCACAGAGCTCCCCATCATGTTTCTTGGTCCATGTCTGACCAGCAGGAAGTGAAAGAAGGAGAAGGAAATGGAGTGACCCTTTTTTTAAGAGTAAGAACTGGAAGGTACGCATGTCACTCTACTCAGATATTAATGGACTGAATTTAGTCCCTTAACCACATCTAACAACAAGGGAGGCTGGGAAATGGAGTCTTTGTTCGGGATGTCCATGTGTCCAGCTAAAATGTGGGGGTTCAAACATTGTAACAAGAAGATAATAACTACTGGGGGACAACCAGCAGTCTCTGCCCTCAAAGAAGCAAGGAAGAACAGGAATGGCCAATTCTCTTGAAGAAAGGAAAGGGAAAAGGGAAGATGGCAAGGAAAAATCAATATCTCAAAAACTTCTGCCTGAAGCTGAGGAACAGTAAGACCTGTGTGGACCCCACTCTCAAGTTGCTGCCAAATTCTCCCATTTCTAAGGAGCACCACTTAAAAACAAGCAATTGTAACACAGTATGACAATATACAATGGAGTGAAAACTCTTATGTTTACAACTTTCACTGGAATTGCTCTTAGGAAGAAACCATGTCTGTTTGGAAAGATTTCTTGCTGAGTCACGTGGTGATGGATAGCAAGGGCTTGGAAACATGGATTAGCAAGATTCCGAGAAAGGAGAGCAATAGTCCAACCGAATCTGTGAAAGAAACATACAGGAATCAGACATGATGGAGGGCAGAAGGCAAGACCAAGTCATAGGTGGGAAGGCAGAAAGGAAACTGATGCAATTATTAGGACAGGATGCTTAAGTTCAATTTAAATTATTTGGGTTCTGTAGTGTAACTCTCCCCTACAAACCTTCAGTCAAATCTACTAAACTTGTAAAGATTTTTGTGTGGCATGATTTCACATCTGGGTCATTTCAGGGCAGAATGGGGCAGCATTATGAGATGATGATGTAAATATTCATTGAATAAATTAGGCAAAAGCAGGACTGAAGCAGAGGTAAATGGAGAACCATGAGCTAGTATCCCCTTTAGAACTCCAGAGAGACTGGGGCGGAGGTGGGAATGGGGAATGGGATTTTAGTAAATTTTTTTTCTTTTTTCTTTTTTTGAAACAGAGTCTCACTCTGTCGCTCAGGCTGGAGTGCAGTGGTGTGATGTCGGCTCACTGCAACCTCCGAGAATCAAGCGATTCTCGTGCCTCAGTCCCCAAGTAGATAGGACTACAGGTGTGTGCCACCACGCCCAGCTAATTTTTGTATTTTTAGTAGAGATGGGATTTCACCATGTTGGCCAGGCTCGTCTTGAACTCCTGACCTCAAGTGATCCGCCGGCCTCGGCCTCCCAAAGTGCTGGGATTACAGGTGACACCGCGCCCGGCCTAGTCAATTTCATCAAATCTCAAAGAGCAAAGTACTTCAGCCAATGCCTGGATTATAACTATCATGGTAGAAACCAGGTATCCGAGCAGACTTCCCTCTGCCCAAGGGAGTCTCTGGAGGTATTATTAGGGCTACCTTGAAGAAGGAGTATGTTAGCCAGTGGAAGAGAGGATCTCTTAGAAAAGGGAAGAGGTTTTGTTACAAGGCACTGGAAGGTTTGAAACAGGGGCAACATGATTGGATCTGGGCTTTAAGAATGTGTTGAGGATTAAAGTTTTTCATGTGGATGTGAGTGTTCACATCTTCTCTCTTCTTCTGCTCACTAAGGACAATGCTGTCTTTTTCTCAAGATCTTCTCCCCTGTCCTGCCCTCTGGGGGATGGTTGTTTGCACCAGTTTGGCTCCTGGGTTTTTGTGAAGCAAAAATCTGTTGAGAGTGGCAGAAAGAGAAGGAGAGAAGCCAGGATGGGGACAGGCATTGGAAAGGGCCGAGATCCACCCATGGGAGATGTTCAGGTGTACAAGGTGACTCTCTAAGTGGTGCCCCTCTTCCTTGCCTAAATCTTGGAACAACTGAAAATTAAGACCAAAGGCTGGGTGTGGTGGCTCACGCCTGTAGTCTCAGAACTTTGGGAAGCTAAGGCCGATGGATTGCTTGAGTCCACGAGTTGAAGACCAGCCTGGGCAACATGGCGAAACCCCATCTCAAAAAAAAAAAAAAAAGACAAGGTGTCAGGCTGGATGAAGATGAACTATTTACATTATGAAGGAGCCATTGTTGGAGATTGTGACTTTTTTTTTTCTCTTTTCTATTTTTTTTAATTAAGCAAAATAATCAAAACAAAAACTCAACAAGCCTAAGGCTGAAATAGCAATAAGTCAGATTGCTGCATCAGTTCATGGATGTACCTGGGGTACATGCTCCCTCACTGTGAGGCAGGATATAGTTTCTTTTATTAACCCATGGGGCTTAGCCATTAAATCTTAGCCAAGGAGGTATCTGTCCCCTCCCTGGGGAGTTGTTCTACAGTCTTGTTTATCTTTGCATTCTCAGCACCTAGCACAGTGCCTGGCAAAATGGCAGGTACTCCGTACAAATTTATTTTGAAGGAAAGAAGAGAGGAAGGAAGGCAGACATTGCCTAAGAGAAGAGAAGGGATTAAGAGACAGCACCCTGTCATCCCTTGGCTCGGGGTTAAACTGTACTTTAACCCATATAGAGAGATGAGGGGAGAAGCCCATGTCCCTCTGGGATCTTGAGGAACGCAGACACGTCCCTCCCTTTGTTACTTCCCATGTTTTTCAAGGTGCCGATCAATTTAGTAGGTTATGACCATAATTTAAAATGAAATTGAAAATATGAAAGGGCATTATATGTAGTGAGGTAGGAATTGTTTTGTGAAAATTGCTTCGTGTGTGTTTATGTTTGTGTGTGTGTATTTGTACTGGGTTGATGTGTAAATTGTATATTTTACTATGAGTTGCAGTTAAAAATGTCAAAACAATGGACTTCTCCCATTCAGCAGGACTAAATGGCAACTTCTATCTCTTCTCCTGTAAGGGAGTGAATTATAAATAGTGGGGTACAAGTAATCAAGGGATGAAGAATAAAGAGGGCACTTTAAGCCGAAAAGAACAAGTCTGTTAGTCAACCCTTCGGGGATTGTGGTCAAGGGCTTTGTCTGGGTGGTGTTTTGTAGCCGTGCTTGTCCAAGGCTAGGAAATAAAATTACACTTGAGCAACTGGCTGCCGTGAAGTCTCCACACTATTGCCAATGCAGGAAACCCAGGAATTGTGCGAAGAGTTCAATTTTATATTTTTCCTGTGTCTGTGGAGCTGGTTCATGTAAACGGGGTGCTGGTCATTGTGGTTAATTTTAGTAACAATATTGATATTAGCAGTACTGACATTGTTGTAGATTTGAGTTCTTTCCAGTTTTCGTAGGTCTTTTACATCTGTCTTCTCATTTAATTCTACAACAACCCTGGGCATAGTCAGCCAGGGCAGGATTACTTTAGAGGAAACAGGCTCGGAGAGGGTGGTCTGTGCTCATGCAGGCCCTGCTGTGTTTCCCAGTTCTCAGCTGGGTCCTTGTGGCATTTGAGGGGGCCCAATGAATAATACCTCTTTCCATGCTGGAATTCAAAGCCTACTGAGAGACAGAAACACCAGTGAAGACAAAAATATCAGCTTAATTATGGACAAATGCTGAAATGGACCAGGATTATGACTACCAGGGTCTCTGAGAGACCCTCCTGCTCCACCACAATTCAGTCCCAGATAGGACCTAATCTTTGAGGCATCGCTGGTCTCACATAAAGAGAGGTCTTTAGGGATCCACCCTCTAAAACCAAACCAGCCAACCAATCAACCAACCAACAAATGTGAGCTGGTTCTAGAGTGGCTAGGGGCACCATTTGTGGCAGCTGGGATCTGGGATTTGATGGCTAAGAGTTGTGGAAGGAGCTCCCTTACTTCCTTCAGGGAGGGTGGGTGGCTGGGAGCAGGAAGCTGGATGGGGCAGAGAGAAGCCAGAGTGGTGGGAACTAGCCCGGATTAGCAGATATGGGGAAAGAGAGCCTGAGCCTGGGTTCTACAGCAGCATTGTTATGTGTTTACTCACATGTGGAAAAGCTTTGAGGTGGAGATACTGAGCCTGCATCCATTTTATGAGCCAAACTCTCAGTGGGGATGGAGGTGGTCTTGATCAGAGGTGTCTTTAGCAAACCCTCTCTGGAAGAAAACATTCTGAAGTCAAAGGACCCTCCCAGGTTAAGATCAAACAGTTAACTCATGAGTAAAGATTACTAAACCCATAAGAAGCCACATCACTGTGCCCAAGGGTCGGCAGAAACAATGGACGGCGATGAACAGATTCAAGGACTGCAGATGGTATTAAATATAGAACAGTTACATGGAAAATGCTTAAAGAGATTAAGATACCACTTTTTTACTGTACCTTTTCTACATTTAGATATGTTTAGATGCACAAATACTTACCACTGTGTTGCAGTTGCCCACAGTATTCAGTACAGTAACATGCGGTACAGGTTTCTAGCCTAGGAGCAATAGTTTATACAATACAGCCTAGGTTCATAGAAGGCTGTACCACCTGGGTTTGAGTGAGTACACTCTAGCATGGTCACACAATGACAAAATTCCCTAACAACACATTTCTCAAAACATATCCCTTTGTAAAGTGATGCATGACTTAACAAAGCATGACGTATTTGGAAAAAAAGAAAACACTTCTAAATGTCTCATGCATCAAGAAGAAACATTATCATAAACTTAAAAGTACTTAAAACTGAACAATAATGGAAATACTATATATAAAAACTTGTTGAATGCAGCAAAAAATGTTTTAAGGGAAATTTATAGTCTTAAATTTTTATATTAGAAAAAATGAACATTAGTATTGTGTGTCCAATCAGAGTGGTTGGAAAAAGCAAAACAGAAAAGGCCCAAAGAAAGCAGAAGGAAAGACATGGTAAAAATATAAGCAGTAATCATAAAATAGAAAACCATGATACTATAGGACTCCAGAAGGCTAAAAATAGGTTTTTAAAAAGAGTAATAAATAGACAAACAGGTCAGGTGCGGTGGCTCATGCCTGTAATCCCAGCACTTTGGGAAGCCTATGTGGGTGGATCACGAGGTCAGGAGTTTGAGACCATCCTGGCCAACATGGCCAAACCCCGTCTCTACTAAAAATACAAAAAGTAGCCGGGCATGGTGGCACATGCCTGTAATCTCAGCTACTCGGGATGCTGAGGCAGGAGAATTGCTTGAGCCCGGGAGGCAGAGGTTGCAGTGAGCCAAGATCACACCACAGCACTCCAGCCTGGGTGACAAAGCAACTCTGTCTTGGGGGAAAAAAAAAAAAAAAAAGACAAACATCTGGTGGAACTAGGAGGAGGAAAGGGAGAAAAAAGAGAGAGAGGGAGACAGAGAGAACATTAACAGTATGAGTAAAGGGATGTAACTACAGATGTAACAATGTTTAAAAAAATATACTGCCAACAAATAATACCATCAATAAATGTGATATTGGAAAAAATGGAAAAATTCCTAGAAAATGTGTAACTTACTAAAACTGTGTCAAAATAAAATAAAAATTTGGAATTTCCCTATAACATTAAAACATCAGTTCCATATGTTTTTACAAGAGAGTTCTACTACACGTAAACCAAAAAAAAAATTAATTGCATTTTATTTTAAGTTCCGGGATACATGTGCAGGATGTGCAGGTTTGTTACATAGGTAAACGTGTGCCATGGTGGTTTGCTGCACCCATCAACCCATCGCCTAGGTATTAAGCCCCATACACATTAGCTAATTATCCTGATGCTCTGCCTCCTCCTGCACCCCCAACAGGCCTCAGTGTGAGTTGCCCTCTCTGTGTCCATGGGTTCTCATTGTTCAGCTCCCACTTACAAGTGAGAACATACGGTGTTTGTTTTTCTGCTCCTGCGTTAGTTTGCTGAGGATAATGGCTTCCAGTTCCATCTGTGTCCCTGCAAAGGACATGATCTCACCCCTTTTTATGGGTACATAGTATTTCATGTGTATATGTACCACATTTCCTTTATCCAGTCTATCACTGATGGGCATTTGGGTTGATTCCATGTCTTTGCTATTGTGAGTAGTGCTGCAGTGAACATATGCGTGGATGTATTTTTAAAAGAATGATTTATATTCCTTTGGGTATATACCGTAATGGGATTGCTGGGTCAAATGGTATTTGTCTGTAGGTCTTTCAGGAATTGCCACACTGTCTTCCACAATGGTTGAACTAATTTACATTCCCACCAACAGTATAAAAGCGTTTCTATTTCTCCACAGCCTCGCCAGCATCTGTTGCTTCTTGACTTTTTAATAATCACCATTCTGACTGGCATATCCCACTTTTAAGGAAAAGGTTATAATTGCAATTTTATGCAACTCATCCAGATAGTAGAAAAAGAAGGCACATTCCCCACTTCATTCTATGAAGCTAGCATAACATGACACAAAAACCAGATAAGGACAGATGGTGTGAAATTTATACACCCATCTAAATAATAAACATACATGCAAAATTCTAAACCAAATGTTAGCAAATTGAGTAAAATAGTAATAAAAAGATAAAATTCTACAACCAAGATGTTATTTAAACAAATAAAGGAGAAAACGTTTTGATCTTCTCTACAGAGAAAAGCATTTCATAAAATTAAATACCCATTGATAAAAACTCAGTAAATAGAAATAGACTAGAATTTCTAAACCTGGAAAGAAGGATTGAGAAAAACCCTACTGATCTTTATTCCAAGTGGGAAAATGGGAGAAGCATTCCCTATAAAATTATAAAGACAAGGATACCTACTGCTACACTCCTTCCCCACATTATGTTAGACATTCTTTCTAGCACATTATATGCACGCGCATGCATGCACACACACACACACACACACACACACACACACACACACACGATCAGAAAGGAGGAAACAAAATTGTTGTTACTTCTAAGTGATATAGTTCCTATACAGGAAATCCAAAAGAATATACATGATAAATTACTTGAAATAACAGAAAATTTAGCAAGAATTTAAGATATAAAATCAATAATATACACAAGTCAACTGTGGGTCTAGATCCTAGGAACAAACAGGAAAAACAGTTAATCAATTAAAAAAGTATATTAACAACAACAAAAATCTTAAACTACGTAAGAATAGATCTCATGAAAGATATGTATGATCTGTAAGCTATGATTCCATTTATATGACATTTTGTTAAAGACCATGGTATAGGAACAGAGGACAAATATCGATCTCCTGGTATTTGGCAGGGCTGGAGTGGAGAAGGCTGACTGCACAGGGGCCTGCGATGAAGGTTTTGGGGTGATGGAAACGCTCAGCCTTGATTGCAGTGGTAGTCACATGACTGCATATATTTTCAGAATTTATAGAATGTTATACCTAAAGGGTTAATGTAAATTATGCCTCAATTAACCTGACTTAAAAAAATAAGATTATTTTGTTTGTTAAATGACAAAGTAGGCCGGGTGCAGTGGCTCACGCCTGTAATCCCAGCCGAGGGGGGTGGATAACCTGAGGTCGGGAGTTCGAGACCAGCCTTACCAACATGAAGAAACCCTGTCTCTATTAAAAATACAAAAAAATTAGCAGAGCATGGTGGCACATGCCTGTAATCCCGGCTACTCGGGAGGCTGAGGCAGGAGAATCACTTGAACCCGGGAGGGGGAGGTTCCAGTGAGCCAAGATTGTTCCACTGCACTCCAACCTGGGCAACACGTGAGAAACTCCGTCTCAAAAAAAAAAAAAAGACAAAATAATACACCCACGTTGATAGCAGCATCATTTACAATAGCTGGAGGTGGAAACAGCCCAAATGTCTGTCAACAGATGTAGTATATACATATAATGGAGTATTATTCAGCCTTATAAAGGAAGGGAATTCTGATATATGCTACAACAAGGATGAACCTTGAGGGAAATATACTAAGTGAAATGAGCTAGTTGCAAAAGGATAAATATTGTATGATTCCACTTATATGTGGTTCCTAGAGTAGTCAAATTCATAGAGACAGAAAGTAGAATGGTGGTTTCCAGGGGGATTGTGGGGAGAATGGGGAGTTAATGTGTAATTGACATGGAGTTTCTGTTTGGGAAGATGAAAAATTTCTGGAGATACATGGCGGTGATGGTCGCACAATAATATGAATGTATTTAATGTCACTGAAAATGGTTAAAATGACAAATTTTATAAAATTAAAAAAATTTAAAAATTAATTAAAAAAATAAAAATGTAAAAATCACACACAAAAAAGACAAGGCAAACCTAGACCAGGAGAAGGAGGCCATAATATATAAACTCAGCAAATGACTCATATCCAGAGTATATAAAGAACTCCCACAAATCAATAAGAAAAAGCCAAACAAACCAACTTAAAAATGGACCAAATGGCTCATGTCTGTAATCCCAGCACTTTGGGAGGCCGAGGCAGGCGGATCACGAGGTCAGGAGATTGAGACCATCCTGGCTAACACGGTGAAACCATGTCTCTACTAAAAATACAAAAAATTAGCTGGGCATGGTGGCGGGCGCCTGTAGTCCCAGCTACTCGGGAGGCTGAGGCAGGAGAATGGCGTGAACCCCGTGGGGTGGAGCCTGCAGTGAGCCGAAATTGCACCACTGCACTCCAGACCTGGGCGACAGCAAGACTACGTCTCAAAAAAAAAAAAAAAAAAAAAAAAAAAAAAAATTTGGGCCAATGGGCCAGAGAAGAATGTTCGCTCTGGCTTGTGGGTGTGACTCCCTTCAGGCCACACAGGAAGAAATTGAGAACCAAGAGCAGTCGTTGGCTCAGTCCCCACTTCCCCCTTAGCTGAGGCCTGTGTGCTGGTGGATCTGTTTGATGGGGGTCCAGGTGTTTGAAAAACAACTCAGGGACATATGTTAAGATGTTATCTTTAGTTTCTATAGGGAAGCAAACATCTGACCCTAACTTTCTTGGCTGTTGTTTTTAGTTACTATTACCTTCTTGCTTATCAAGTTGTTTATTTACATCTCAGGACTAGCTAGGTCCCTGAAGTTTCTCTTGAAGGAATTCAAGATTTTCCTTTATTTTCATGCTTGGGGGGCCTGCAGTTCCCTAAAAAAGGGGTCCTTGCTCCGTCTCAAGTGTAATAATATCTAAAGTACAGGGTCATTGGAAGATTAAATGGCATGGCATATGAGAAAGCTTTTGGCACAGTGCCTGGCATCTGGTGACCATCAATAAAATAATGTCCCTTGCATTCCCTAGCTATAAGACTGGCAGCCAGTAGGCAGAGAGAGGGGTTGGGTGAGGGTCTCTGGGCAGGAGCTGGTAGGAGGTTGTCTCTCCAGGCCTGGACAAAGGGAATGCGGGTGGATGGAGGGCTGCAGCACTGTGGGGAGGGTCACTGGCACATCAGGCAAATAAATGGATGTGGAAGCCTGGGGCACCCTCTGCATCTGAAAGGAGAGGGGAGCAGGGGGTGGATTTGAGGTCGTCCTGGGAGGTGATGACATGAGAAGTGGGTCTAGGACAAAATTCTGGAGAACAACATATTTGAGGAGCTGGCTGAAGAGAAGTCAGAAAAGGAATACAGGGAGAAGCAGGAGAGGCCACATCATGCAAGCCGAGGGCATGGCTGTGGCTGGCACCGGGCACTGCGGAGCAGTCGGCAGGAAGCTTGTGTCACTGGACCAGGCTCCAAAGGTCATGGCAGTCTTTGTGGTGCGGCTGGAAAAGCAAGGCCCAGAGGGCACTGGACAGACTGTTGAGAAGATTCAAGGTCATGGGAGGAGGACTTAAAAAATGAAGTGCTGTGTGCAGGTTCTACGCCATGGGGAAGGAGCCATTGGCTGAGAGTGGCTTTGAGGTGGGGAGAGGGAGAGGAGGGAGGCAAGAGGCAAAGGCTGAAGGTTTCGTGGGCGGGTCAGGCAGGGAGTTAGTCGGGGCTGCCTGGAGGGTCCCAGTTGTCTCTGAAGGAGGAAAGACTTGAGCTGGAGCTTGACGGAGGGAAAGCATCAAACAGACAGGCCAAAGGACATCCTGGATTAGGATGAGGAGGAAAAGGAGGGACGAGGTGTGGAGGTGGAAAATTGGCTAGAAAGGGAGGGGATGAATTGCAGAGAGATGGCCTGACAGCGCAGGATGAGCACGGTAGCGAGTGATGGAGAATAGCGTGTCGCTGGCCAGGTCTGGTCACTCCCGAAGGGCTGGGGCCTTGCAGGCCAGGAGGTGGCTCTGTGGGCCGGAGAGCCCTCCCAGCGCACTCAGGTGGGGTGGCTGCCACAGGAGATGGGCGGGGCCCCTTCTTACAGACAGAAGGCAGGGTCCGAGTTGTTCAAATGGGCCCTGATAGTTTGCTTTTCTGCCTTCTCTCTCCTTCTGGATTTGTGGTTTGTTTGTTTTGGTTTCCCCCCCACCACTTTCCCCTGCACCCCACAGTCTCTGGAGACTGAGGCAGGGTCTCCATGTTGCAGTTATATCTCGTGTATTTAATTTGGCCCCCTTAATAAACAGAGGGTGGGGCAGAGGCTGTGAGAGAAGGACAGAATTAAAACCACATCCTGGAGTAATGAGATCTCCGTTTGGCCTCCTTCCCTTCTTTTCCCACTCCCAGGCTCTGCTCCTCTACCCTCCTTTCTTGGAGAGAAACACAGCTCTGCTTGCCTAATGGAAGTCAGTGGGAAAATTCTGTTCACATTCCATATATAGTCGTCACTCAGTATGTGTGGGGGATTAGCTCCAGTACCCCTTGCAGATACCAAAATCCACAGATGTTCAAGTTCCTGATATAAAACGGTGTCGTGTTTGCATGCAACCTCCTGTATACCTTACATCACACATCCTCCTGTATACTTTAAATAATCTCTAGATTACTTAGAATACCTAATACAATATGAATGCTATGGAAATAATTGTTATACTGTATTGTTTACAGAATAATGACAAGGAAAAAAGTCTGTACATGTTCAGTACAGATGCAATTTTTTCCCAAATATTTTCAATCCTTGGTTGGTTGAATCTATGGACACAGAATCCACGGATATGGGGGCTGACTGTATAACCTTGTTGGCATAAACCCATTCCACGGTGAGAGAACTTTGAGGAGTGGAATCTGTGTATGAATATATTTATAATCATGTTTGGATGACTGCAGGCTTGCTCTTGGGCAGAGCAGAGTTGGGCTGTAAAAAAGGATGGGAAGATTTTTCCCATCAATGGAAAACTCCCTGTTTGCCCCGACCCTTAGAGAAGGGAATGGAAGAAAGCTCTGAGTGATGTGGCCTTTGGGAGACCTCATGGTAGGGAAAAGCCAGAGAGCAGATCTGAGCTGTAGGGAGATGATCTGTACAGGAACTGACTCGTAATAAAATCAAATCTCAATTCTCCAGGCTTAGCATTTACGACTCAAGATTGGATTCTGAAGTCTCATTTGTCTTCCGGGATTCTGCTCCCCTTGGCTCTCTGATACAGGGCTCTATGGCCACTCCCTGCTGGCTTTAGGTGGCTGGCCCAGCCCAGGTTTCACCTGGGATCATTGCCTCAATTTCCCTAAATACAGCTGAGTCAAGATTGGGGTACTTAACACAATATTGTTCAAGGTTCAGGAATGACAAAGGGGAAATAAACATAGGAAGTAACATGAAACCAGCCCAGGTGCCAGGGGCAAGGACAGCTGCTTCTTGTTCCCCCTCCTGCCCAGGGCTCTCTCCCTGGCTCTGGCCCATCACAGAGACCACCTTCTTCCACCTCTCTTGTCCCTGGGACATAGCTTTGCCTTGGGGGCCCCAGAGAACAATTTCCTCAGACAACATCAAATAAGCCTGTAGAAGGGAGAAACACAGACAGTGACACAAGCTTGGCTGGCCACTGCAATCCTTCTTTAGCTGTTTTCCACTCCCCAGCTTCAGTGGCACCAGAGGGTCATGAGGCCATTTGTTAGGACAAGGCATTGTTTGCATCTTGATTTTTTTTTTTTTTTTTGATACGGAGTCTTGCTCTTGTTACCCAGTCTAGAGTGCAATGACACGATCCTGGCTTACTGCAATCTCAGCCTCCTGGGTTCAAGAGATTCTTCTGCCTCAGCCTCCCAAGTAGCTGGGATTACAGGCACATGCCACCATGCCCAGCTAATTTTTGTATTTTTAGTAGAGACAGGGTTTCGCCATGTTGGCCAGGCTGGTCTCGAACTCCTAACCTCAGTTGATCCTCCTGCCTCAGCCTCCCAAAGTGCTGGGATTACAGGCTTGAGCCACCATGCCTGGCTTTTTTTTTTTTTTTTTTTTGAGACAGGGTCTCACTCTGTCACCCAAGCTGGAGTACAGTGGCACAATTTCAGCTCACTGCAACCTCTGCCTCCTGGGTTCAAGCGACTGTCCTGGCTCAGCCTTCTCAGTTGTTGCAGATGACAGGATCTCATTCTTATTTATGGCTGAAGAGTACTCCCTTGTGTATATGTGCCACATTTTCTTTATCCATTCACCTATTGATAGACACTGATATGGTTTGGCTGTGTCCTCAACCCAAATTTCATCTTGAATTGTAGCTCCCATAATTCCAATGTGTTGTGGGAGGGACCCAGTGGGAGATAATTGAATCATAGAGGTGATTTCCCCCATACTGTTCTTGTGGTAGTGAGTAAGTCTCATAAGATCTGATGGTTTTATAAGAGGAAACTCTTCTGCTTGGCTCTCTCATTCTCTCTTGTCTGCCGCCATGTAAGACATGCCATTTGCCTTCTGCCATGATTGTGAGGCCTCCCCAGCCACGTGGAACTGTGAGTCTATTAAACCTCTTTTTCTTCATAAATTACACAGTCTCAGGTATGTCTTTATCAGCAGCATGAAAATGGACTAATACAGACACTTAGGTGCTTCCAAATCTTGGCTATCATGAATAGTGCTGCAATAAACATGGGAGTGCAGATATCTCTTCAATACACTGATTTCTTTTCTTTTGGGCATATACCAGCAACGGAATTGCTAGATCATATGGTAGCTCTATTTTTAGTTTTTTGAGGAATCTCCAAACTGTTCTCCATAGTGGTTGTACTAATTTACATTCCCACCAACAGTGTACAAGGGTTCCCTTTTCTCCACAGCCTCACCAGTCATTTGTTATTGCCTGTCTTTTGGATAAAAGCCATTTTAACTGGGGTGAGATGCTATCTCATTGTAGTTTTGATTTGCATTTCTCTGATGATCAGTGATGTTGAGCACCTTTTCATATGCCTGTTTTCCATTTGCATGTCTTCTTTTGTGTGTTCAGATCTTTTGCCCATTTTAAAAACAGGATTATTAGATTTTTTTTCCTATTTAATTGTTTGAGCTCTTTATATACTTTGGTTATTGATCCCTTGTCAGGTGGATAGTTTGCAAATATTGTCTCCCATTTGGTGGGTTGTCTCTTCACTTTATTGATTGCTTCCTTTGTTGTGCAGAGCTTTTTAACTTGATATGATTTCATTTGTCCATTTTTTGCTTTGGTTGTCTGTCTGTGCTTGTGGGGTATTAAGAAATCTTTGCCCAGTCCAATGTCCTAGAGAGTTTCCCTGATGTTTTCTTATAGTGGTTTCATAGTTTGAGGTCTTAGATTTAAGTCTTTAATTCATGTTGATTTAATTTTTGTACATGGTGAGAGATAGGGGTCTAGTTTCATTCTTCTGCCTGTGGATATGCAGCTTTCCCCATACCATTTATTGAAGAGACTTCTTTCCCCAGTGTATGTTCTTGGCACCTTTGTAAAAAATGAGTTCACTGTAGATGTATGGATTTGTGTCTGGGTTCTCTATTCTGTTCCATTAGTCTATGTGTCTGTTTTTATGCCAGTACCGTGCTTTTTTGGTTACTATAGCTCTGTAGTATAATTTGAAGCCAGTAAATGTGATTCCTCCAGTTGTGTTCTTTTTGCTCAGGATGGCTTTGGCTATTCTGGGTCTTTTGTGGTTCCACATAAATTTTAGGATTTTTTTTTCTATTTCTGTGAAGAATGTCATTTTTATTTTGATAGAGATTGCATTGAATCTGTAGATTGCCTTGGCTAGTGTGGACATTTAAAAAATCTTGGCTCTTTCAACCCATGAACATGGAATATCTTTACTTTTTTTTTGGTCCTCTTCAGTTTCTTACATCAGTGTTTTATAGTTTTCATCGTAGAGATCTTTCACTTATTTGGTTATGTTTATTCCTAGATATTTTATTTGTAGCTGTAGTAAATAGGATTACTTTCTTGATTTCCTTTTCAGATTATCTACTGTTGCCATATAGAAATTCTACTGCTTTTTGTATGTTGATTTTGTGTCCTGCAACTTTACTGAGTTTATCAGTTCTAATAGTTTTTTGTAACATCTTTAGGTTTTTCCAAATATAAGATCATATTGTCTGCAAACAAGATAATTTGACTTCTTCCTTTCCAATTTGGATGCTCTTTATTTCTTTCTCTTGTCTGATTGCCCTAACTAGGACTTCCAGTACTATGTTGAATAACAGTGATGACAGTGGGCATCCTTGTCTTCTTCCAGGTCTTAGAGGAAAGGCTTTCAGTTTTCTCCCATTCAGTATGATACTAGCTGTGGGTCTGTTGTATATGGCTTTTATTGTGTTGAGGTATGTTCCTTCTATACCAATTTTTTGAGGGTTTTTATCATGAAGGGATGTTGAATTTTATCAAATGCTTTTTCACCATCAATTGAACCGATCTTATGGCTTTTGTCCTCTATTCTGTTGAAATGATGTTGTATCCCATTGATTGATTTGTGTGTGTTGAACCATCCTTGCATCTCTGTGATAAATCCCACTTGGTCATGATGAATGATTTTTAAAAATATGTTGTTGAATTTGGTTTGCTAGTATTTTGTTGAGGATTTTTTGCATCAATGTTTATCAGGGATATTGGCCCACAGTTTTCTTTTTTTGATGTGTCTTTGTCTGGTTTTGGTATCAGGATAATATAGGCCTTGTAGAATGAGTTGGAAGTATTCCCTCCTCCTCTTAGTTTTTGGAATAATTTGAGTAGTATTGTTAGTAGTTCTTTAGTTCTTTAAATGTTTGGTAAAATTCAGCATTGAAACCATTGGGTCCTGGGCTTTTATTTGATGGGAAACTGTTTATTATGGCTTTGATCTCATTACTTGCTATTGTCCTGTTTAAGTTTTGGATTTCTTCATGGCTTAATCTTGGTAGGTTGTATGTGTCTAAGAATTTATCAATTTATTCTAGGTTTTCCATTTTATTGGCAATTTATTGGTAGGCTTTCTTATTTATTAGTAGCCTCTAATTTAAATCCTCTGAATTTCTGTGGTATAAGTTGTAATGTCTCCTTTTTCAGCTCTGATTTTTATTTATTTGAATCCTCTCTCTTTTTTTCTTAGGCTAAAGATTTGTCACTTTTTTATCATTTCAAAAACCAATGTCTGTTTCTTTGATCTTTTGTATTTTTTCATTTCAGTTTCATTTATTTTTGCTCTGATCTTTATTATTTCTTTTCTTCTACTAATTTTGGGTTTGGTTTACTCTTGCTTTTCTATTTCTTTAAGATGCATTGTTAGGTTGTTTATTTGAAATCTTTCTACTTTTTTGATGTAGGCGATTATTTCTATAAACTTTCTTCTTAGTACTCCTTTTGCTGTACCCCATAGGTTTTGGTATGCTGTGTTTCCATTTCCATTTGTTTCAAGAAATTTTTAAATTTTCTTCTTAATTTCTTCATTAACCCACTTCATTCAGGAATGTACTGTTTAATTTCCATGTGTTGGTATAGTTTTCTAAATTTTTCTTTTTTTGGTTTCTAGTTTTATTCCATCATGGTCAGAGAAGATACTTGATATTCTTTTTTTTTTTTTTAATTTTAAGACTTGTTTTGTGGCCTAATATATGGTCTATCCTTGAGAATGATGCAGGTGCTGAAGAGAAGAATGTGCATTCTGTAGCCATTGGATGAAATATTCTATAAATATCTATTGGGCCCATTTGGCATATAGTGCAGATTAAATCTGATGCTTCTTTGTTGATTTTCTGTCTAGATGATCTGTCCAACACTGAAAGTGGGGTGCTGAAGCCTATTATTGTATTAAAGTCTATCTCTCTCTTTAGCTCTGATAATATTTTCATTATATATCTGGGTGCTCCAATGTTGGGTGCATATATATTTACAGTTGTTATATCCTTTTGCTGAATTGATCCCTTTATCATTATATAATGACCTTTTTTTAATCTCTTTTTATAGTTTTTGTCTTGAAATCTGTTTGGTCTGATAAAAGTATAGATAATCCTGCTCTTTTTTCAGTTTCCATTTGCGTGGAATGTCTTTTTCCATTCATCTTTTTATTTTCAGTCTATGTGTCTTTATCAGTGAAGCATGTTTCTTGTAGGCAACAGATCACTGGGTCTTGTTTTATTCATTCAACCACACTGTGTCTTGATTGGAGAGTTTAGTTCATTTACATTCGATGTTATTATTGATAAGTAAGGACTTACTTCTGCTATTTTGTCATTTGTTGTCTCTTATTTTTGGTGATCTTCTTGTCTTTATTCCCTTCTTTCCTGTCTTCCCTTTAGTGAAGGTGATTTTCTCAAATGGTGTGTTTTAATTTCATGCCTTTTATTTTTTGTTTATCTGTTGTAATGTTTTTTGAGTTTACCATGCGGTTTGCAAATGGTATCTTATGACATGTTATTTTAAGCTGATGACAACTTAATACTAATTGCATAAACAAACAAACAAGCAAGCAAAGACAAAACTAATACAAATTCTACATTTTAACTTCATCCCCCTGATTTTTTTAAATTTTTGTTGTTTATATTTATGTTATTGTACTGCCTATGTCTTAAGAAGTTGTAGTTATTATTCTTGATAGGTTTATTTTTTAGTCTTTCTACTTAAGATATAAGTAGTTTACACACCGCAAGTACAGTGTTATAATATTTTATGTTTCTCTGTGTACTTACTATTACCAGTTTTTTTCCTTCGGATGATTTATTGTTAATTAACATTCTCTTTTTTCATGTTGAAGAACTACCTTCAGTGTTTCTTGTAGGACAGGTCCGCTCTTGATGAAATCCCTCAGCTTTTTTTTGTCTGGGAAAGTCTTTATTTCTCCTTCATGTTTGAAGGATATTTTCACCAGATATACTATTCTAGGGTAACAGTTTTTTCTTTCAGCACTTTAAATATGTCATGACACTCTCCCCTGGCCTGTAAGGTTTCCACTGAGAAATCTTCTGCCAGATGTGGAGCTCAATTGTATGTTATTTATTTCTTTTTTCTTGCTGCTTTAGGATTCTTTCTTTATTCTTGACCTTTGGGAATTTGATTATTAAATACCTTGAGGTAGTCTTATTTGAATTAAATCTGCTTAGTGTTCTATAACCTTCTTGTACTTGAATATTGATATTTTTCTATAGGTTTGGAAAGTTCTCTGTTATTATCCTTTTGAATAAATTTTCTACCCCAGTCTTTCTCTCTACTTCTTCTTTGAGGCCAATAACTCTTAGATTTGTCTTTTTGAGGCTATTTTCTATATCTTTTGTGTTTGCTTCATTCTTTTTTATTCTTTTTTCTTTTGTTTCCAATGTGTGTTTTCAAATAGACTGTCTTGAAGCTCACTAATTCTTTCTTCTACTTGATCAGTTCTGCTGTTGAGAGACTCTGATGCATTCTTCAATATGTCAATTGCATTGTTCAGCTCCAGAATTTCTTCTTGATTCTTTTAAGTTATTTCAACCTCTTTGTTAAATTTATCTGATAGTATTCTGAATTCCTTCTCTGTGTTATCTTGGATTTCATTGAGCTTCCTTGAAACAGCAATTTTGAATTCTTTGTCTGAAAGGTCACATATCTCTATTTCTCCAGGATTGGTTCCTGGTGTCTTACTTAGTTCATTTGGTGAGGTCATGTTTTCCTGGATGGTGTTGATGCTCGTGGATGTTTGTCAGTGTCTGGGCATTAAAGAGTTAGGTATTTATTGTAGTCTTCACAGTCTGTACTTGTTTGTACCCATCCTTCTTGGACAGGCTTTCCAAATATTCAGAGGGATTGTATGTTGTGATCTAAGTCTTTGGTCACTGCTGCCATATCTGCTTTAAAGGGCACCCCAAGCCCAATAATGCTGTAGCTCTTGCACTAGTAGAAGTACTGCCTTAGTGATCTTGGGTAAGATCCAGAAGAATTCCCTGGATTACCAGGCAGAGACTCTTGTTCTCTTCCCTTACTTTCCCCCAAACAAACAGAGTCTCTATCTCTGTGCTGAGCTCCCTGGAGCTGAGAGAGGGGTGACACAAGTACCCCTTTAGCCACCACCACTGGGACTGCACTGGGTCAGACCCAAAGCCTGGACAGCAACTGAGTCTCACCCAAGGCATGCATTGACCACTGCCTGGCTACCACCTATGTTCACTGAAGGCCCAAGAATCCCTACAGTTAGCAGGTGGCATATTGAGCCAGGCTTATGTCCTTTCCTTCAGGGCAGTGAGTCCTCCTGGCCCCAGGGGGGTCCAGAGATGCCATCCAGGAGCCAGGGCTGGAGTCAGGAACCTTAGGAATCTACCTGATGCTCTATTCAACTGTGGCTGAGCTGGCACCCAAGCCACAAGACAGAGAATCCTTCCCACTCTTCCCTCCCCTTTCCTCAAGTACAGGGGTCTCTCCCCGTAACCACTGCCACCCCAGGCCTGTGGTAAATAGTGCCTGGCTATGTTCAGTCGAGGCCCAGGCTTCTTCATTCAGCTTGTGGTGAATGCTGCCTGTTCCTAGTCCCTCCCTTCCAGGCAGCAGGCTTCCCTCTGGCCCAGAGCAGGTCCAGAAATGCCATCAAGGAGCCACAGTCTAGAACTGGGGACCCAGGAGCCCATTTGATGCTGTACCCTACTTGGGCCTAGCTGGTACCAGGTTCTTAGGATTTTTGTTCTTATTAAGGTGCTTTTCTGTGTGGACAGTTGTTTAATTTGGTGTTCCTGCAGGGGGACGAACGCTGGAGGCTTCTATTCAGCCATCTTGCTCTGCCTCCCCTCATTGTCTTTTCTTGTCTTTTTCTTTTTTTCTGAGATGTGGTCTTACTCTGTCACCCAGACAGGAGTGTAGTGGTGTGATCACAGCTCACTGCAGCCTCCACCTCCTGGGCTCAAGTGATCCTCCCATCTCAGCCCACCAAGCAGCTGGGATCACAGGTGTGTGCCACCATGCCTGACTAAGTTTTTGTGTGTGTGTGTGTGTGGAGATGAGGTCTTGCCATGTTGCCCAGGCTGGTCTCATACTTCTGGGCTCAAGTGATCCTCCCACCTTGGCCTCCCAAAGTGTTGGGATTATAGGTGTAAGCCACTGTGCCTGGGTCCATTGTGCCTTTCAATGACATATTTTAAAAAGTTTCCTGGCAGGTCCTTGGTTAAGGCTTCCTTCCGGGAGTTGCTCTTTCCATAAATCATGGTAAGGAGGTTGTGCCCTCAGAAGCTGAGCCCACCCCGGCCCTCCTGGGCATGTGGAGAGCAAAGCCTCCTCTGCTGAGGAGTGAAGCCAGTTCCCTCAGGGCTGAGGGAGGACTGGAGAGATGCATGTTTTAGAGCAAGGGCGTAGTCTGTCCCTTTGGGCTTCTCAGAAGGCCATGATCACAGTGGCTGTTTTCTGGCCCCTGGGTCTCCCCTTGAGCTGAGGAGGAGATATGTCCACCTGGTTAGGCTTGGAGATTCATGGCTTGGTCCTTGGATTTTTGAGGGTCTTATTTATTTTCTCAGGCCAAGTTCCCACCTGGTGGGAAGCACTGTGCAGGTTCGTGGGGATGCAGCCCTGCACAGCCCAGACTGGACTCCTTCCCCATGGAACTCACAACACACGGGAGAGGCAGAGAGATCCAAGCGCACAGAAAAACACAAGAAGATTCAGCCCTGTCATCTTGTGCAAAGTGAGTTCCACATAATTCAATTATAAAATGAGAGATTGTGTTTCTGTGAGCTTCATAAAAATGAATTATTTCTCTGTCACAAAAAGTAAAGACAGTACAAACGACACTGTGCATCATAGTCCTTACACTGAATTGAGAACATCTCAAATGGTCCTGAGGCCACCAGTTTCTGGACACCGCATCTCCTCTCCGAAGACATGAGCTAGGGCTTTGCGTCATCTAGACCAGGACTGGATGCTGGCTATGGGAACAGCATGTGCAAAGGCCTGGAGCCCCATCTGTGTCTAGCCTGATGGGTGCCAGATGAGGAAGCCAGGACCACGAGCATCTCCTGGGCAAGGCTGCTCTTCCCGGGTAGCCCCAGCACCCAGCCTGGTGTCAACACACAGTAGGGCTCACAGGTATTTCCAGACTGATGGAAGCTCTAAGGGGAGGTGCTCAGGGCCCAGGAGGCAGGGCTGGCCTGGGAAACATCACTGCACTCCTTCCTGGCAGCATCTTCCTTTGTGCCTTGGCAGATGTTCCAGGAAAGCTGGCCCACGCCCTTCCCGCAAGCCTTAAGACGGCTGCCTTTTGCCTGCATTTAAATGCAGTGTACCAAATGTCAGTTGGCCACTGACTCATAAGCTTTCTGAGGCCACACATGCCTTTGAAATGCTTCAGAGAGCACTTCTTACAGAAAATCCATATACTGCACCCACCCAATTAGATATGGAGTGTTCTGGGGTCCTCTCCGCTGGCCTGCCTGCGAGGCGGCCCATTTGTAGAGCTCAGAGACCCCGGCTCCCACCCCGCCTGGCCCCTCTCCCTCCAGACTCTCTGATGCCTGCAGCGTCAGGTGTCCCAGCCTCCCCTGGGAGATCTCCTGACCAGGCTCTGCCTCTCTCCTGTGCCCACAGCTGGGCCGGGGACAGCCTGTTCCCAGCAGACAGTCAGACCAGCCCCACTTGGTAACTCAGACTCCTAGACCCCAAACCTGAGGGGCTGCTGTGATGGCCCCCCCAATAGCTCTCCCTGTCCCTCCCTGGCTCTTCCTCCTCTGAGAGGCCTGGGAAGGTTCAGAGGCTCCAGATGCTGGAACACCCGTTTCCCTGCAGAGGCTCAGCCAGCCTCGCTCTTCCCTTCTCTGTGATCCCTGTGGTCCCACCCAGCTTGCTGGCTTCTAGTGAGCCAGCCCCGCTCTCCCCTTCTCTGTAATCCCTGTTGTCCCACCCAGCTTGCTGGCTTCTAATGTCACGAATGCCTCTGCTTTCACTCCATCTCCCACCTTTGCTTTCTAGTCTGCACTGATCATGACATTTCCACCATCTCTTGCTAGAACCCTGGACTCCCTTACCCCTCTGCCTTGCTCCTGCCCGGTGAACCCCTAGCCCTAGATGGCCCCAAGACAGTGTCCTCCCCAGCAACAAGTCTAGCTGTTCTCCCTGCACTTCCCTCCCCGTCCGCTGTGCTCCCATGTCCCCTTTCCTCCCTCACTCCCAGGCTGTCTTCCATTTCCCAGGGACTAAGGGAGGTGAGAGGGACAGTGGCACTCTGAAAAAAGATCAGAGGCAGCAGGGGGCCGGGGGAGGAAGAGACTCTGAAAGTGAGCAGTACTCAGCCATACCCAGCAGGACTCAGGGTACTCAGTTGTATTCAGCAGGACTCAGGGTGCCCAGCACACCCAGCAGGTCTCAGGGTTCTCGGCTGTACCCAGCAGGTCTCAGGGTTCTCGGCTGTACCCAGCAGGTCTCGGGGTTCTCGGCTGTACCAAGCAGGTCTCAAGGTTCTCGGCTGTACCAAGCTGGTCTCAGGTTTCTTGGCTGTACCCGGCAGGTCTCAGGTGCCCGGGTGTACCCGGCAGGACTCAGGGCACCCAGCCATACCCGGCGGTACTTTAGAAATACTCAGTAGTACTTAGGGTGCTCTAGTGTGGACTTTGTCCCTCCAGTGCCTTGGGCTGAATTGGGTCCTCACAAAATTCACATATTGAAGTCCCAACCCCTAGCCAGGACATCAGAATATGATTGTACAGTTAACCCTTGAACAACAAGGGGTCAAGGGCACCGACCCCCTCGTAGCCAAGACTCACATATGACTTTTGACTCCCCCCAAACTTAACTACAAATAGCCTACTGTCGCCTGGAAGCCTTACCAATGACAAACAGTTGAACACATATTATGTATGGTATATGTATTATGTACTGTATTCCTACAACAAAGTAAGCTAAAGAAAATGTTATTAAAAGAAACAAAAGGAAGAGAAAATCTATGTATTAGTCATTAAGTGGAAGTAGATCCTCATCAAGGTCTCCATCCTCCCTGTCTTCATGCTGAGTAGGCTGTGGAGGGGGTGGTGGGGGTGGGTCTTGCTGTCTCAGAGGCAGAAGAAAATCCGCATGTAAGTGGACTCACAAAGTTCAAACACATGTTGTTTCATAATCGCCTGTATTTGCAGACAGGGCCTTTACCGAGGTAATTAGGTTACCATGAGGTCATATGGGTGGGCCTTAATCCAATATGACCAGTGTTCTTATGAGAAGAGGAAACGAGGGCATAGATTTGCACAGAGGAAAGTCTGGGTGAAGGCGCAGGGGAAGGCGCTTCTGCAAGGCAAGGAGAGAGGCCTCAGAAGAAACCAGTCGCGAGGATGCCTTGATGTCAGACTTAACTTCCAGCCTCCAGAACTGTGAGGACATTTTTGCTGAGGCCTCCCAGTCAGTGGTGCTGTGAGCTGGAAGAAACCTTGGAGGTCATCTCATGATCCATCCACTTCTGTTTACTGATGGGCAGATGAGGCCAAGAGCAGGAGTGCAGGGCCACAAAACGAGTCAAAGACAGCGCTCCCAGGCCAAGGATGGCTTCTTAGCCTGGCAGATGCCAGGACTGAGGTGCTGGAACAAGAGAAGCTGGGGGAGAGACAGGTGGGGTGCAGGTGGGAGGAGGGGGCACCCTGTCCTGGGGCAGGGCAGGTACAGTGTGCTCAGGGGAGGAGGAATCTGAGGGAGCGCAGTTCGAGCTGCCCACGTGTGCGTGTGTGCGTGTGCGCGTGCACAAGTGCGTGCTGGTGGTGTCGGGAGGGAAGGCAGGGAACAAGCGTTGTCTCTGCCTCCAGGAAGATGTGGTTGGCGGGGGTGGAAAGTGGCCTCTGGAGGTTTGACCAAGTTGCCTCCGGTGGCTCGTGTCTGTAATCCCAGCACTTTGGGAGGCCGAGGTGGGAGGATTGCTTGAGCCCAGGAGTTCAAGACCAGACTGAGCAATATAATGAGACCCTGCCTCTACAAAAAAATTAAAAATTAGCCAAGTGTTGTGGCACACGCCTGTGGTCTCAACTACCCGGAAGGCTGAGGTGGGAGGATTGCTTGAACTTTGGAAGTGGAAGGAGGTTGCAGTGAGCCGAGATGGCGCCACTGCATTCCAGCCTGGGTGACGAGCCTGTACTTCAGCCTGCACTCCAGCCTGGGCAAGACCCGACCCCCCACCCCTGCCAAAAAAAAGACTACTCTGGCTGCAGTGTGGAGGGCACCAGTAAAAACAGAGCAGCACCACTCTCAGCCTCATCTCATCTCCCTGAGCCACACTTCACATGGAGGCGAAGGGTGATGGCAGCATGGCTCAGGGAGGTGAGATGGCGCTGAGTGGTGCTAGGATCCGAGATCCAGGGTGAGGGCAGAGTGAGCAGGAGGGGGAGGCTGATTGAATTGGGTGCAGTGGAGGCTGGTGAGGGCCACTGACAGCAGGTGGATGGACTAGTCTGGAACCCAGAAGAAAGATCTGGGCAAGGACTTAATTTGAGAATTAAGGCTAGGTTATAGGAGCAGATGTGGCTAAGGGAATACATGCAGAGGAAAAAGAGAAGAGGCCTGAAATGGAACCCCTAGAAACACCTACATTTATAGGATAGCCTTTAGAGAAGGAGCCTCTCTGAGTTTTCTCATCTGTAAAGTGGGTATAACTATGCAGGCCGTTGTAAGGATTAGAGAAGCTGATGTATATAGTGTTGGTGCTCCATTGATGGGACAGTCACATGCCACTGAACGTCAGGGACACATTCTGAGAAATGCATTATAAGACTGTTTCGTCATTGTGGGGACATCGTAGACTGTGTTCACACAAGCCTAGGTGGTACAGCCTGCTTCGCACCTAGGCCACATGATAGAGCCTGTTGTTTCTAGGATACACACCTGTACAGCATGTGACTGTACTGAACAGTGTAGGTGACTGTAACACAATGGCAAATATTTGGGCATCTAAACACAGAAAAGGTAGAGCAAAAATACGGTATTATAATCTGATGAGATCACCACCCTATGATGTGCACGACTGGGTTTGTAACTATGACATGGTCCGCATCGCTCTTCCTCCTGTGCTACATTGTCTGTTCCAGAGCTATAGCCTGAGGACTGGGCTTCATTGCTGAATGCAGTCCTGTATCCAGACATTTGGTTCTGTTAATGCAGCCCAAAGCTGCACTTGGCTGCTGCTGAGCATGGGGTCAGCCAAGACCCCTGGATCTATGTGAAGCACGCCTTGCACCCAAGAACCCATGAGACCCTCGTCATGGACCAGGCCCCATGGCAGGAGCTAAGGGCAATTCTCAGACCTAGAATCCTCACTTGCCTTTTTCAGGCAAAGACAGGGAATTGATGGGCATCCTGAGCCTCCGTCCTTCAGTGCTCTGGGAGCCCAGGCAGCTGTCAGGAAAGGGACAAGGCCAGGGACTGGGAATGTGGAGGGAAGGGGCAGGTTTGAGGAGATCCTGGGTGATGAGAGAGGGACTCTCCAGGCTAGGGCATAGATGCCCTGGGTCCCCCTATCCCAGCCTCTTACATCTCTCAGTGAAGCCATGTCCGCTGCCCATGACAGGGAGTCTGGCTGTAACCATCTTTTGGAAGCTGGATGCCGGGCTAGTGGCAGTGGTTGGAGCAATGCTACCTCCTAGTGGTCTGATCTGCAAGTGCAGTCAATGGATGTGCCAGAGATCTCAGAGCTGCCCTCTGGGACCCCCACCCCACCTCTCCTGGGGTCACAGACTGCCTTTTGGTCAGCCTGTCTTAGTCTTGTCTGTAGCCACCTGTCAGCCTGCCTCCAGCTGTTTTTACCTCAGCATGTCCCTTCCGTTCTGGCTCATGTTAGCCGTCGCTCTGTGGCATATCTCTCTTACTCTGTCTGCCCTGCTGGCTTGGGCTGTCCGTTCCTCCATGTCTCATTCCATCAGTTTTCACCTCACCCTCTGCTGGGCCCTGGCTCTCTATTCTGCTTCTCACTTGTTTTGGACTTCTCCCTGCCCCCTATACCCTGTCCCTGTGTCCCCGAGCTGGGGTCATGCCTGGGGTCATGTCTGCCCTCTTCTTAACATTGAAGCTGGTTCTTGAGAAATACAGAGGCTTTTCTGCTTTTTCCAGGATGAGTCAGGAACTCCTGGAGTGAGAAGGGCTCAGGCCTCACCCAGCAGTGACCTCAGAGAGGGTGTGCAAGGTCAGAAGAGCCTCCAGCTGAGCTCAGCACTGTGACAACAGACTTTCCAAAATATGCTTAAGGGTCTGGCCGGGGCTGGACATGCTCCAGCAGGTGTCAGGGAAGAAGAATGAGCAAGCTGGCTGAGTCTGAGCCTGGCCCCGCCTAATGTTGTCTCCTCCCTGAAGCCTCCCCTCCCTTCTGTGCTACCACAGTTCTTAGGTCTGTGGCGTCCTGAAGCCACTGGTGCCATGTGATGGTTTGCATTTCAATTAATTAAAATTACATGAAATGAAAGACTCAGTTCCTCAGTCACACTAGCCACATTTCAGATGCTGAATGTCCACACATGGCTAATGGCTGTTGACCATATTGAGTAGCACAGAAGAGAACATTAGCCGCATCACGGAAAGTTCCATTAGTCAGCACCTTCTTAGAATAATCTTTGGAAAACATCCCTTTCTTCTTTTACTTTCCTACCCTCAGAGGGAGGATAGGATCATAATGTGTCCATCTCAGGATCCCTAGGGTCCAGCATGTCACGTTATATACATTTGTTGGCTGGTTGGCTAGATGGATATATGGATGGATGGGTGAAGGGAGGGAGGGAGAGAGGGATGGGTATATGGGTGGATAGATGGGTGGGTAGATAAGTAGATGGATGATGGATGGATGGATATATAGATGAATAGATGGATGGTGGGTGGGTGGGTGGAAAGATGGGTAGGTAGACGAATAGATGGATGAATGATGGATAGTGGGTGGGTGGAAAGATGGGTAGGTAGATGAATAGATGGATGAATGATGGATAATGGATGGATATATAGATGGATGGATATATAGGTGGATGAGTGGGTGGATGAGTGGGTGGATATACGGATGGATGGATGGGTGGATGGGTGGATGGTTGGATAAATGAATGGATAGATGGATGGATGAGTGGATGGATGGTTGGGTGGGTGGCTGGACATGTGGCTGAGTAGATGAATGGATGGATGGATATATGGATGGATGGATGGATAGATGGAAGCTTGAATTCCCAAATTTCTATGCCATGGAAGTCACAGGGGGACCAAGGAAGTGGGCAGAGTTGCCTCTGAACTGGCCAGGTGAGCTGGTCTGTGGAGATGTTGCTCTGCTCCAGGTTCTGCAAATGAACAGAGGGGCTTTGATGACCCTCAGCCTGAAAACTTGAACTTGTGAGTAGCTCTCAGGGGACTTAGAGCTACAAGAGCTTGGGGGTTTCTGCAGGTAAAGCGAAGGACTGAAGGGTCAGCTGTGGGGACTTCCTGTTTCAGGGTGAGCACCTAGCTGTGTCTAGGGTGGAAGTAGCCAAGGTGGCTGGGAGTGGATGAGCTGGAGGAAGGGTAGCCAGATCCAGGCCTCAGGGATGGGCTGTCTGGGCTCACCCTTCTGCAGCTTGAACCCCAAGGAGTGGGGCCAGGTTCTGGGAGAGGGATGGGGCAGCTGCAAGGCTTGAGTCCAGCTCAGTCAAGGGCAGACAGGAGTTGAGGCCAACCTGGGAGGAACCCTTCCCAACACAAACCGTTACCAGCAGCTGGACCTGGACAGCCAGGGCGGTAGTGGTCTGACCCAGAGCAGGAGTCTGATCCAGCAGGAGCAGGAGCTCAGTGGCAGCCTCTGTTCTATCCCCATGGGCTGCTCTCCACTCAGTACTCCGGAAGGCTCCTGAGCAAACTTGCTGCCTTGTTTGGACTGCTCTGAAGGGGAAAGGATCTGCTCATCCCTGGGCGGGAGAGAGGGTGGTGCACGCCACAGTTAATTCAACAGACACTTGCTGAGCACTCACTGGCTGCCAGGCGTGTGTCAGCGCGGGGGGTCTGTGTTGAGGATGCCACAGTCTTGCCCTGGAGAGTACCTGACCCTAGCAGACGTCAGGTGACCCAGAGCCACAGAAGAGCAGAGGAAGGAATGAAGAGGGCGGGACTGTGGCTTCGCAGGGGCACGGCTTGCAGAGGTCAGTGTGCCGATTCTGCAGCCTCACTGTGCAGGTTCCACTTACAGATAGATGGTAGTAGCATCACGGGCAAATTACTTGGCCTTTTGTGACTCCTATTTGTTTGTTTGTGTTTTTGAAATCTACAATGCAGGATAGTAAAGTAATAGTGTGGAACCCATAGAACTGTTGTGAGTTCATTCATGAGAAGTGTTCAGAATGGTGCCTGGTACACAGCAAGCATTATATAAACCCATGCTATTAGCATTACGGAGCTACCTCTCTCCGCTTTGGTTCTACTGGATTGATCAGACACCTTCTTCCCCAGGGAGGTAGCTGGAGGGGAGCAGTGGTGGTGTGAGGGGAGGAGAAAAAGTGGAGGTTTGGGTGCTGCAAGTGTTCCTGCTTTTCTGAACCTCATCCCTTGTCTGGGGGTGAAGAGAGGTGGGCAAAGGGAAAGCCCAGGTGTCAGGACCCGCCATGATCTCCAGGGACCAATGCACAGCATTGTCTGGGCTAGGGAGGATGCTGGCCTTCCAGGGTCCTCTAGTCCAGAGAGGGAAAGAAGCGCAAGAGGGCACAATGAGCTCTTTCCTTTTTATTTTATTTTATTTTATTTTATTTTATTTTTTAGAAAGGGTCTCCTTCTGTTGCCCAGGTTGGAATGCAGTGGTGTGATCACAGCTCACAGCAGCCTCAAACTCTTGGGTTCAAGCGATCCTCCTGCCTCAGCCTCCCAAAGTGCTGGGATTACAGGCATGTGCCACTGAGCTCAGCCTTCTTTCCTGTTTAAATTTCCAAAGCATATATGCTCCATGTTACATGTTCAAAAAGCATAGTTCAAAAAACATAAAAAGCACAAAATGAAAGCCTCCCTCTGAAATCCCTTCTGCCTCATCAACCCCCTCAACCCTTCCTGCAAAACCTAGTTCTTGAGATTAAACACCATTAATAATTTAGAGTGCATCCTTTCCAGGCCTTATGTATATTTTAATAATCTAAACACACACATGCATACATACCATTTTGTATAAAAAGAAAGGAAAGAAAATTATATAATATTACACACATTATTCTGCAACCTGATTTTCCACCCATGATATGCCATGGAAATCCTTTCATGTTAGTACGTCTGGACCACTTCATGGCTTTTACTGCTTCAGAGTATTCTATCGTGTGGATGTATTATAATTTTTAAAAACCACTTACCCAGTAATGGACACTTAGGTGGTTTCCCATCTTTTGAGATTGCTAACAATTCTGCTGTGAGCATCCCTGCATATGCAGCTGTGTCTGCATGCAAGTGTTTCTGAGACTGAATTCCCCAAGAGGAATTGCAGAGTGACAGGGAATGTGCATTTTAAAAGGTGATGGGTAGTAGGTAGGCATATTTTTAGGGTTTGTATCAAACTCCCATGGGAACCCCTGTATGTCCAGAGAGTGGGCGAACCGTGTTATGTGGGGAGCACAATGCTGGTGACCCAGGTCTCCACACTCTCAGGCTGTTGGGCCCACTTGACATGGGACCACTGCCCCCTGCCTCCCAGCACCTTTGCTTCCTTCCCGTGGGCCTGATGCTGCCTGGGAATCCTCCTGAATCTCCATAGCCCATTCATTTCCTCTTGCGGTGACATATCTGTTCTGTCCCTGTGCTCTTCCCTGGAGCCTCCATTTCTACTCTCAGCTGATGATGTCACTTCCTGTCTCACTGAGAAAATAGAAGCCACTGGGAGAGAATGTCCATGGTCCCCACCCCCACACCACACACCTGCTTGCATCTGCCTGGGTCTTCTGCTTCCTTCCTGGGCTGAGGCAACCCCTCCACTCTGTATGACCAGATCTTCAAAAAAATACTATTATTGAGATATAACTCATACTCCATGAAATTAACCCCTTTAAAGTGTACAATTTAGTGCTTTTTAGCGTGTTCACAGAGTTGTGTAACATTTACCGCCACCTAATTCCAGAACATTTTCATCCCCACGGGAAACCCCGTTCCTATTAGCAGTCAGTCCTCATTCCCCCTCCCTGGTCCCTGGAGACCACCGATCTATGCTGTCTCTGAAGAAATCTAGTCTCTCCAGACTCACCTGTTCTAGACATTTCATATAAATGGAGTCACACACCATGTGGTCTTTCGCTACTGGCTTCTTTCACTTGGCATTTTGTACTCACGGCTCATCCATGTTGTAGCCTGTATCAGAACTTTGTTCTTTTTTATGGCTGAATAATATTCCATTGGTCAGTTGATAGACATTGGTGTCGTTTCTACTTTTTGGCTCTTACAGACAATGTTGTTATGAATATTTGTGTGCATGTTTTTGTGTGGTTGTATGTTTCTGGTTCTCTTAGGTACATACTTAGGAGTAGAATTGCTGGGTCATATGGTAACTGCAGGTTTAACTTTTAGAAGAACTGCCAAACTGTTATCCAAAGTGGCTGTATCATTTTACATTCCCACCAGCAGGGCCTGGGGGTTCCAGTTTCTCCCCATTCTTGTGATTGCCTGGTGTTCCATTCTAGCCCTCTGGCGGCTGTGAAGTGCATCTCCTCTGGAAGCACAGTCAGATCTTCTCATCTGCTTGAGGACAGCACTCTCATATTTCTCCCTGACCTCTCCTTCAATACGTTTTTCCCTTTGTACCCCAATCACCCGTCAGCATGGAGGCAAGCTCGTATTTTTTCCCGCCTTGAAAAAACTCTCTTGACTCACGGCCCCTCCAGCTAGCTCCCCATCTCTCTTCTCTCTTTTACAGCAAAATCCCACAAAAGAATTGTCTCAACTTGTCTCTGATTTCTCTCTTTTCATTCTCCTTTGAACATACTCTTGTCAGACTTTTGTCCCCACTCTGACCACAATCAAGGTCACCAGTGACCTCTACATTGCTAACCCCAGGGGACCTTTCTCAGCCCTGACTTAAGGATCAGTGGCTTTTTACGTGGTTGGTCGCTTCCTCCTCTTTTCTGACTTGGGTTCCTGGGAGCCCCCCTTCCTGGTGTCCTCTCTTTCGCTGGCTCCTCCTTCTCATTCTCCCCAATTCCTCAACATCTTCCTGATCTGGAAATGTCAGAGGGCCCTGGGGCTCTCTCCTTGGTCCCTTCGCTCTGCTTTCAGAGTGTCTGATATCTCATCCGGTCTCACTCTGAATGTCACCCAAGTGCTGATGACTTGCGGATTGTAGCTCTAGGCAGGGCCTCTCCTCTGAGCTCCACACTCATTTATCAACAGCCCCCGTGACATTTCACCTGACAACTCTGACCGTCAATTCCCAAACGGAACTCCTGACTTCTCCCATTGAGCCTCAGCAAAAGACAGTACTGGGACAGCTTCTTTCTCTACCTAAGGCCAAGGCCTTGGCATCGTCCTTGACTCCTTTCTCTCTTACACCTGGGAGAATCCTGCCATTTTCACCTCCCCACTGTCTTTGCTACCCCAGGGCCAAGGTGCTTGGAGGTTGCAGTGGACTCCTAACTGATGTCTGTTTCCACCCTTGACCCCACGGTCTGTTCTCAACACAGTGCCCAGAGAGATCCTCTTAAAACACAAGCTAGTTACGCCATCCCCCTGCTCAGAGCCCGGCCATGAAGCCCCATGTCATGGAGGCAAAGCCCTCGCCATGGCCCACAGGGTCCTTCAGGGTCTGCCCCCACCCCTGCCCTCTCCAGCCTCCACATAATCCTCAGGGCCTTTTTCTGTTCTTCAGACCCTCCAGGCAGGCCTCGGGCCTTCGCGCTTGCTGTGCCTGCTCTCTGGGATGCCCTAGCTCAGAAGTCTGCTCAACTCTCTCCTCGTCTCCTCCCAGGCTTTACGCAAATGTCACTGCCTGGGTGAGACCGTGTCTGGCCACTTTGTGTAAAACCACAGCCTCCCTGACACTACTCACCGCTTCCGGCTTTATTTTTCTCCTGGGTGCTCATCCCTCTAATACACCGTCTGTTTTACGTGTTGACCTTACTTATGCATTACCTCTTTCCCCCATTAGGATGTAATCTCTGCAAGGGCAGGGCTTTTAGTCTGTTTCTTCACTACTGTATACCCAACCTCTAACATCACTCCTGTCCCAAGGGAGGTGCTGAGTCAATATTTGCTGGATGCCTGATTCAAGGCCTGCGGTCTGGAAGTTCTCCGATGGTGGAGCGGCCCCTACGGCCACGCCGCGGTCGGCCAGGAGGTGGCGCTGTGACTGCAGAAATGGCGGGCTCCGGCTGCCCGGCCTCTTCTCAGGAATGAATGCACCTGGGACTTCCCGCTTCGGAGGCAACGCGCTGCGGGTGGGGGGCGCGGAGGTACGGCCGTGTGCGCCCCCAGGTCAACCTGCTGCCTTTCTCATCTCTGGCAGGACTCCGGGGAACCTGTGCTTATTTCTGGGCTGGTGAGGGTCACCAACACCACCCTGATCCCAGGCCCGGTGACGTCTGTCCGGGGCAGCCTCTGGAAGCCGAGTGGATTTGGTTGGACGCCCGAGTCTTTCCTGGGCCCTGGGACAGGGGTGAGGTTTCCGTGCCCGCCTGCTCTTGCTCTCAGCCATGGGACCTGTCCTGCCCTGGCCTGCATCCAGCTCTGAGCCTCCTCAGCAGCCAGGAGAGGCCCTCGGCTCAGGGCTCCTCACAGCTGGCTTTTGGAGGTGCCAGCGAGGATGCTGCCGTTCCTGGCCCTGCTACTTGTCGGCTGGGTGACCTTGGGCAAGTGCTGAGCCTCAGTGTTGTCATCTGTTCGATGGGAGAGACACGCCTGCCTTGATGGTAGTGGGGAAGGTTAGATACTTGTAAAATCCCATTTGGTTCTGGGCAGGTGCGGAGCAGGTGCCCTTGGCCAGTGCCAGCTCCCATTGAGGCAGTGGGCAGTGCCAGGGCTGGCTGGGCGTTGGGGTCCGACCCAAGGGGCTGCCCCAGGCCCCGCATGTTCATGCATTCACTCCGACACCTGTGCAACGTGGCTCTCAAGGGCCTGGTGCTGTGTAGGGGATTGGGGGAACCATAGGGATGAAAAAGACTTTGCCCCTGCATTCCAGAAGCTGAGAACTAATGGGAGAGACAGGAATAATCCTACGTGAAACAAAGTTAAATAACAAAGATGAGACAAAGCACAAGAGGTGTGGGCAGGCTGCCGGTGATAAATGCCCAGCGAGCAGGACAGATAGGAAGTGCTTCCAGCCCCGCCAGAGAAGCAGTGGGCTGTGTGGTCCAGGGAGGTCACTGCCAGGCTTGGGGCCAGGAGGCAGGCAGAGGTCATGGCCGTGGCTGTGGAGGTAACCAGCCTGCAATGAGGCCCGCTGCGCCTCTTTCCCCCACTGATGTCCTCTCCCCATGGCCTGGTCTTGGGCTGGTTTCCAGAGGCTGCTCCTGACTGTGATCCAGGGTTCAGGCTTTTGAAAGGAAGGGTGGGCTGGAGGGTGTCTGCCGCCTGCCTGGGACTGGGACTGGGGCTGGCACCAGCCGAGGCCCCCTGGAATCTGACCTGGCCCTTGACCAGAGAAGGTTCCAGGGATGGTGCTGTGCATGGACATCGCAGAGCGGGAAGGTGCCCTGAGCCAAGGGCACCTGGACCCACTGAGCATTGGTTGGGGTGGGGATGGGGGAGCTCGTACCACTGGGATGGGAGGTCCTCCCCTGGGAACAGGGGTCAGTTAGGACACTTCTGCTGGACTCTGAAGATGGGGAGCATGATGACGGACGTCACCACCCTGCCCGCAAAGTCCTAGTGTAACTTCTGGGAAACAAAACTGCCAAGAGCCTGTGAAAGCCGCTACATCTAGGGGATGAGAAAAAATGCAGAGGTCGTGGGCACAGTTTCCTGGTGAGACCTCCAGCACCATGTCCAATCAACCTGTGGCCCACTTTCCTCCAATGCATTTTCCAGGTTATGCCCAGGCAGGAAGCTGTCAGGATCTTGGGTTAGCATGGGATGAGTCTTGGGGAGGGTGGAATGGCTCCAACACCCTCCAACCCTTCGCCTTCACAGACCTGTGGCTACCATCCCTGCCAACATCAGTGCAGTGCCCAGCCTGCAGCCAACTTCCTGTGCCAAATCTTAGACCTGCTGCCTCCACCCTTCTCCCCACCTTCCCCCCTCTTTTACCTTGGTCCTGTCAGTTTCCCCGAGGGGGAGATTGAGACAGCTGGGAAGGACCCAGGAGCCCGGGATGCTTCTCATCACCAGAGATCCTGTCCTGCCAATGCTCGCCCCTCCAAGCAGCTGTCTCTGGGTCTCCTTCTGCCGGGGAAGCTGTCATCTTGGGTGGCCCGGCAGGGCACTGGGCAGAGAGGCCCAGGCTGGTCCTGGAGGGTCTGCTGCCTCTGCCCCTCCCGCCTGTCTGGACTTGGTGCTCAGCTCTGCCCATGTTTCTGGTGTGGCCCAGCTGCCTGCCTGGTACAGAGGACTACTGCTGGGTCTGTGGCTGGGACACGCACCCTCCCTCATGGCACCCTCCCTCATGGCACAAAGCACAGCGAGCGCTCACTTAGATTAATTAATCTGCTGCCCAGCCTGCTCCTCCGACCCGCTTTTTTATTCATGGACAAGCAGCGCTTTCTGCTTTACCAGGACTCAGGCATCAATATTTCATCCTTGCTTCGCATGCCAGCTTCCTGCTCCCTCCCTCCCGCCTCCTGCGGCTCTAGGACCCACAAGGTGCTAGGTCCTGGGGCACACTGGCCGCGCCTGGCTCAGCCTGGATGCCAGGAGGGCCTCTTAGGCCTCTCGACTGCCTTCCATGCACCAGAAGCCTTTCTGAGTCAGCAAGCTGAGGAAGCAAGGCAGAGTGGCTGGGCATGGAGGAGGGGGTCCCAGGAATCTGAGGGGTGTGGGGGGTCCTAGTCTGGGGGAGGCTGGGGCTGGCTGGCCCAGTCCTGCCTTGGTGTTGCTGGGTTGTCAGGATCAGAGCTGAGGGCTGCGAAGTGCCAGGCACAGGTCCTGCACAGAGTCCTTCCCCTTTCCACCACAGTGTCTTGGCCAGTGTTCGTAACCCAGGTCTGTGGAGGGCCTTCTGGAGGGTCATGAGCCCTGGAAACACAAAACCAAATGTGATGTGTGTGCATGTGTGCAAGAGTGAGTGTGTGTGAGTGTGAGTGTGAGAGAGAATGGGGGTGAGGATCCTTGGCTTTCACCAAGTTCTCAGCAGGGTCTATGAGCCATAAACGGTCATAAGCCACGTGATTCTAGGCAGGCCCAGCCTCCTCTTTTTAACATGGAAGGAAGAGAATTAATGGGGTTACTCACCCAGGGAGCCCCAAGGAGTAAGTGTGCGTGGCAATATGGGCGTTATGGGGGTGCAAATACACACCCTTGTGTGTGGGTGTGACTGTGTGTATGTGAGTATGAAAGCACGTATAAATGTATGAGTGTGAATGTGAGGATGCAAAATTGTATGTGTGTGAGCATTTCGAGTGTATGAGGGCGTGTGAGCGGCTGTGTGTGAGAGTGCGTGTGTATGAGTGTGTGTGCATGTGTGAGCATGTGTGTGTGTTGTGTGGTGGCACTGGGGTCACAGACACACATTGCTGTCCTGTGCTGGAGGAGCCCAGCACAGAGCTAATGAGGCAGTGACACCTGGGCGCTGGGGACAGGTTGGGCCTCCCTTCCCAGGCTGGCAGTGCTCACATCTCCGCGGGGGGTCTGTGGTCAGAGGGTGCCAGCTGGGCTGAGATGAAAACTGGGGAACTGCTCTGGCCTGGGCTGTGCTGGGCAGGAGTGGGGACAGGGGTAAGGGGTGTGGGGAGGCAGCTGCAGCAAACTCCCCTTTGCGCTTAGTGTGGAAGCTTCGTGAGGGCACCGTGAAGCACTGCACTCCCCGCCTTTCCTCACACCCTATTCCCCATCAGCCAGGAAGTCCTGCCGCCAACCCTCCAAATACATCCAGAGCCCAACCAAACCCGCCCTGCCTCGGGTCCCTCCATGGCCCCTGCAGTCCCTGCTTAGCACAGAGGCTCCGTCTTGCCTCTGCTCCCAGGAAAGCCAGGCTCTCAACTGCCCGGAGCCCAGACTGCTGCCCTGCAGCCCTCCCCACTGCCTGCACCTCGCTCAGGCGTGCCAGCCATCCCTACCGCACATGCCTGCACACCCGCACACCCACACACTCACACACCTGCACTACCCGCAGGCTCCCCCAGGGGCCTCTGCATTTTTCTTTCCTCACATGGCTGCCTGGCTCCCTCCCTCACCTCCTGCAAGTCTGCTGCCTGACCCTGTCCCTTTTATTTCCCTCCATGGCATGCATGACCTTCTCACACCCCAGCCCATTGCTCGTCTGTGTTATTGCACTGTCTTCTGCCAACACAACAAAAGCTCCCTGAGGGCAGGAATTTTTATGTTTTGTCCACTGATTCATCCTAGAGCAGTGCGCACTGGGAAGGGCTCAACACATATTGGAGGGTAAATGAATGGGTGAATGAATAAATGAATGGATGAATTGCCCATCCCATTCATCAGTGGCCTGTTTGGAACTACCCATGGGGGATGTATTTTTTTCCTCAGGCTTAAGGGCTAATAAAACCTTAGCTGTGTTGAAAAGCTGGTGTTCATTCATCAATGATTCGATATAGTTACTGTGCACCTACTGTGTGCTGGGCACTGTCCTCGCTGCTGGTAGAGGGTAATGAACACGCAAGTAAACACCACTCCTTTCTCCCAGGGAGCGTTTGTCTCTTGGATTCTGAGGACCTTGTCACTGCTTTCCTTTCTGTGGTCACTGCCCCCATGTTCAGAGCCAATTTTCTGAAATGTTCTGAGTACAAAAACATCCCCTCTGATCTCACCTCATTATTCTATGCTTCTTCTCCCTGTGTCTTGGTTGTTTTTGACAGAAAAGGGAAATTCATGACGAGCATGTGGAGCCCTTGGTGGCCCAGTGCAGGCCTGGGGAGCTGCCGGGTTGAGGCGCCTTGTTTCTCTCTGGAACCTCTCGGTCGCTAGCTCTGTCCCTTCACTCTGTCTCTGGGTCTTTGGCCACTGCCTCCTCCTTTCCTCCCTTCCTGGACCTTGCTTTCCCTCTCACTTTGGCGTGAAGATGAGGCCCCACCAGTCTTGGCTTTGATTGAACATCATCCATTTATGTGTTACATCTTATCATATTATATGCATACTTTTACATGATTTTCAAAATCTTTAGGGCAGCAAAATATGCCTAAATGACTGCTTATTAGGATGCATGCCCAGTGCAACCGTGTGTGTTAGGGGAGGGGGGTAGGCGCTGGCTCTGTCTGGAGAATTCCCCCCTCCCCAGTACAGATGGAACATATCCTGGAGAAGAAGCTTGAGGTGACAGAAGTCTTGCATTACAGGGGAGGTCCCTTGCTGCTGCTGCCCCGATAGACCCCTTGGTTAACAGTCCATGTGACTTGCTCAGCCACAGCCTAGCATTGCTGGGTCTAGATACACTCTTGTTGACAGGTTGGTGAACCTGTCATCTCCTGGTTAGCTCTCCCCTCCCTGGCCCCGTCAGCCAGGCTTGAACTTCCTGGTCTCATTCCCAAGTGATGTCACTGGTCCTTTTGTCCTTGGCTCCCTGTGACTGTCCAGTGGCTGAGGTGACCCTGCAATCTGAAGCTTGGTGCCAGGAAAAGGGATGGATGGGGGTAAGGGAAACAAGGGCAACTGGCACAGAGAGCCAGAGATGGGACACACTCAAGAGGGAGATTGGGAGGCTCCGGGGTGGGGTGGGAGGAACCAGGAGACTAACAGCCAAGCAGCCCTGTGTCCCAGGGTACCCAGTCCACACCCCCTCCTTCAGCACCACAGCCTTGAACAGCATGGACTATAGGTGTTATGTTGGGTGTCGGGGGAGAGGGGTGTGATAGACAGAGAAGGTGATTTTGACCTGAAAGTCAGGGCAGAGACATCCCCATCCTCACTGTGGGTCCTGGGTCTGGGGTTCTTATTCTGACAATTAGCCCCCCATTTATTCCTTGTCCCACAACTCCCACAAGGTACATTCTGGTTCAGGAAGAGGAGTCAGTGGGAGGAGAAGTAGCTCCCTCGGTGTCGTGGCTGAGGCTGTAAGGGGCAGAGGCTAACTAGTCACATGCCTTTGAATGCCTTAAGCCACCTCTCTGTGCCTCAGCTTTTCCATCTGCACACTGGAGATGATAACAGTACCTGTCTTAGAGGATGGTAAGTATTAAATGAGTTAACAAGAGAAAGAATTTAGCAGAGTCCTGCACATAGTCAGCCACAGCATCAGAGTGGCTAGCAAATGACAATAATAGTGGCTAACCTGTGCAGGCTAACTGTGTGCAGGTTAGCACACAGCCTGCACAAGTTGGCCACTATTATTGTCATTTGAGGAATTCTAGAAGCTCTCCTCAACCCCGTGTCTCCTCCACACATGCACAGCCTGAAATTCCTCCTGCACTTATCTCTTGGGGTGATAATTGTATTAGTCCATTTTCATACTGCTATAAAGAACTGTCCAAGACTGGGTAATTTATAAAGGAAAGAGGCTTAACTGCCTCACAGTTCCGCATGGCTGGGGAGGCCTCAGGAAACTTACAATCGTGGTGGAAGGTGAAGGGGAAGCAAGCACCTTCTTCACAAGGTGGCAGGAAGAAGAAGCTCAGCCAAGGGGAAGAGCCCCTTATAAAACCATCAGATCTCATAAGAACTCATTATCATGATACCAGCATGGGGGAAACTGATCCCACTATTCAGTTACCTCCACCTGTTTTCTCCTTGACATGTGGGGATTACGGGGATTACAATTCAAGATGAGATTTGGGTGGGGACACAAAGCCTAACCATATCAATAGTTCTTCAAAGGTACCTTTAACAAAACTCAGACTAGCACCTGACAACACAGTGTGAACAGGGTTAAGAACAGGGATTTGAGGTCTCGGCCGCTGTGTGCCTTTAGGCAGTTCCATGGCCTCCCTGAGCTTTGATCCCTTCTCTTTAGATGAAATGACAATAGACTCTCCTGGAAGATTCTTGTGAAGACAAAATGAGATTACACACTTAAGCACTCAGCACAGGGCATGGCACGGCATGAGTGGTCAGCAAACAGCAGCCTGCACTCTTTACAAGGCGCCTGCACCTGCATCATCCCATCTGATCCTGGCCCCAACTCTGGAGGTGGCCTCACTTCTGGGTGAGACGACTGAAGCAGAGAGAGCAGTGGCATTCTGAGCAGGGCTGGAGCTCGGGCCCCCTGACTCAGGCTGGTGCTTTCTTGAAGGGGTGACCTTCAGAGGCCTGGCACAGGTGGCATAGATGGAGCATTAGATGTCCTGGATGTCTTGCCTCTGACCTGAGACCTGTAGGGACCTGGAGGCAATGGAGGACATTCCTGGAGGGAGAGGGGCATCAGGAGACAAAGTGAGGCTCCTACTTCACAGGTTTGCCTGACTCTCTCTAGCCACAGGCTCCCCCTGTCCCCCAAGTCTGCCCTCTCCTGCAGCTCCCCGGACCTGGCCTCTGGGCTTATGGAGCCCTGGAGTACAGCCTGTCCGCAGGAATGGAGCCGGTGCTGCCCTAGCCCAGCTGATGCCTTCAGGCCTCTGCAGACCTCAGGAGGGAGAAAGGCTGACCAACGAGGGGGTCCGCTTTCTACTGTTCTCATTTTTTACTGAAATTGCAAGAGAGAGAGGTGGGGGAGGGGCAAGACAAGTAAAAAATAGTCTCATTTGGACTGAGCAGGGGAGAAAGCAATTTCCTTCTGAAATCTCTTCCTGATTCTTGAAGGATGTAATTTGGAAATGTCCTGGTGGCTCTGGCTGGAGTGTGGGCCAGACCACCCATAAGGCATGGAGTGGGGACCTACGGGTGGGGAGCAGGGAAGGCCAGTAGGAAAGGAGACAAAGGTCTTGCTGATGGTTTCAGCCCAAGCCTCAAGGACAGGCCAGCCAGGGGAGATGTGGTAAGAAGGACTGTCACAGCACAGAGGACAGCTGAAGAGTGAGGTGGCAGAGACTGACTTGAGAGAGGAAGAGGATCTGGGGGTCCTGATGGACCAGGGTGGGGGGGATACACTGGGAAGAATTCTAAGCCCGGCTGGGGTAGGAGGGTGGCCCAGTACCTAAGAGAGGTCCATGCTCTGGGGTCTGTATCTCGGGAGATTTCATGGGGCAAAGGCAGAAATCCATCCTGAAGGACTATGCATCCTTAAGTTTCTTTGCTGGAAAGTCATCTGGGTGCTGGGCAATCTGGCGGCAACTTGGAGGCTTATTCAGAGCCTGCAGGAGAAGCAGGGCCCTGGTACGGGGTGGTAAAGGGGCACAGGGGAGGCTTGACATGCCCAGGGTTCCTCTGCTTGTCGTCCTTTGGAGTCACGCTCCAAGTTCCTCCACAGCCTCTTCTGCAGCCCTGCCACCTTCCAAGCCGCCATGGTGTGGCTCTGAGGGTCCCAGCTTGGGGAGCAGCATTGGCCCTATGAGAGGGCAGAAATGGAGACTGAGACCCACCAGCACTTTAGGGGCCTCCCTGGGACTCGTCCTTCCCTCTGACATGATGCTAACTCCATGTCCTGAAGCATCAGCTCATCACCCCATCCTTCAACTAACCCATCAACCAGCCAAGTACACCAACCAACAAGCCAAGCCACACCCCACTCACCAATCCATCAGCCACCACTCTACCTGTTACCCTACACCCTGCCATGCCACCAACTCAGCAACCTTCTAAGCAACATACCAATTCACCAACCAGATAATCTACCAACCGGCCTATTCTTCCACCATCTAACCACCCCACTAACCAGCCTATCAGCCAACTCACCAACCAACTCATTACCACACTGTCCAATCAGGAGATAGAAGCTACACAGTGCTGTGAACAGAAAGCTTTAATATAAAGAATTATTAACTATAACAGGAAATCACCCACTAAGCATGACAGGAGATCATCCAATAACCATGACAGGAGATCGCCCACTAACCGTGACAGGAGATTGCCCAATAACCGTGACAGGAGATCGCCCACTAACCGTGACAGGAGATCACCCACTAACCGTGACAGGAGATCGCCCACTAACCGTGACAGGAGATCGCCCACTAACCATGACAGGAGATCGCCCACTAACTGTGACAGGAGATCTCCTAGTAACCATAATAGGAGATTGCCTAGTAACCATAACAGGAGATCACCTAGTAGCTATGACAGGAGATCACCCAGTAACCATGACAGGAGATCACCCACTAACCATGACAGGAGATCGCCCACTAACCATAACAGGAGATTGCCTAGTAACTATAACAGGAGATCGCCTAGTAGCTATGACAGGAGATCACCCAGTAACCGTGACAGGAGATCGCCCACTAACCATGACAGGAGATCACCCACTAACCATGACAGGGGATCACCCACTAACCATGACAGGAGATCGCCTACCTAAGGAACACTTCTACCTCTAGGGCTGAGGCCGAGCATCGAAGGCAGGAAGAAACCTGGAAGCGTCTTCCCGCAACCCCAACACCCAGGGCTGAGACCCAAACCTTGTTAGAGATGGTACAGCCGAGGCGCCCTGGCTGCAGGAAAGTTTGCTGAAGTGCCGGTGTGGGTGGAACTCTCTGGCAGGCCACTCTCTGGGCTGCTGCAGGAGGCTGGATGCTGCGGGACACCTCACTGAGGAGCCTGCAAGAGAAGCCCTTCCTCGTCCTGTGCTGCTCCTCCAGCACCGTCTCCTGGGAAAGCCGAACATGGAGCCAGCTGGTTAAAGAGAAATATCGACAGGGTCTAGCTCCACGATCACAGACCAGACCCCGGAGAGTACATGTGAAGCTGAGACGCAATTCAGTAATAACTGGCACACCTGTTCTCTTGCTTCCCCACCAACTCTGCAACCCACTAACCAATATGCCACTCATCCACCAACCAACCAATCAGCTAACAAGCCTACCCTTCCACCATTTCATCACCCCACCAACTGCAGTCCTCTGACCAGAATACCCATCTACCTACCTACCTGCTACCCCAGCAACCCAGTTTTCTTGAATGTTCCAGGCACTGTGCTGAGGGCAGTGAGGAATACAGCAGTGAAAGGGAAGTCTGCACCCTGAAGGAGTGACACTCATTTATTCAAATTGGGCAACATATGCAACCTATGCCTATGATTTACTGTGGGCCAATAAGGCCCTGTTTCACGCAGGTGACATCCATTAAATGGACAAACAGTGGGCAGACAGCATGCTCTGAAGCTAGTGGTGGGAGAGATCACTATGGCCTGATGGTAGAGAGCAGCCTCGTGGAGGAGGGAAGTGATCTGGGCATTGAAGAATGAGCAGAGTAGAGATTCCAATTTGGAAAAGGAAAAGAAAGGCACGGGGGCAGTGAATGTCTAGGTATCTACTGTGTGCCGAAGGAGGACTCGGCACAGGGAGACTTCTGCACAAGAAGGGCTCACCATCCTGGGGGCGCCACAGGCCCCAGCTGCACGGGCCTGCAGGGAGCACACGTCCATCTCATCCGTGACAGGCAAGAGCTATCACACCCCTAGGAGAGGCTGATCCTATCATCAGCTTCTTTCTCAGGCAGTGAAGGGGCTCCTCCTTTTCATCAAGGGCTAAACTACAATTTTGAAAAAAAAAAAAAAAGGCTCACCCAGCATCAAGCAGACATCAGAAAGAACTTCCAGTCCAGACCAGCAGGAGGCTCAGGAATGCGATACTTCCAACTGTCTGGGGTGCCTGAAATATTGACCTGCTCAGAGGCAGGGGAATATCCGCAATGACCCTTCCTCACCCTGTTGTTAAAGGGCTCCTTGTGGCCCAGGTCCACCTGCTCCCAGGCTTCCATCAGCCCAAGTGCCATTAAGTATCTCGGAATAAAAATCTGACTTCAGAATCAATTGATGGAGAGAGGTTCTCCAAACATTCGCTGGTGAAGGTAATTAAATTCCAATCGGAGAAGATGGAGCTGTGTGACGGGGCGGTGGGGGCAGCGGCTGGCACCTGGCTGCTGAGCAATGAAATCACGGGCGTGCGCAGCCCAGAGCTGGCAGCGGCACAAAGGAAATTGGAGCAGTCAAATATTTCCCTCCTCGTTGAGTTCCATTTACATGTTTATAATAGAGGTTCTTAAGGCCCTAATGAGAAGGCTGCTCATTGCAGGCAAGAGGATGATTAAGGCTCTGCCAGACGAGATCAGGGACAGGAACAAAGGCCTGTTAATTACTACAGAGGGACAGGAGGAGCGCCAGGCTCCAGCTCGCTGCTCCCCCAGAGCCTCCCAGCCTGGTGCCTTCTGGTTCGCTGAGGCTGCCTCACCTTTGCTCCCAACCCAGGTGACCTCCCGGGGCGGGCTAGATTCCCCAGAGCTGGAGTCAGGGGTTCAGGGACCATTTCCACTTTCCCTCCCTAGGGGGTGATTTCAGGCAGTACCCCTGGCACATGCAGATTTGTCCTCTGAAGGTGCCCTGTTGGGGGAAATGGCTCAGAGGAAGCCACGCTGCTGAACTGCTTGGCCACCGCCTGAACCATGAGGTTCACCTGCCCACCAGGGGGGTTGCTCACTTGAGCTTCCAAGCCCTAGAGGGAGGACCACCCTGGGCGGATGACAAAGCCCCTCTTCCCAGCCTTCAGCATCCAAGAGACACAGTTATACCTGTGGAGACCCAGGCCAGAATTAGTGATGGATGATGTCATCTGGTACAAAGGCAGAGGGTTCTTGCCAAGTTGATTTTAAGGCCTTTCTAACAACCGGAGTTCATGGTATGGTGGAAAAAGTAAAGGTTTTGTGTCAACAGGCTTAGGGTCAGGCAGACTTGGTCTCAAATCCCAGGTATTCTGTTTGCTAATGAGGTGCCCTGGACAGGTTATTAACTTCTCTGAGCCTCAGTCTCTTCATCAGTTAAAAGGGGGTAATCTCACCTACTACACTCGGGCTGGTTTTATGATGCAATGAGATAATGTTGACTAGGTCTGGCACAAAGTAGGTGGTCAGTTCACATTGGTGACCTTGTCCCCTATTCTGAGGGGCTGGGTTGGTATGCTTTGGAAGTCCTGCCTATCTATGACCTGCAGGACATGGGGCTGAGTGTGGGCAGTATCTGATTTCCTTCAGCCTGTCGCTGCTCCGTAGCACCTCTTCTTGTGACATGGCATCTGGCAATATTGAAGGGAAAGAGGAGATTGTCTGGCCAGGGCTGGGAGGAAATCAGACTCTGTGCACTGCTTGCCCAAGTGCCCCTCACCTGTGTCCCACTCTACCTCTGAGGGCTCCAGAGATGAGGGGAAGATGCGAGGAGGGAGAGAAGAGTCATGTTTGAGGAGCTCCCTGATTTCTCTATGAGAAAGAAAAATCAGAGAAATAAGTTATGCCATGCAAAGTGGAGTGAATCTGGTAGTCAAGGGTTGAATTTGAAGAACTTTGATTTTTAGGAAAATGGTCATCTTGTAAAGGCCCAAACCAGAGCTTTCTCAACTAGAATCCGATTTTAGGCCCAGGGGATATAGGGTCTAAGAGGAGAATGATTCTGCGGTTAACACAAAGACCCAAAGATGAGAGACCCCCAACTCCCTGGAGGATATGGTGCCATCTTGGTCTTCCCGGGGTCAGTGTTGGCAGCTGGGAACATCTCAGTGGCTTCTTGGCTTACTAAGGTGCTTCCCTTGGAGCTGTCCACGGTGCTGGCCTCAGAGCCTATCTGGCCCTGGCTGCCTGGCCACACCTACCTCTCCAGCTGGCTGTCAGGCCTGTCACCTGCAGAGCTTCTGCCCCAGCCCACAGCACTGAACCTTGCTGCAAGCCCCAGGATTTTCAGACACACCTAATGCTAAGATGCATTTTAGCTTGAGCCTTAGGGCTAACAATAACCTAGTCCCTAGAGTCCACCTTAAACAGAACTCTCACCAGAATCTAGACTTGAATCCATATCAATCTGAAGTACAGCTCGAATCATCATCCCTTCCTTAATATGAATCTTAAACCCTATTCTCATTTCTAGTCTCCAATCGAGTACTGGTCTGAAGTTCACCTCTTACCCTAACTTCCGAATGAACCTGAGCCCTAAAGACTTGATCTTGGGCAAAGGATTGGCCCATCCCCTCTTCTCTCCCTCCTTATGAATGTGGCAGAGCCTCTGTGGTGAGCGCTGTGGGTAGAGAGATGTGTCCTGTGCTGCCCCTGCTCTCCAGGAACTTGGCTGTGTGCCCCTACCGCCCTCACCATCAGACAAATTCATGTCAGTGTCAGCATTGACGATATTCTCCCAAGAGGGAAAGTCTTTAGAGAAGATGTCATCATCATTTACAAGGCAAAACATAGAGGTGGGCCATGGAGAGCTCTGAATTCTTCCCACTGTGCACCACCTGCCGAGAGGCTCTGGCTCCTGCCTCCTGTGCCTTTGGTCCACGCTGCATGCTGGTGTGGGTGGGGAGTGAAGAGTGGAGGAAACTTTCATAGGGGCAAGGCCCACCTGTCTCTGTGGAATATGATTCACATAGTTGTAGGTAGATGCTGAGGAGGCCCGGGTAGCACAGGAAGTACCAGACCCTGAGCACCTACCATTACCAGGCCCCTCGCTGACCTTCACAACACTCACTGAGCGGGGCTGAGGAAGCCGAAGGGCCTTTGTATCCATTACAAAGATAACAGGTAGAAGAGCTGGGAATGAAATACAAGTCCTGTGGCTGCTGAGTCCTAGAGGCTGGGGACGGTGAGGGGAGAGGCTTTCTAAAGGAGGTGAGGTGCAGGCGGTGGGGACACAGGCAGTGTGGGGTGCAGTGTCAGGAGGGATGAGTGGGGGTTGAGGTGAGAGGTGAGGAAGAGAGGTTGACCAAGGCTGGGAGATGCAGATGGGATGGGGATGGCCCCATAGGCTGGTCTGGACTTTCCCTGTGCCCAAGGCCAGACACTGGGGAAAGCTCAGGGAGAGAAGAGAACTTGCAAAGCGGAGTCACATTCTTCTCTCCCATGGCGGGTTCCTCCTGAGGGGCCTGCTCTTGTGAGATGACATGAAGAAGGGGAATGGGGAGAATGGCGGCCAGGAGAAGACATATGACATTCCCCAGGGTCAATGGTGCGGCCCGTGTGTCTATCTACTGGCCCTCCACTCCTCCTGCGCCACTTTCTTCCTTCCCCACAGCCACCATCCTAGTCCAGGCCATGCCCGGCCACTGGCTGCAGCCTCCATTGCCTCCCTTCTCCATCCTTTGGGTCCTCTGCCCACAGCCAGAGGGACCTGCCTGAGGCCCTCATGAGGACCCTCCTCCCCAAGAAGATGGGCTGCTCCCTCTTTCCTGCCAAATTCCACTCGCCTCTCCTCCTTGGCTTTCTGTCACTTGTAGCTGTGGCAAACTTGTCCTAGCTGGGACACTGATGAGGAAGGCAGTGCTGTGGATGATGATGAGGGCAGCAGGCATGATGCCAGGATGCCCCCTGACTCCTGCCTCCTCTCCAGCCGACCCCCCAGGATTTCCCAAAACCTCCCTCAGCTCCTCCAGATCCTGCCAACTGCTAGGCTCAGGCCCTCCCACAGCTTCCCCGGCCTGGAAAGGGCGCTAGAATGGGAGTCAGAGGAACCGAGCCCAGTTCCTTATTGACTGCCCTGAAGCCTGGGATAGGGCGCCTCTCCTCTCTACTGTCTCCCCTGTAAAATGGGGATAATCCCTCCTGCTCCACTCTTCTCCCAACGAGAGGGAGAATATGACAGCACTTGGTAAGTAACTGCACTGCATAAAGAGGCCTGCTGGAGTTACTGGCCCCCATTCATGCCTACATTTTGGCCCCATTATTTACATTTAGTTTTATTCCCCTCCTCCTCCTGGAGTCTCTGTTCCCTGCCACGGGGTGTGCAGCTCGCACCCTCTGTGGCCTCCAGCATTCTCTGGCTGAGCCTGCTGCCTGCCACTGATCAGGCCCGTGCAGGGAAGGTGGTGGCTTTCTTCCCTGCCAGTCTTAGCACAGTCCTGGGCTCCCAGGGGACCTCCGTCTAGTTGACTCGATATTGACTGAACCCAGCTTTAGATCAATGGTTCTCAAGCTGAAGCATGTATCAGAATTGCCTGGTGAGCTCATTAAACCCCAAATTGCTGGTTCCCTCCCCAGTTTCTGATTCTAGAAGTCTGGGTGGAGCCTGAGGATCTGCATTTCTGACAAGTTCTCAGGTGATGCTGATGCTGCTGGTCCAGAAACCACACTTTGAGAACCACTGTTGTTCTCAGCGAAAACCTGGATGGCCCTGCCAGGAAGTCTTCTGTCTAAGTGGGCTTAGATGAGATGGCCTTATGGGGCGGATGTGTGTGTGGAGGGGCCTGGGTCCGTGGCACCCCAGACACCAGGAAGTGAGTGCCTCTTGCCTAGAGGCAGAAGCAGCATTGAATGTCCTGAGTCAGAGCTGCGACATCTGAGTTTAATCTGTGTGGAGCAATTCAAGGGAGGGAGCCAAGGGTGGGGGGAGCGGGAGCTGGGAAGGCGGCTGCATATTTCATACTGTTCCCAGCTTTGAAGGTCCAGGGAAAGCGTGTGGCAGTCGGTGACAGCTTCATCGTAATGAGGGATGGGGAGATGCACCCTGCTTGGGGTGAGGCGCTCATCAGATGGGTGGAAGGATGGTCAGGGAGGGGCAGGGGAGGTGGTGGTAGGTGTAGATGGGAAGTGGTGGTGGGGGAGGGTAGAATCTGTAGTGTGGGCCCCTCCTCTAGACTCATCCCCATCTCCCCAGCATATATGGGTGGTGATGAGATTCCTGGAGGGTTTTCAGATGCAGTCTTTAAGGGCCTGTATCCATCCCCAAGGTCACACCTGGAATATCCTCTCCCTCCAAAGAGGTATCTCAACATCAGCAGAAGCTCTAGCAGGGCAAAGCCCCACTGTTCCTGAAACTGTCCCCAACTGGACCCTGGTGGTATCTGAAGCCTCTGAACTGCATGAGAATAGGGCTCATTACCATTCAGCCTCAGATCTGCACCCTGTTTGCCCTTCCTGTTCCATCCCCCCATCCCCGACCTCCCACCAGCAGGGGCCAAGGCCATTTCTAAAGAGTTTATAATCGAGGGCTTAGGAGGAGTCTCTGGACATTCTAAAAAGGCCTCCTCCTTTCTCTTAGTTTTGGGCCCCACCTGTGGTACAGCCCTGATGTAGGAATTTAGAATTCCAGATCTATGGCAATGGAGGAGTTGGGGACACACTGCTCAGTGGCAGGGTTGACTGGGGGACAATTTCTGGGACCAGAAAGGGGGTGCGCACAGGCTGAGTGCCCCCTGTTTACAGCCTCAAAGGGCTCTCAGCACCCAAGTTGGTTGTATTGACAAACATGCCCCTTCTGGGCTCAGCAGGGATCCAGGCCAGCCTTGGAGGAGTCACAGAACCATTTAGAGTCGGTGACCAGTTTCCTTACAGACAGCGGGGTATGCACAGAGGGATACCTGGCAGGAGTCACACAGACTTTGCTGCTCCGGGGCTGCCCAGCCCTGCCCCATGATCAGGGCTGCATTTGCTCTTCAGAGGCCTTTGCCAACACAGGGTGAGCGGGACCCTGGAAGGTGAGAAGGGAGGATGGCAGTGCAGCCCGGCTTCCCTCAGACAGACCCGGGCCCAGCCCTGGCTTTGCCTCCTAGTTTCTAAGGATGCGACCTTGGGCAAGTCATGTGGCTTTTCAGAGCCTCAGTTTGCTCATCCTTAAAATGGGAACAATTGTATCAATTTTGCGGGGCTGATATGAGATGACATATGGACAGCACTGAGCACAGTGCCTGGCACTGGTCCGCTCTCAATAACAGCATGTGCAGACCTGGGGCGGGAGGCATCCAAAGCTGCTTAGGGCCTCCCCCTCCCCAGGGCCTCCTCCCTCCATCCCAGACCTGGTGGAACCAAGAACCGGCCTTGAGCCCCCTCCCTCAGAGTGGCTGGAGTGAACATTCAATCCTGATTAGCTCCACCGGGCTCCGTCGTAACCTTTTCATTAGGAAATTATGTTTAATAGAAATTGTTCTGACACCTCTCAGCAGCGTTTCCCTGCAATTCATTACCACTGGGGAGGGGGCAGGTGGCAGAGCGGCTCTGGGGCCCAGCTCCTTGGGGGAGGGGCCGGCCCTCTCCCTGCCGCTTTCCTGGTTCAGCCTTTGCTATATGGGTGGAAGGGATGCAGGACAGAGGTGTTCCTGCTTGGCTTCCCCACAGAGAGGCAGGCCAGCTGTTGAAGCACATCTGGATGGGGCCAGTCACTCTCAGCACCCTCCCCTGGGTCCGATTTGGGACTACCCAGCTGTTGCCAGTGATGCTCATGTGTTAATGGCACTCTCTATTCTTGTTTAGTCCTCACTGTCCCCAGAAGGAAGAGAGGCACACAGCGCTCCCCAGCCGCTGGAATCCAGGAAGAATTGAGGTGCTCAAGACCCACCACCTCTTTGCCTGCAAACTCTAAGCTCACTGTCCTGCTCCCTTGCTCCCAGAAGTGGCACTGGATGGATCCCATCCAGGTCAGCCCAGGCTGTCATTTCCTCCCCTTCTGTACCTAATCTCAGCGAGATGAAGAGTTTACACCTGTTTCTCACTTGAATTAGGGAAGTCTAGTTTGCATTCTCCTGACTGGATGGGCCTGCATTGAATCTTTCATCTCATTGGTCTGGGGATTTGGTTCTGAAGACCAATGCCTTCCAGAATCTTCCTGTCTCTCCCCAAATTCTGGGCGGTTCTGTTTCCAGCACTCATCCATGATGGGGGGGTACAGGAAATGAGTGTTGAGGGAAAGGCATCCCACCTTCTCTCTGTTCCATCTTCCAGATCTGACAACTCACTGGAAAGTTCTTCTCTGTGTCCCTGTCCCCCGTCTGGTTCTGAGGCCGCTGCTTTCCCCAGCCTTGGTGCCTTGGGTTTTCTGCTCTGTGAAATGAACCAGGTCCCTTATCCTGTTCTCCCCTGAAGAAAAGAGGGTGTGGGGGGCTTGGCACAGGAAATGGCCCTTGCCTTTCACAGGCTTTGGGGTCTGAGGGCAGCTCTGATGCCCCAGCATGCTTTTCCAACCCAACAACTGGGGAGACCCGCTTGCCATTTTACCACCCAGTATCTGAAATTAGCAGCCGCCTAATCTCTCTCTGCCATATCACTCAATGGTTTAATTGTGCAGAAAAAAATGTATTAAAATGCAAAGCACTCAGTTGTACTTCTTTATGTTAAATCCCTTCTTCGCTCTATCTCCCTTTTAATTTTACAAGGTTTTTTCTCTTTCCCCCTTTCATAAAGGGGAGAACTGGGCACGCAGGGAATCATTTCAACTCCCCTATAAATCTCCAAAATGAATACTTAAATTCGAGGAAAAAATACATTCTTACACCTTTAATTTCCCTGCTATGAAGTGTAATGAAAAAGCCTGATTATTTTTAATTCTTCCCTTTAATAATTCAGCAGCGGAGTGATTTAAGACTAGGATTCATAATTACCTTTCCGCTTTCTTGGCAAATGGAGTTTTAATAGAAATGAGAGCTCTGGCGACTGAAATGGATTTCAACAGGTCGCTGGGGGGTCAGGTTCAACACCAATTGGTGGAAGAGTGTTCCTAAGGCCCCTCAGGTGTGGGGTCTGGACTGGTTACCTGGGCCCACGTGGACAGAGGAAGTATATCACCTTGTGCTCACTGGGAACCATCTGTTGTAATAGTAACAGAAGGTCACAGTGTGGGTGCCTAATGACCCATTTATCCTAGAAGGAAGAAACTAGTGAAAAATGGCCATCAGGACAGTCTTCACGATTAGTAATAATAACTAATAACTATGATGTTAATGATAGCAGATACCATTAATTGAGCAAATACTATGTGTCAGGCACAGTGTTAAGTGCTTCAGAGACATTCTAGGCAGGCATGATGGTGTGCACCTGTAGTCCCACCTACTTAGGAGACTGAGGTGGGAGGATCACTTGAGCCTGGCTCACTTGAGGCTGCAGTGAGCTGTGATCCTCACCACCACCATCATCCAACCTGGGTGAGAGAGTGAGACCCAGTCTCTAAAAAGAAAAAAAAAAGACATTATTTTTTCTCATTTTCACAATAATCTATTCTACATGGGGGAAACTGAGGCTCAGAGACTGATATGGTTTGGCTCCCCACCCAAATCTTTTCTTGTAGCTCCCATAATTCCCACGTGTTGTGAGAGGGACTCGATGGAACATGATTGAATTATGGGGGCGGGTCCTTCTCATGCTGTTCTCATGATAGTGAACGGTTCTCACAAGATCTGACAGTTTTAAAAACGGGAGTTGCCCTGCACAAGATCTTTTTGCCCACTGCCATCCACTTAAGATGTGACTTGCTCCTCCTTGCCTTCCACCATGATTGTGAGGCTTCCCTAGCCACGTGCAACTGTAAGTCCAATAAACCTCTTTGTTTTGTAAATTACCCAGTCTCCGGTATGTCTTTATCAGCCTTGTGAAACAGACTAATACAGAGAGGACCTAGCAAGTTAAAATTAAGGCAGATGGCAGAACTGGGGTTTGACCTACATTCTTTCTTATTCTAAAGCCACCACTCCTCTCCACTGACTAACTTCCCAAGCAGTACCCAGAGCTCATTACCCAAACATGGTACCTGCCTCCCAGGAGTAAGCAGAGATAACCAGACACAGTGGTGGAGTAGAATTTTAAAAAGACCTGTGGAAAGGGCACCAGGTGGGGTCAGAGTCGGAGCCCTGATCCTTCTTACCAGCTCCATGGCCCATGAGCTTGGAGACACTGGGAATGCCACCTTTCTGAGCCTCAGTTTCCTCACCTATAGAATGGGGATAATAACAACCAATTTGTCTAGTTCAAGGGATGGTAATGAGATTCAAAGGAGAAAATACATGTGGAAAAGCTTTGTAAATCCTAATTTGCTCGACAAGGGTCAAGTTTAATTAGCATTATTTGATAACAGAATACTACTTAAAACTGACCCATGTCTGTCCAACCCTCCACAGCCATTTTTCCTGCTGTCTGCATGCCCAGCCTTCCTATCAAAATGCAGCTCATGCTGGTGCAGTGGCTCATGCCTGTAATCCCAGTGCTTTGGGAGGCCAAGGAGTGAGGATTGCTCGTACCCAGGAGTTCGAGACCAGCCTGGGCAACAAAGCGAGACCCTGTCTCTACCAAAAAAAAAAAAAAAAAATTAAAAAATCAGCTGGGTGTGGTGGTGCGTGTCTGTGGCCCCAGCTACTTGGGAGGCTGAGGCAGGAGGATCCTTTGGGCCCAGGAGGTTGAGGCTGCAGTGAGCTGTGATTGTGCAATGGCACTCCAGTCTGGGTGACAGAGAGAGATCCCATCTCAAAACAAAAAACAAGCAAAAAATATCCAACCCAGACCTTACCTCCTCTGCCAGAAAACCTGGATTGACCTCTCTCAGGCCCCATTGTTCCATGACCCTCCAGTCCCTTTTTTCCTACATTTCCCATTCAGTTGTTTAGAGTCCTTAAGTTCCCTGAGAGAGCACAGAGGTGTGTGTGCACATCCTCACATCCTCTAGATTGTCACGTCTCAGGCCAGGGCTTTTTAAATTCCCTTTGTTTTGTCAGCTCAGAACTCAGCCTCTGCATTCAGCGTATCACATCAATATGGTTGATTCACTGCCTGAATAGAGACATAGAGGGTGAAAACCCACAGACAATCCCAAACCATGAAATACGGGTATTGGAGTGCTGAGGCACGAAGTGAGACACCGGTGCAGACGCGCACACCCACACCCACACACACGCGTTCACACACACACCCCTACCATCATGCCTGCGCCTGGCTCACCTGAGCTTGCCTCTATTATGGTTATCCAGTGGGGAAAATTGTACCCAGCGCTTATTTTCCAGTTTATCAAGTGCTTTCCCATACATTAAAGAACATGATTCTCTCAATAGCCTCCTGCAGAGAGAGGCAGGGCCGGGAGGGCGGGTTGGATCATTGTTTCTTTCAGAGCAGGAGAGATTAGGTGGCTTGCTCAAGGTTCCTCGGCGGAACAGGGAGAGCCCGGGCCTTCAGACGCCGGAGCCATGGCTCTCTCCAAGACAGCCTCGGGGCTGCTGCTGCGGATGGGGAGTTCTGGTGCGTGTGCTGGGGAGGAGCCCGGCTGAGGGCAGAGGGGGCTGCCCAGGGGGCTCAGGACTGCCAAGTCATGAGCTGGGAAATAAAGCCCTTCTTGAGTCCAGCAGGAATTTGAATTCGGACCCAGGCTTCCCGCAGGCAACCCGTTGGGCTTCCCTGTACTGGGTCTTACTGAAGACCGGGGAGTTGAGCCTCCCAGCTCTGGAGTCCCCGCCCCACCCCACCCCGCGCTCTGTGCTTTGACTTGTGGGAGTTCAGGCCCTGGGGCCTCAGTAGGAAAAGAGGGTGCTGGAGTAAGAGGAGTGGGCTGTGAGGACCTCTGCCCAGACCTGGTGGGTTCCCCGCCTCCCCTTCTCCTATTAGTGCTCCCTGGAATGAGAAGGCACCAGAGGGGCCCTCAGAGACACTTGAGGCCTGATTGGGAATAAGTGTCTGATAATGACTCCCATCAAATGTCAAGCGGCCGTGCTGTGCTCCTGGGGCTGATTGCTCCTCCTCGAGGGGGGTGCGTTGTGGGGGATGTCTGGTCCTGGATGCTTCGCCACTGTGGAGATGCCACCCCAGGGCTTTGTCTCCGAGGTGAGCTCTTCCTGGGCTGGGGACAGCCTCCACTCGCTTTGCAGCTGTCCCTATGCGCAGCAAGGGGTCTTCACCTCTCCTGATACTGCCGAGGGGTGGGGCCTGCAGGTGGGTGGAAAGGGTGGGGCTGAAGCTAGAGCTGACGTCACTGCCCTGTGCCGGTCGGGGCCTTGCAGCTGGACAGAGGAGGTGGATGCTCAATCGGCTCTTCACAGAAAAGGGTCCTCCTGCTTCTTCAAGGATCTGGGTGGCCACAGGCCTCAGCTCCTCAAAGGCTATGGCTTGGGGATCTTTCTTTTACTACTATTATTAGCTAGTACTTGGAGAAACTCAGTGACTTAATGATATTTATGATTTCTCATGAGTCTAGGGGTGAGCTGATTGGTTCTTCTGTTCTTGGTTGGGATCACTTGTGTATCTGAGTTTGGCTGTGGGTTGAGGAGAGGCTTGTGTTGACCTAGGATGGGTTCCTATGTTTGGGGGTCAGCTGGCCATCAGCAGGTTTAGAGAGGTTTAAAGTTTGGGTGTCGTCCCCTCCAAATCTCATGTTGCAGTGTGATCCCCATGTTGGAAGTGGAGCCTCATGGGAGGTGTTTGTGTCATGGGGGTGGATCCCTCATGAATGGCTTGGTGCCCTCCCCATGGTAACAAGTTTACATGAGATCTGACTGTTAAAAAGAGACTGGGGCTTCCCTCTCTCCTCTCTTGCTCCTGTTCTCTCCATGTGACATGTCTGCTCCCCATTCACTTTCTGCCATGAGTAAAAGCTTCCTGAGGCCTCACCAGAAGCTGAGCAGATGCCGGTGCCATGCTTGTACAGCCTGCAGAACCACGAGCCAATTAAACCTCTTTTTAAAATAAATTACTCTTCCTCAGGTATTCCTGTATAGCAATGCAAAATGGACTAATATAGGAGGCCTCTGCTGAGACAACTGGGCCTTTCTCCACTGGGTCTGTCATCCTCCAGGTGGCCAGCCCAGGGTAGTTCATGGGGTACTGCAGGGCTCTAAGAGAGAACGGAAGCCTGCAGAGTCTCTTGAGGTTGAGCCTTGGAATTGGCGCACAGTCCCTTCTGGTGAGTTCTATTGGTCAAAGTGAGTCACAAGGCAGCTCAGATTCAATAGGGGGAATAGGCTCCACTTCTTATTGGGAGGAGCTGCAAAGCTATGCTGCAAAGGGACATGGATGTATGGAGGGGAGAATTAGAGGACATTTTTACAATCCATCTACTATGTCCAGCCTCTGAAGCCTCTGTCTCTGCTCCTTCAAGGTCTGAGTGGGAGGACTTGGCTTGGATGGCCAGGGAAGGATTGGCAGGGTTTGGCCACATGACCTAGGATTCTTCCAGTTCTGATATTTTGGGATGAGCTCATGGTCTTCTGTCAGCAGGTCCATCACCTCATTTTCCAGCTGTGTGACCTGGGGCTACTCACCACTTCTTTTTCTGTCTCAGTTTCCTTGTCAGGGAAATGAAGTAGTTGGATTAAACCTGATGATTAGATTAGATGGTGAATTGCTGAGGACCTACTCTGTGCTAAGGATAGGTGTTATGGCAGGGAATGGGCTGGAAGATCTCTAAGGGCCTTCCAGGGAGACACAGGAGGACTGCAGAGCCCATGATGGGGTGGACAGGATGGAGCAGCTGGTTCTAATGTAAGGTCACGTCCTTCTCCACCACTTTGTGCAAGTCAATTCCCCAGCCTGGGCTCATTTCCCCTTTGGCACAAATGGGCTGTGAAAGCATTTGGCAAGACAGTGAGACAGCCAGCTTGAGCAATAAGGCAAGACTCCACCTCTACAAAAAATTTTAAAATTAGCCAGGTGTGGTGGCACATGCCTGTAGTCCCAGCTGCTTGGGAGGCTGAAGTGGGAGGATCTCTTGAGCCTGGGATGTTGAGGCTTCAGTGAGCCATGATTATACCATTGCATTTGCTAACTGTAAAGTTGTAAAGTGTGGTGCACAAGTTCATTGCTAGAGTCACTAGATCCCTCCAATTTTAATTGTGGAGGGCTGTTCTCCAGTCTTGGGGGCTCATGGGTTTTATTCACTTCTGCTAATAACTGATGTTGGTTTCACACCATTAAATAAGTGCTCCCCAGGCTGAAGCAGCATTGAGGAATTTGCTGAGCTGGTCTTGAGGTGAAAAAGGTTGTGGAAACCAGCTCGTTGTTTATCCTCAGCTAGAGGAGGCTCAGGGGACTAGGTCTCACTCTCAGAGCGTTCGAGTGGATCCAGATTCAACTAACATCCCTGCCTGCCACATCCCAGGCATTTGCTTAGATGATATTGAATTGACTTAATCCTCACCATGACTTTTTGGGGAAGGTGTTTTTTTCCTACTGTACAAACAGGCATGCCGTAGCCTGTGGCTGGAGAAGAAAAGTGATATCCGCACATCCACACAGCTAGTGATCATGTTCTTGGAATCTGTCTTGTGCCAAATGGATTTAAAGAGAATCATGGCTAATAGACATGGCTAATAGATGGGGGTTGAGCATAGCTCTTTGTTTTCTAGCACCATTATTCTTCCTGCCACATTGCACTGGGGACTCCTGAGCCCCATGCCTACCGGGAATGGAACAGGCTGGAATGGCCTTAATAGGCTGTGGATAGGACTCAGATGAGATGAACCAAGAACTTCCTGACCGTGGTGAGTCATAATAATAAGAATAGTTAACATGGGGCCAGGCGCAGTGGCACTTTGAAAGGACAAGGCGGGAGGGTTGCTTGAGGCCGGGAGTTCAAGACCAACCTGGCCAACATAGCAAGGCCCCCATCTCTATTTCTAAAAAATAAAAAAAAATTAAAAAGAATAGTTAACATAACAGGACTTCCTATGTCCCAGGCACTGTGCTAAACCCTTTGCAAACAGTATCCCAGTTAATCCTCAGAAGGAGCTGTGAGGTAGGCAGTATTTAGGCAACTTGCCCAGGTCACACAGAGTGAGAAGAGGAGCTGGGCTTTGACTCCAGGTGGTCCGGCTCCATCTGGGGCATAGCACTCGTAGCTAAGGTCACGGGGCAGGTGCTTTCTGTCTTGGGCCTGCCTAGGCCCCTCTGCTGATGCAACGCTGTGTGCTGCCTGAGGAAGAGGAAATGCATGTTCTTGTCCTTGCCCAGGGAGGTGTTGCTGGGCTTTGTGTGAGTCTGCTCCAAGCAGAGCAGTGTACGGAGAAAATGTGCGTGTGGAGAGAGCAGCTGGACCAGGCTTTGTTTTTCAGGGAGTGACGCATCACTGAGCTACCCAAGGCCATTAGCTCCTGAGATGGGGGCTGCTCTCTGCTTGGTTATTTATCATGCCCAAGGGCATGAAATTGATTCCAGAAAGTCTGTCCATTTCCTCTAGCTCTTCCCGTAGAAGGGGTAGAGCGAGGAGTATGTGGGCAGGGCTGGACAGGATGAGGGACACCCCTGGGTTGGCAACATAACCCCCATGGGAATATCTCTCCAAGGGCCCTAGGAGCACCATCTCCATGTCCAAGGATGGAGACCTTTTCCCTGGCTGCAGGTGGAATGGGAGTGTGTGGTGGGTGGAAAGGCTGAGAGGGGACCAGCTGGCCAGAAGAAATAAATGCAAGGCTATCTGTCAGGGGTGATCAGGGAGTTGGGCAAGGGCCAGGGGGCACTCTTGTGGTATTTTAGGGGACATTCTGATGGGGTCTGCAGCACCTAAAGCCCATGGACATGAGGCTCGTGGCTGATTCTGGAGAGAGTAAGGACGAGGTACAAGCCATTCTCTATGTGTATTGCTCAACCCAGAGTCAGGCACAGGAGGCTGTTTCATGTCAAATAATGATGACAGCAGCAATGATCACATTAGCAACAAATACTTAGTGAGCCCTTAGTAAGCACTCTGGGTTCTAAGCTAGACCTGAGGATTTTTTTTTTTTTTTTTTTTTCATGTTTACCGATTTATTTTATTACAAAGGATACAGATGAAGAGATGCTCAGGGTGAGGTATGGGGGAAGGGGCACAGAACTCCCATGCCCTCCCTGGGCGAGCTGCCCTCCAGGAACTTGCATGTGTTCAGCTATCCAGAAGCTCTCTAAATCCAGTCATTCTGGCTTTTATTTATTTATTTATTTATTTATTTATTTATTTTATTTTTTATTTTTTATTTTTTTTAATTTATTTTTTTATTGATAATTCTTGGGTGTTTCTCACAGAGGGGTATTTGGCAGGGTCATGGGACAATAGTGGAGGGAAGGTCAGCAGATAAACAAGTGAACAAAGGTCTCTGGTTTTCCTAGGCAGAGGACCCTGCGGCCTTCCGCAGTGTTTGTGTCCCTGATTACTTGAGATTAGGGATTGGTGATGACTCTTAACGAGCATGCTGCCTTCAAGCATTTGTTTAACAAAGCACATCTTGCACCGCCCTTAATCCATTTAACCCTGAGTGGACACAGCACATGTTTCAGAGAGCACAGGGTTGGGGGTAAGGTCACAGATCAACAGGATCCCAAGGCAGAGGAATTTTTCTTAGTGCAGAACAAAATGAAAAGTCTCCCATGTCTACTTCTTTCCACACAGACACGGCAACCATCCGATTTCTCAATCTTTTCCCCACCTTTCCCGCCTTTCTATTCCACAAAGCCGCCATTGTCATCCTGGCCCGTTCTCAATGAGCTGTTGGGTACACCTCCCAGACGGGGTGGTGGCCGGGCAGAGGGGCTCCTCACTTCCCAGTAGGGGCGGACGGGCAGAGGCGCCCCTCACCTCCCGGCACGGGGCGGCTGCCCGGACAGGGGGGCTGACCCCCCCCACCTCCCTCCCGGACAGGGCGGCTGGCCGGGCGGGGGGCTGACCCCCCCACCTCCCTCCCGGACGGGGCGGCTGGCCGGGCAGAGGGGCTCCTCACTTCCCAGTAGGGGCGGCCGGGCAGAGGCGCCCCTCACCTCCCCGACGGGGCGGCTGGCCGGGCGGAGGGCTGACCCCCCCACCTCCCTCCCGGACGGGGCGGCTGGCCAGGCGGGGGGCTGATCCCCCTACCTCCCGGACGGGGCGGCTGGCCGGGTGGGGGGGCTGACCCCCCATCTCCCTCCCGGATGGGGTGGCTGGCCGGGCTGAGGGGCTCCTCACTTCCCAGTAGGGGCGGCCGGGCAGAGGCGCCCCTCACCTCCCGGACGGGGCGGCTGGCCGGGCGGGGGGCTGACCCCACCCCACCTCCCTCCCGGACGGGGTGGCTGCCGGGCAGAGACGCTCCTCACTTCCCAGATGGGGTGGCTGCCGGGCGGAGAGGCTCCTCACCTCTCAGACGGGGCAGCTGCCGGGCGGAGGGGCTCCTCACTTCTCAGACGGGGCGGCCGGGCAGAGACGCTCCTCACCTCCCAGACGGGGTCTCGGCCGGGCAGAGGCGCTCCTCACATCCCAGATGGGGCGGTGGGGCAGAGGCGCTCCCCACATCTCAGACGATGGGCGGCCGGGCAGAGACGCTCCTCACTTCCTAGATGTGATGGCGGCTGGGAAGAGGCGCTCCTCACTTCCTAGATGGGATGGCGGCCGGGCGGAGACGCTCCTCACTTTCCAGACTGGGCAGCCAGGCAGAGGGGCTCCTCACATCCCAGACGATGGGCGGCCAGGCAGAGACACTCCTCACTTCCCAGACGGGGTGGTGGCCAGGCAGAGGCTGCAATCTCGGCACTTTGGGAGGCCAAGGCAGGCGGCTGGGAGGTGTAGGTTGTAGTGAGCCGAGATCACGCCACTGCACTCCAGCCTGGGCACCATTGAGCACTGAGTGAACCAGACTCCGTCTGCAATCCCGGCACCTCGGGAGGCCGAGGTTGGCGGATCACTCGCGGTTAGGGGCTGGAGACCGGCCCGGCCAACACAGCAAAACCCCGTCTCCACCCAAACCAGTCAGGCGTGGCGGCGCGTGCCTGCAATCGCAGGCATTCGGCAGACTGAGGCAGGAGAATCAGGCAGGGAGGTTGCAGTGAGCCGAGATGGCAGCAGTACAGTCCAGCTTCGGCTCCGCATGAGAGGGAGACCGTGGGTAGAGGGAGAAGGAGAGGGAGGGGGAGGGGGAGGGGGAGACTTGAGGATTTACCAATGAAAGAGACATGGTCCCAGGTCTCAGAGAGCTCAGAGGTGTGTGTGTGTGTGTGTGTGTGTGTGTGTGTGTGTGTGTGGAGTGTGGAGGGATGGTGGAGACTCACACAGAGGTTTATGCCTCTGTTCACACTGCCATGATCGAGGCATGAGGCTGGGCATGATGGCTCATGCCTGTAATTCTGGCATTTTCAGAGGCTAATGATGGAGGATTGCTCGAGTTCAAGACCAGCCTGGGCAACATAGTGAGACCCTGTCTCTACACACACAAAAAGCCAGATGTGGTGTCGTGTGCCTCTAGCCCCAGGTACTCGGGAGGCTGAGGTGGTAGGAATGCTTGAGCCCAGGAGTTTGAGGCTGCAGTGAGCTATGATCGCACCATGGCACTCCAGCCTGGGTGATAGAGCGAGACCCCATATCTCCAAAAGGGGTGGGGGTGGGGGGGAAGAGGAATGAGCAAAATGCCTGGGCTTGAGGGAATTCAGGCAAGGGGCCACCCAGGGTGAGTCTTCAGAATGAGTCATTCTCATCAAGGGTGGGGCACACTTCTGCAGCAGTCAGTGCTATGGTCTGAATGTTTCCCCTCAAGATTCTTACGTTGAAATCTTGGCCCCCAAAGTGATGGTATTTGGAAATGATGGTATTTGAAGGGTGATTAGGTCATGAGGGTGGAGCCCTTGTGATTGGCATTAGTGCCTTTTGAAAGAGTCCTCAGAGAGCTCTGCCCCTGCTAAAATGTGAGGACACAGCTAGAAGGTGCTGTCTGTGGACATGAAAGAGGGCTCTCACCAGAGACTGAATCTGCTGTGCCCCAGTCTTGGCCTTCCCAGCGTCCAGGACTGTGAGAAATAAATTTTTGTTGTTTATAAGCCACCCAGTCTATGGTATTTTGTTATAGAAGCCCAAAAGAAATGAGACATCTAGGGTTCATAGCTTTAGGCAATAGAAGCCGATTCAGACCAGCTAAGCAGAAAAGGAATTTATTAGAAGAATATGGGGTGTCTCATGTAATCAATAGTGTTAGGGAGGGCTGGAGAACCAGACTTAAGACTACGCTTCCAGGCACGATGCCCACGACATACAGAACTAGATGGATGGGGAAACCACAGCTGCTGCTGCCTCACCAGCTTCAGCTGCCACTGTCACTCCCCACTGACTGCACTTCCAGGCCAGGAACTTAATCTTGCTACCGTTTCTAACCCCCAAAGCTGGACACATTCTTACCACCCTTGTCAGCATGATGGGTTCTGGGTATGGTCTCCTTCCCCAAACTCCTCCCTTCTAGAGAGGAGTCTCTGGGGAGTGAAGCCAATGGGTGGAGTCAGAGACATCTGCTGTGCTCCAGCTGCAATGGAGGCTGGGTAACCCAGTTTCTGCTTTCTGCTTTCAGAAGGTGTGACTCATAAGACTGGAAACTCCTGAACGTAGCAAGGATGCTGGCAGCCAAGCCAATGACTACAAACATGATAAAGTCCATTACAAGGATGGAAAGTCCACAGAACAGAAAATGTGTCTATTTTTTCACCAGTGACCCTCCAGCACTCAGCTATGCCTGGAACAAGGTAGACAGTCAGAATAACATGTCGAATGAATGAATGAATAAATGGCAGAGAGGGTGGTGATGATCAGGGGGCTTGGACAAGCAGTCCTTTTACTTACAGATATCCCAGGAAAGATTTGAGGCCTCTGGACAGCTCTTTGAGCTTAATTTGGACCAGTCTTGCCACCCAGTCTGTGATCTGGGCCATTGGTCTGATTCTCTACTCTTTGACGAATGGGCAAAGGCCTGGCTCTTGGAATTGGGTGAAAAGAAATTGACCCAGCTCAAGTGGGGAAGGTTGAAGCACACATGGCTGATGATTAAAACATATATTGATTTCAGCAATCTCTACACACTTTCTCCACTGTTACTACGGTGGATGTTGTTTAGCCCAGTGTCCAGTCTGAATTTCCTCCTTCCTGACAGACCCTATTGTTGTTCTGGCACCCCTCCTCAGGGTGTGTGTCTCAGGGAAGGAGTTGGTCTTATCCCAGCTCCTGAACCACCTGCTTGGTCTAAAGTAATCCTCTCTCCTTACCAACGATTGGTCAAGAGTGGGCCAATAAGATGCAAGCAGGTATTTTTGGGGGTGGGATGGAGGAAGACATCTTTACGCTTTTGAAAGAGTTTTTGAAGGTTGCTCTAATCTAGTTTTCTCGGAATGTTGTTGTGGGTGAGTCTAAGGCCCTTAACTGCCCCAGCCATCTCTGATCTAGTCATAGATAGCGTACATACACACACACACACACATGCACACACACACATGCACACACACACACACACGTCACAGGGAAACAGGGCCAGGCTTCCAGACAACACCAGCCCTGAATTCTGCCCTACCTGCAGGTTTCCAGAGCTCCATAAGATCGGAGCCACTTTGAGTTTTGGATATTCGGTGTTTTGTCTCTGAGTACCCCCCGACAGCTACCCGGACCACTGCTTGCTCGTGTGTGTGATGGCCCCAACCCCAAGGCAAGACTGGCATCTGGCTGATGCTGAGGGGCTAATAAAGGATGGCCCCCTGCCCGTTCTCAAATGCCCTCCTATGGGTGCATGTGAGTCTGAGATGCATCAGGGACGGGCTTTCCTTTCAAGGCAGCCCTGTGTCTAAAGGACCCTGTTTAGGATAGAAATGCTCCAAGAATAGGTGACCCACAGCCAGTTAGCATCGCAGAGCATGAAGGAGTTGGTCAGGGAGGTGTGAAGCCAGCTGCCAGCCACCCTAGGGACTTGGATGGAAAGAGACCTTGGGCAGAGGGAAGAGAGGCAGAGCTTCCCTTCTGCCCAAGGTCTCTGTTGAGCAGACTCTGCTGAGCACGTGGCATGTCCTGTGACCCCCAATTAGGAAAGCAGTTGCGGGAACATATCTGCCTCCACATCACCGCCCCACAGGGGCATGGACTGCTTCCACATTATTTAAAGAGAAAGGAGGGCATGTTCTTCAGGTCTCCAAAGGGCTCCCTATTTCCCTGGGAGGGGAGTCGGGCGGAACATAAATAAGACAATTTATTCAGAGAAACCATCTCCCCTATTTACATTTAAATTGAATAATTTAAAACACCTTTACCCATTTCCATAAATTATCCCCTGTCGGACGGGCAGCACAACTGTGCAGAGGGGGTTCCGTCCTGGGGAAAGGCCTAATTACATTCCCTGCACAAGGCTGGGTGGGAGAGGGAGCGTGGGGAGGTGGGCAGGGGCGGGCAGGCCTGGGAGGAGGGAGCTCCATGAGGGGCAGATGTTTGCCTTATAATTGGCAGGAAGAAGGGGGTGAGGTGATAAGAAAGTGAGGTGCCTTTAAGAGCTTTAAAATCCAGGGGTAAAGGGCCTCAAATCTTCCGCTTCACAGGAGCAAAGTCACTAGGACCGATCTCCTGCCTCCCAGCCAAGGGCATCACTCACACTTTAATCCTGGATCCTGGATCATCTCTCCTAGTTTTACAACTTTTGCAGCCTCTACCTCCTGTACCAAGGGAGGAGGAGGAAGGGGAAGAAAGAGCAGGGTTTCCTCGGTGATGGGTTAGTGACGGTGTTTCCCAGGCACCTATTGTTTGCCAGGCTCTGAGCTGAGTGCTGGGGACACAGGGGTAACCAGCCCCAGCCCCACCCTCCAGGGCTCCCTGGGGATGGGGGAGGAAAGTGACTTTCATACAAGCTGCATACTCAGAGCAGAAGCAAGAGAGACAGAGAGACCCATAGGAGGTCAGAGGAGTGAGAAGAGCTGTCCCCTGGGGGTATCTGGGCTTCGTGGAGGAGGTGGCTCTTGAGGTGCCCCTTGGGGGATGGGTAGCCTTGGGCAGGTGCTAAGGTAGGTAGAGGGCATCACCAAGCAAGGTACAGAAGCTAGGAGGTCTCGGAGCCAAGATGCCCACAGCAGACTGGAGAGGCTGGGGAGAGGAGCCTGTGGGAGAGGGGCCTGAGGCTGGGCTTTATCTTTCAGGAGGAAATGGAGAGGGTGCAGGAGGCAGAGCTGTTGCCGGGCTTGGTAGCCTTGCCATGGCACTATTTTCTTTAACAGCACAGAGAGAGCTTGCGTGGGTGGAGCCTGGGCATTTGGATTCTCTGTTATCAGCTTCTTTTAGGCTGCTTAAGAAGGAGAGCTCTCCTATTGCCAGAATGCCTCCGTTTCCCCACCAAGGGCCCAGTGCAGCTGCAGGCTCTTCCCAGGTCCTGCTGATGCAGAGGGGGTCTGGCTCCTGCCAACTGCCTGCTAGCTCTTCCAGGCCCTGGTGTCTCTGTGCCTCCAGGATCTCCTGGGCTGTCACTCTTGAGTCGCCCAGACACGAGAACTACAGACCTTCCCCACCCTCGCCCAGGATCTCCTCTTGGCCTTTCCCAGAGATGGGGTTCTTGCCAGCTTCTCTCGTCTCTGGACTCAGATCAGAGCCCCAGATGACTCCACTCCTCCCCGACTGAGGGGGAAATGGCTGGTGAACCGTGTGGTGATTTGGCTTAGAGAAGAGAACAGCCAAGGGTGGCTTGGAAGGAAGGCTGGTGACAGGCTTTTAAATGCTTAAGACAATCCTACAGGGCAGGCATCATTAGCTCTGCCTAAGAGATGAGGAAACTGAGGCTCCAAGCTGGGGAAAGCAGGACTTGCCCTCCGTTCTCTCTGCCTTTAAAGCCCCTGCTGCTGCTGGCAGGCTGAGCTGTGTCACTCGCGAGGATGCTGACAGCAGGGGCTGGTGAGCAGGGCCGCGCTGGGGGCCCTGTGAGCAGATGGGGCATAAACCTCTTTGGGAAAACAGATTAAAGTGGCCATGGTGGTGCTTAAAAGCTACGTGGTCCCCTTGCATGTTCATGGAATCTTATCAATGTGTTCCTCTGCCAACTTCAGGGGCCCTCCTGGGGGAGGAGGGGTGGATCCAGAAGTGAAAAATGCCTGTGGGACAAGGCACACCTGGCCCCGTCTCCTGCCTTTTCAGAGCCAAGGCTCCTAAAATAAGCTCCTCTATGCTAAGAAAGAGGGGTCTCCAGCAGTGGCCTCGGAGCTGCTTTTTAGCCTCTCCCAGCACCTGTCTCCTCCCATCAAGTCAGTGGCTTGTCCTCTCCTACAGATTCAGACCCGAATCTAGCATTGACTAGCCGTGTGACTCTGGGAAAGTCACTGTCCCGCTCTGAACCTGAGTCTTGCCTCAGAAGGTGGTCATGAGAGTTGGATGAGACTGTATAGTGAGCCACATGGCATGGAGTGGCATACCATGCAGCTGCTCCCTAAATGCCAGCTTCTGCTCTGATAGGCCTGCCGCCTGTTAAGGAGCTCCTTCTCGCCTTTCTCAAAAGTCCCAGGGAACCTTGTCTGGGAGACCTACCAGAGTGTACTCCCTGCAACAGCTGTCGCAACGTTTGGTGTCCTGTGACACTGAGGTGTTCAGTTTGCAGGTGTTTGCATGTGGCTGGTGGTAGAGCAGGGCCAGGCAGACCTGCTTCATCTCCTGGCTCCACTAACTTCTTGCTGTGTGACCTTAGGCAATTGACATAAGCCACTTGTGTCTCACTCTATTTGTGTCTCATTCTCCTCTTCTGTTAAAAGAGGCAAAATAATGGCTACCTTACAATGAAATTGTGAGAATTAAGTGAGAAATAAGTACATAGCATGGTGTGGAGTACACAGCAGTCACTCAGCAGCTGCGCTGTGTGTGTTGAGGGGGGTAGGCTGCTCCCTATCAGGCTGAGTCCTCCCAGGAAAGGACTGACTCCTCTTTGTCCTGGGTCTCCCCAAGCACCAAACAAAGACAGTCCCCATTCTGGAGGGTTCACGCTAATCGGGGGGAAAAACCCATCCCCCTCCTACTGCTCACTTCCTAGGCTCCCAGGCCATTCATCTTATTAACTTGGTAACTGTGCATTAACTATTGGCAGAGGGCTTGCCAGTATGGCTGTGGAGCTATTTGGGAATGATTATCTTCCCTCTTTTGAGGTTTCCCATTTGAGTTTAGGGGATCAACGACCTACAAATGGAGATCTCCTATTTCATTCGACAAAGAGTGATTGAGTATCTAGGATGTGCAAAGCAAATGCTAAGCTGCATCCTGGGCTGGTATTGGGGCATCAGAGATACTGCAAGATCCTAGCCCCAAGGCATCCCCAGATGCCATCTTACTCTTGCCAGCCCAGCCCCAAGCATGGTCAATTAGCCAACTTTTTAGCCCTGGGAGAGGGAGTCCAGCAACGGGCAAAGGGTGGTTTTGTCGGGGAGCACTGCCCCGGATGTCCTGGACAACGGCTCAGCCACAATCAGCTGTTTGATTTTTGAATGAGTTTCTAATTTCTCTTGGCCTCAGTTTTCTCATAAAATCAGGAATTTGATTGGATGACATTCAAGGTCACCTGTCTATCCTAAAGTACTGTATTACTAGAACTTTAGGTTCTTTGGGGGGTCTAAACTGAATCCCTTTTGCTGCATTTTAAGCCAATGGGAACTATATACTTGGTAACAGGTGAGCAACATGGGGTAGGGGTGAACAAGCCTAGTTCTCAGCATAGAGAGCTGCATTTTTAATTTATTTGTTAATTTTTTAATTTTTTTATTATTATTTTCTTGAGGTGGAGTCTCACTCTGTCACCCAGGCTGGAGTGCAGTGGTGCGATCTCGGCTCACTGCAACCTCTGTCTCCCAGATTCAAGTGATTCTCCTGCCTCAGGCTCTCGAGTAGCTGGGATTACAGGCATGTGCCATCACACTCAGCTAATTTTTGCATTTTTAGTAGAGATACGGTTTCACCATATTGGCCAGGCTGGTCTTGAACTCCTGACCTTAGGGGATCGGCCCACCTCGGCCTCCCGAAGTGCTGGGATTACAGGCGTGAGCCACCGCGCCTGGCCTGCATTTTTTTTTAGTCTCTCATAGTGAGAGAGCTCTGGTGGGATTGCATTCTAATTAAATATTTAATGGAGAGTGTCTGTCTGTTAAAATCACTGCCACCGCCTTGGGGATGGGTCTCCTTTGTATTCTTATTTGCAGCTTGCCTGCAAATTGCAGGACTAAGCCTAGCGGGAAATCTCCCCCTAAGACCACGTGGGATCTCTGAGTCCAGAGAGATTGTCTGAAGGCCAAAGGAGCATTTCAGGGCTCTGATCCCGCCCCTCCTACCCAACTTCTCAAAGCCTATTATGATACCTCAATCAGGAACCAGGATATGCGCTCAGCCCCATGTTTGGAGCTTCTCTTTATTCTGCCTGCTCTCTGAGAGCTGGGGGGAAAAAAGAGTGTGTGCTTTTTTTCTGCGTTAATAAAACCCGAAATGAGTCTTCATTAAGGGCTCCATTAAGAAGCCACTGTTATTCTTGGCACTCATTAGCAATGCTGCTCACCACTAAATTGCCACACTGGCATTTTCCCCGGGCTTCGTAGAGCCTCCTCCCGATGCTGGAAAGCTGCTCTTAAGATAGATCTGGACTTGCTGAGTTTCAGAGATGGGGGGACTAGTTCCTGATGAGTTTACCTCATCCATTCCCCTGTCTCCAAACACATGCTTTTCCTTCTAGCTCTGCCAGCTTCTAGAGCCTCTCTCACTAGACTGTTTGAAGACTTAGTGGACCCTGGGTGGAAGTTCTTCCCCTTGTGGAACAGCCCTGTTGTGCTGCAGCGTCACCCCATGTGGATCCTTCACTCTGACACTGAAGAATATCTTTCTTTCTAAGAGCACTTTGCTTTCTTCCTCCTACTGAATTCAGATCCTCAGTCAATCTTTGTAAGTGATGAAGCCCTGCCTCCTTCCTGTATCCCTGTGGTAAGACACCACCCTAGACAATGTACTTCCCTAGGGTAAGTTTGTCTTTTAGGTTCACGGCCCCCTGTATTTGTACCCTTTTTAGAGAAGAAACCGACTTCACCCTTGCTTTCAAGGCAAGGCCTTTGACAATGGCCAAGCCTTTATCCAGGACCTGTGGCTGCCCGACCCCTTCTCCCCAAGCAATCAACTAACATGTATTGAATTCATATGATGTGGCAAGCACGGGGTCAGGTTTTCCATCGCATTTAGCCAGAATCATATTTCCAACAAGTGAGATTTTGGTTGCTAACATGTTATAAATGAAAAAAACAGACAATTTTAAAGGAGTTTAGGCCCTTAATCACACAGGTAGTAAAAAGTAAACGCAGAGTCAAACCCAGATCTCCTGACTCCAAGTAGAATGCCTGCCCACCTCCCCACACCGTCCTTGTCTTCTCTCTCCTTCAGATAATGACTAGTAAACATCAGAAAGGACTCTGAGATGCACTGCTAATGGCGAGCTGCTGATGTGATAATAAAAAGTTAGACTAAGGGTTTTGCTCACGTGTTAGAACTTTTACATCCAAGAGGCATTGTTCCCATCCGTGTAATTCACTTGGAAAGCTTGATACCCATTCCAGTCACATCGCGCTGTCAAATCACTTTGGGAACTCCCCTTTGGAAGTCTGTGGCATGTGGTCTTGAATATTGGCAAATGTTTATTCTTTGAGGGTAAACTGTATCTTTGGAAACACCCCCAAAGGCATTTGGATTGAAGTCTGGAGAATAGGTAAGTGACCAAAACACGGGACTTTGCTTTGGGCCAAAAACCTTTTAAAACATCTCTGTGTAGATACTTATTGCAAACAGGTCCTAGCTTCTGTGTTGTAAGAAAGAGATCTCAAGTGTTTCAGAATCTTGCCATATGAAATAAAGCTTGACTGACCATTTGATGGGTATGGAGTGGGGTAAATGTGGGCACTGATACTTGAAACCAAATGACCCATATTCTCCCCTCATGCTTTCACCACTGTTTTGGGTGTGGGAGAGATGTTGGCTCCCTGACCCTGGGTCAGCTGGAGCATCAAAGGTCATTGATCACCATTTTCCTGCCAACAACGCTAAATGGAGATGCTCTCTCTTCTGTCCATCACAAGAGTGTGGCTCAGCCTTTTATAAAACCACTCCCTATGTCCGCATTCCCTGAGCTCTTCAGCCATCATGGTCACTTTTTTTTTTGGAGATGGAGTTTCACTCTTATTGCCCAGGCTGGAGTGCAATGGCATGATCTCAGCTTACTGTAACCTCCGCCTCCCGGGTTCAAGCAATTCTCCTGTCTCAGCCTCCCGAGTAGCTGGGATTACAGGCATGCACCACCATGCCTGGCTAATTTTGTATTTTTAGTAGAGATGGGGTTTCTCCATGTTGGTCAGGCTGATCTCAAACTCCCGACCTCAGGTGATCCACACGCCTTGGCCTCCCAAAGTGCTGGGATTACAGGTGTGAGCCACCACACCTGGCCTCACCACGCCCGGCCTCGTGGTCACTGTTAATTTTCTCTTCCAATGAACTGAGTCTTTTACCTTCTTCAATATTTTCATTAGTCCCAGAGAGGGAAGAGGAAGAGGGCTGGACAATTGCTTCTGGCTTCTGGGTCCTTGCTCCTCTTTCTTTAAACTTGGTGAGTCTGTGTAACAACCTATTGCTTTTTGGCATGACTTCACTTGGACACACTTTTTTGAGATGCTCAAGTGTCCCCTTTGAGCTCTCTGACTTTAGCCATGTTTGACCTTGATTTTCAGGCCTCAGGAATCTTCACTGGGGCTGAATGCAGTGGGAACAGGAAGTGTGTGATGGACCGATGTTGAGGAATTGCTGCTATGGACTGAGAGGTGTTGGTCTCTCCTCCTCTGCTTTCAGGGGAAACCCATCTGGTGAAGTTACGGTTATATTAAGCATGGACAACTTAACAGGGACCCCTGGAATTAGGTGCCCTTGTCTCTGTTATTTCAGGCAAACTCAATGGGAACTTGGGCAGTGACCATCCCTGTGAGCTTCAGTTTTGTCATCTGTAGAGTGGGATAACGATACCTATCTTCAGAGGTTGTGAAGACCAAGTGAGATGATTCATACAAAAAGCTTGGCTCGTGACTGGTGCATACCAGGTGTTCAAAATGAATGCCACTATGTATGATGATACCAACGTATTAGTGACTCCAGCTGGCTGTGAGCTGGAGCTAACTCATCTGGGAGGGAGGGGAGGGGAGAGGTGAGGAGTGGGTGGGAGCTGTCCATGGTTCTGCGTCCATTCAGCCAAGAAGCCATTTGACTGATTCAGCAAACATCAGTGATCACCTCTTTTGTGTCAGCACCCTTCTTGGCACTGAATTCTTCAGGCAAAAGGAAAGCACTTTTCTAGGTTCTCAGAGTCTCATTCACACAGAGGTGGAGTGTCGGCGAGTATGGGGCTGTCTCACGTACGTGCATCTCTGTGGGCACGTTGTTCTAACACTATGTGTGTACTGTGGGTGTACTCTCTCTCTCTCTCTGTGTGTGTGTGTGTGTGTGTGTGATGAGAGAGAGAGAGAGGAGGGAAGGTGGGAAGGGGCCATGTGGGTGGCAGCTGAGATGAAGGCGGGGTATTGCTGTAATAGAGCTCACCTGTGTAAACTGGCTGGCAAGGAGGCCCCAGCTCAGCCACGAGGAGAGGATGGCCTCCCAGAAACCCCTGAAGAGGCTGTAGGGCATACTGACTTCCACCCCATCCCCATCCCAGCCCACCAGAGCAGAGTAAATCTGAGGACAGAGCTGAGCTGTTCCCCTGCTGGGCACTTCAAACTAATTTTCTGGTACATTATACACTTGGCCTTTTGAACAATCAATGGCCTTAAATGCTGTTTGGTTCCTGCAGCCAAATCCAAGAGAAATAAGACATAATCCATCTGGTGGATATGGCCAGGGCAGAGAGTGAGGGAGGGGAAGAGGAGTCTAGAGTTGCTGGGACTGGACCTCTGCCTGGCTCAGGAGGGCGGGGTGGGGCTGGGGGTAGAATTGAGAGGGACCTGCCAGGTTTGGAGAGAATGGGCCTTTAAGGGGTATTGATGGCCAGCTAATCACAGGCCCATTTGTCTCAATGCATCCTGGCCACTCCAGCTGTCACTCCCTCAGGTGCTGAGCTATGGTGGGGGAGGGCTGGGATACAGCTCAGGGTTCAGGGCTCAGGGCAGGGACCCCAGCCTTGGTGTGGATGTCCTCGAAGCCAGGACAGATGTGTCTCAATCTGAAGTTAGATTTTGGGCAGAATCACCTAGGATCCCTGAGATGGCACCGGGCAGGATGTCCTGAGGGCAGGGACTGGTGTCCCAGAACAGGCTTAGGACTGATCGAAAGAACCCACCCTGGCTCAGGAGGACAGCATGACCACTGCCAGCCCTGGTCTGGGGCGAAGCCTGGCAGAGGGTGGAGTGGAGAGGGTGCATGTGGAGGAAGGGGCTCGGTTATTCCATAGTGAGAGGGAAAGCAGGATCTGCCTTCTTCAGAGCCTCTGCTGCCCACAAGGGTGAGACCCCTGGAAGGACCAATAGCCCAGAGTCTCAGGCTGCCCTGGTGCCACCAATGGCCCAGCTAGAGGACTGTACCCCAGGGACCCCAGGAATGAGGTGGGGGAGTCAAGGACCCCAGGGCCCAGTTTCCCATCTTTTCTAGAAATAGTCACTGTCTAGAAATAGGTAGGTAGAGGATACAGACCTCTTCTGGACCCATGGGCTTGGGCCTCTGCTGGACTCAGGGGTGGGACCTTGTGGGAAACTCTCTGGAGCTGGGAGAGCTGATGTTTGTGGTATGAGGTCAATTGTCTCAGCAGCCTGCTGAGATGTGGGGGAGGTGAGAAAATGCGCCATTCCCAAGGGCTGTTTGGAAGTGGCTTCCCTGGGCAGGCATGTGGGTGGAGGGGGTGGTGTGTGGGAGGTGGCAGCTCCCTGCACCTGGCTCTGGGGAATGGGACCCACCCTAACTACCTGTCTGCATCTTCAAGCACTATCTCCTGCCTGGATTGCTGCTGGTACCATGCCTGAGATACAGGCCACACCCCAGCTCCTGGGGGGAGAGAAGGTAGAGGAGGCTAATAAGGGGCCTACCCAGGTGCCAGGGCAGAGACAGAGATAGGGGAAAGGGGGCCTGGGGAGGGTGAAGGGGGACCTCCCTAGAGATGGGCAGGTGGGGGCTCATGGTGGGTGATGCCAGGAAGGAGAGAAGCCAAGCTTGGCGTTTATTTGGGCTGTGGACTCTCCTCCCTTCCAATTATTCACAGCCAGGCCCACAAGGTCCCCTCCAAAGCATGGCCCTACCTGGCCCTACTTACCTAGAGAACTGCTCCTGCTTCCTTGGTTTGGGGACGTGCAGCCTTCAGCTGCTGCAGCAGCGACAATACAGTGGTGGCAGCAGCTCTGTGATAAAGGCGGGGCCTGTGCACCTCTCCAATAAGTAATTATGCCGAGAGTGTGTTCTACGGAGACGTGGGGCTTGTCTGACAAGGCACACTCTTGTTCCTGCTGCTGAAGCAGCTAGGGAGCTGAGTGGAGAGGCCAGGGGCTGGAGGCGATGGTGCTGCATGGGGACCCGGCATGGATAACGGGCTGCTGATCCTCAAGGGCTCTCATCCAGGGGGTGCACCTGCCCCTCCCCAGGCCAGAGGAAGGAAAAGGGGGGCTAGGTCAGAGGACTCCCCAAACAGGGATGTGTAGAAGAGCTGGGGGATGTTACACACTTATATTAATACCTTGTTTCAACAATTATTATAGTAGCAGAGATACCTAATATTTACATAGTGTTCTGTACTTTTCAGAGCATTTTCATGTTTGATTCTTCCCATAACCCTTTCATGAAAGGGCAGATCTTTTCTCCCATTTGAATGATGAAGAAACCAAGACCTGAGAACATTTGGCGGCTTGACCAAGGTCGCCGGACAGAGCTGGATTTCTTGACCCATTGGTTGGGCTCCTTCCCTAGGTCCAGGTTGGCCAATCCCCCGACACAGCCGAGCCCGCATGGCACACCACAGGCCCTGTGTGTGAGGTCTCCCGGCAGGAGCTGAGAGGAGAGGTCTGGAGGGAGAAGGGACTTGGAACCCTGCATTGGGAAGCTTCTGGCAGCAGGACAGGCCATTCCTGCAAGGCAGAGTGAGGCGGCTCCACAGGTGTGGACCAGCACGTGTTTCCACACAGACACGACAATGTCCTAGGAGGGGGCTGCTGACACTGATTGCCATCTGCGTGCTGGGTCTGGTGTAAAAGACACTGCATGACAACCAGCCCTTTCCACACTGTGCACACGTGAAGATGGTGCCCAATGAACCCCACAGATTCTGCCCAGGAAGCACTGAGAGCCCAGAAGAGATGACAGGCACATTCAGTGGGCCTGGGCGAGCCAGGGAAGCTTCCCGATGGAGGCAGTTTTGAGTGGAGTCTGGAGGAAAAAAAAAGGACAGCCATCATCAGATGAGAAACAGAGGGCCTGGGGCAAAGGGATGAGTGGTCTAGGATGGTGAGTGTTTCAGTTTGGGTAAACCCAGGAGTGGATGAGGGGCCTGGGATGGCTGGCAGTTGAAATAGAAGGTCAGGTATGAATTTGATATGCTAGAAATTAAGGAGCCCCTGAGGGTCATTACAAGGGAAGAAATAAGATCAAAACGGTGTGACATGAGGATGGGAAGGAGGGACTGAAGACAGGCATGGGGCGAGCACTTTGGTCAGCAGCGTTCCATCTGACTTGGAATTCTAGGCCACCATGCAACCTGGACTTCTCTGGCTGGCTGCCGGGCTTTGGGACCTCTAGTGCACTCTGCCACCAGATTAGGCTGGGTTTTGGAAGGTGGGGATGGATGGCTCCCACAGCCCATTGCCCCGACCCATGGCGCCTTCCCCCACCGAGCCAGGCTCCAGCCTTCCCTCGACAGGATGCCAGGTCAATGCTGGATTCTGCCTCAGGCTCCAGGAAAAATCTTGCTGCTCTGGGAAGATGCCCTGCTGCTCCTTCTGCTCTGCTCTGTGGTGATTGATGGCTGTGGGTAGGTGGGTAAGAGCCTTCCTTCCCCTGCTCCAGATGGTTGGAGTGGGTGAGGCTGGCTCCTGGAGTAGCCAAAGAGGAGTGGATGGGCCAGGGAGGTGCCCAGAGGTGGGAGGTGTTCCGAGGGTTGTTCTAGATGTAGTGGCTGGTTCCAGGGGCCAGGAGATGGCTGTAGAGTACCATACCATTATCTTAATACTGAGTTCTTTTTTTTTTTTGTGAAGTGGAGTCTCACTCTGTTGCCCGGGCTGGAGTGCAAGGGCGTGATCTCAGCTCACTGCCACCTCTGCCTCCTGGATTCAAGCGGTTCTCCTGCCTCAGCCTCCCGAGTAGCTGGGATTATAGGCATGCGCCACCACTCCTGGCTAATTTTTGTATTTTTAGTAGAGATGAGGTTGAATCATGTTGGTCAGGCTGGTCTTGAACTTCTGACCTCAAGTGATCTGCCCGCCTTGGCCTCCCAGAGCGCTGGGATTACAGGCGTGAGCTACCACAACCGGCCAATACTCGGTTCTTCTAAGTAGGAAGAAAGTAACATTTTGCTACCTAATTTCTTGGCCTTTCAAGCCCACCCTGGACTAAGGCCCTGAGGTACTCATGATGGCTGAGCAGGAAGGGCCTGCTATTGTCATAAAGGGGAACCAAGGTCCATGGCGGAAAAAGGTGGTTTATCCTTAAAAGGGTGTTCTCTGTGAGTGACACTCCAAAGCACCTTCACTAACCCATCTGGGTCCCCACAGTGTGAGGTAGGACAGGGTTGCTTCTGTCTCCCTCTGCCAGGCTTTCCTGGGGAATTTTAAAGGGACAAATTCTCTTCCCAGGATTGGGGGTGGAGGGAACCCAGGAGCTATAGGCACCTGTAAACCCAATTTAAAAATCAGTCTAGCCAACCAGCCCCCAAAGGAACCAGAGGGAGCTATAGAGTAACTCAAAAGCAGACACTAATGGAGGAGAAAAGAAATGTAGTTACATATTCATGAGCTTTTAAATATTCATGAGGATTGTAAAGCAGATTAATTTTCATGCCTCATTTCTCCCGAGGTTCCCGCTGTCCATATTTTACCACAGCAAGAGAAGAAGAGGGAGCGATGGATCACCTGGCCACTGCCCTTACCATCACTTAAGGAGCAGCATGCGTGAGCGTGTGTGTGTGTGTGTGTGTGTGTGTGTAAGGGCCGGGGAGCAGGAGATGTGGTCGCTGTGGAGGTGTAGGCGCTAGCCTCCTGAGGGACCAGCTCTACCTCCTGCCAGGCCAGGACAGCGTGGGGACAGCAGGGCACAGCTGCAGACCAGGGTGGGGAGGAGGTGGCGGTGCCTGAGGACAAGGGGGCATCCTGGAGCGGGGCAGACTCTGGAGCCATCAAGGTAATTTCGGGCCTCCCCAGGGTGAAGAGAGAAGAAAGAGGACCTTTACCAGAGTCAGCAGGAGCTCCACCTCCACTCCCCTCAACTCATGGTCTAGATGAATGATTGAGTGAGGTGAGGGAGCGGAGGAGAGGGCATGCAGAGGGGCGGAGAGGCATGAAAGACACCGAAGGACAAAGGGAAGGGGCAAGAAACAGAGGCGGACAGAAGCCATGGGCGAGGAGAAAGCAAAAGGGTGAGGGTTCCAGCTGGAGGGCTGAGAATGAAAGGACGAAGGGGAAAAGCAGCAGGGATGGAGGTTAGATATCTTGAAGGACTTCCAGATCCCAGGGCTATTGGACCTTCTCTCTATAGGGCATGGGAGAAATATTCACCCAAGCCATACACCAGTGGTGAGGCATAGTACAGAGGAGCTGAAATCAGAAATGTGCCAAGATTGCTTGGGAAACAGCCAACAAATGTCCCGGCCAGCAGGGGCAAGGCAGAGTTAGGGGAGACTCCCTGTCAAATGCAAGGTGTCCACGTGAGACATCCCGTGGGCTAAGGGGACAAATCTTGTCCAGAGTCATGAATGGGAACCAGAAACTTCTGTGAAGAGCAGAATATGGGCCCCTGGGGGACAGCCACCTGCGCAGCTTCTTGGAGGTCCTGGAGTGTGGTTCTTGGGTAGGAATGCAGTCCATTTAAAACAAGGCCAGGCCAGCAGCCTTCAGTAGCTTGGATCCACTTTCTTGGAATTAGAGGAGGAATGGTCCAGCCTCTGAAGGGGGCGGGTCAGTTTTCCAGCTCCTGCCACTTCATGGAGACTGAAGTCTGTTCCAGGGAGTGGGAAACGCAAGGAGCTCTCTGGTGATGTTTGAGCATCACTAGGCAAGACCTTCACCAGTAGGCTCCTTCCCCAGCTGCCTTCCCTCCACACTGTCTGGGATCTCCCCACTGAATTCCTAACTTGTGTGTCCAGCTGCTTATGGGATATGTCCACTGGGAGGTCCAGTAGGCATCTCAAACCTAGCATGTCCACAGCCACGCTGACCCACTCACAAGCCTGTCTGGCTGCAACCTTCTCTATACCAAGCCAGTGGCAACTCCATCCTTGCAGCTCCTCAGGGCTGTCAAAAGTCTAAAGATCTTAAATGGCTTTTATTTGTGGTTCTAGAATCAGGTGACACCTTGTTTTATAAAACAGAGTGAGTGTTCCGAAGAGCTAACCAGAGGAGGTGGGTTTTATGGACAGGAAAAGGCTGAGCAGAAACAGGGAACGAAAAGTGAACTTGTCATTTCAAAGTTCCTTTTTCTTGTAAAGGTTAAAGCAGAGGGGACTTCCTTTCTTGCCAATGAAAATTGGCCAGTTTGGAGACTTGGCTATTATCTCTCTCTCCTGATCCCTCCCAAGTTCAGATAAAGATCTTAGTTCTGGCTTGGTGGCGTGGAACTTCGGCATGAATGACTCCACTTTGGTTTGGTCTGTTGGGCCCAGTGCAGGAGCTTAGACCAAGCCATTGGCCTCCTATAAATTGTATTTAACAGGGCAAACAACTTAGGAGTCACCCTTGCCTCCTTGCTCCTTCAGCCCTTCAACATAATAGTCAGAACCCCACCGCTCCCACCACCTCTGTGGCTCCAGCTGGGCCCAAGCCCACATCTTCTCTCGTTTGGTTGCAACAGAAGCCATCTGCTTACCTCCTGACCCTCGCCTGTCTATTCACACAGTGGCCAGAGTGAGGCTTTTACCAGGGCAGAGCATGTCCTGTCTCTGTTCCCATCTCAGAGTCACAGCCCACATTCTCCGTGGCCTAGAAGGCTCTTTGCAGCTGGCCTCTCCATTTGTCTCCCTGTCTCGCCTTTTTCTCTTGCACACCCCTGCAGCCACACTGGGCTCCTTGAGCAAGCCAGGACTGCTGCCACCTCAGGGCCTTTGCACGGCGCTCCCTTCCTCCCTCCCGAGCACTTGCCTAGATGTGCCTTCTCAGTGAGGTCTTCTCTGAGCACCTGATTTAAAATTGTCATCCTGTTCCCTGGCTCTCTCTCACCCTGCTCTATTTTGCCCCCATAGCACTTTTTGCCTTCTACCATGCTACACAGTTATTTATTTTGTTTGTTGGTATTGTATACTGCCTGCCCCCACCCACTGGAATATTGGGTTTCTGAGAGCAGAGATTCTGTCCATTGAGTTCTGTGCTGCATCCTCAGCACCTACAGCAGAGCCTGGTACATGTGGAAATCCTGTGGGAGATTTCCACAATCAATATTTATTCCACAGGAGGCATCCCCTTCTGACCATGAAGGGTTAACCGCTGTAGAAATTGCCCATCTACCCAGCACTTTGGGAGGCCACGGCGAGCGATCACCTGAGGTCAGGAGTTCGAGATCAGCCCAGCCAACATGGTGAAACCCTGTCTCTACTAAAAATACAAAAATTAGCCAGGTGTGGTAGTGCTCGCCTGTAATTTCAGCTACCTGGGAGGCTGAGGCAGGAGGATGGCATGAACCCGGGAGGCGTTGCAGTGAGCTGAGATTGAGCCATTGTACTCCAGCCTGGGTGACAAGAGTGAGATTCTGGCTCAAAAAAAAAAAAAAAAAGGACAAAGAAACTATTCATCTAATGCAAACAACTGAACACTGGATGAAATATAGGGCTTGGTGTGATGGCTCACGCTTATAATCCCAGCACTTCGGGAGGCCGAGGCGGGTGGATCGCCTGAGGTCAGGAGTTTGAGACCAGCCTGATCAATGGTGAAACCCTGTCTCTACTGAAAGTACAAAACTTAGCTGGGCGTGGTGGCACGTGCCTGTAGTCCCAGCTACTCGGGAGGCTGAGACAGGAGAACTGCTTGAACCTGGGAGGTGGAGGTTGCAGTGAGCCGAGATCGTGCCACTGCACTTCAGCCTAGGTGACAGAGCAAGACTCTGTCTCAAAAAAGAAAAAATAAAAATAAAAATAAAAGAAAGAAAGAAATATAAGAAATGACTGTTTCCAGACAGTGGGCATCAGGTGGCATAGGGTGGTAGGCCCCAAGAGAAGGGAAACAAGTTAGGTGACCCCACCCCAACACAGTACAGCAGCTTACTGCCTGGAGAAAGTTGGCAGAGCCAGGTGGTTGAGTTGGTGAGACGGAGATTGGGTTGGAGGAGGCTAGAATCTGTGAGGAAGAATCCTGGGGAGAAGGGAGCTGCAGGCAGAGTTCGGGAAGCCTGTAGAAAGGTCCTCAAAACTTTGGCTGAACACTGAGCTGACAGAAAGCAGTAGGCTGAACAATTAATTCCTGGAGCTTACATGCGGCTGTGGCTCAGATTCCCACCAGTGAGTGGAGAGTGCTTGCAGTACCTGGTGCATTGGATAGAGGCCTCCTGAAGATGCTACTGTAGCCCTGACGCCTGTCCTGAACTCAGTCTAACAGAGCTTAAAAACAAGCATTAAAAGGATCAAAGCAATTCCAAATAACTGAGCCAGAACAAAGTCCAACACTCTTTAAAAGAATAGAATAAGATCCAGAACTCAGCAATGTAAAATTCACAATATCCATCATCTAATAAAAAAATTAAGTCATGCAAAGAAGCAGGAAAATACGGCTTATAACCAGAAGAAAAATCAATCAACAGAAACAGACCCAAAAATCAACAGAAACAGAAAAATGATGAAATTAGCAGAAAGGATACTAAAGCAGTGATTATAGATTATGTTCCATATGCTCAGAAATGCAGAGGAAAACATGAACATGATGAGAAGAGAGATGGAAGATTTAAGAAAAACAAATGTAATTTATAAAGATGAAAATAGAATATCTGAAATAAAAATACTGTTGAACAAATAAATGATTTTATTTCTGCTGTTGCTCCTATCAAAACCATATGGGTCAGGGGTGGGGGAGAGCGACTCAGTGGCTCACGCCTGTAGTCCCAGCACTTTGGGAGGCCGAGGTAGGCAGATCGATTGAGCCCAGGAATTCAAGACCAGCCTGGGCAACAGGGCAAAACCCCGTCTCTACAAAAAAAAAAAAAAAAAAAAAAAAAGAGAAATAAAATTAGCTGAGCGTGGTGGCATATGTCTGTAGTCCCAGCTATTTGGGAGGCTGAGGTGGGAGAATCACCTGAGCCTGGGAGGTTGAGGCTGCAGTGAGCCATGATTGTGCCACTTGCACTACAGCCTAGGTGACAGAGTCACTCACTGTTGTTTCAAAACAACAATAACAACAACAAAAAACCCCACATGGGGTGTGAGAGGCATGTTTTTCCAAAAAGCTTATTCTCCCTGCAGCCTGTGCTTGCCCCTCCCCCCACCTTGAGATGGCATGAGTTGACTGCATTCACTTTCCCAGCTCCGCCGGACTCTGTGGAAACAGGCTTCTTTTCTATTTGGTCCTCAAATACAATCTAGATTTCAGGTTGCAAGCAGTGGCTCTCCTCAGTCACCTTTCAGCTGATGTTTCCTGAGCCCCTCCCATGTCCTCTGATCTGAGTGCACTCCACCTCCCGTCCAGCATCATCATGAGCCTCTCCTCTCCATCAGTCCCACTGTATCCCACACTTAGTCGTGGGGCTCTTGTAAGGGGATGATGAGCAAGACCCGGCCTCTGCCCCATGGAGCTCCGAGTCTAGCCAGGTTTGCTCAATGCAAGGAAGAAAGTGACAAGGTTCATGAGATCAGTGTGGACAGGTACTTAGGGAGAAAGAAAGCCTCATGTGGAGGTCAGAGAAGGCTTCATGGAAGAGGTGGCATCTGTGCTGGGTTTTGAAGGATGGATAAGATTTGGGCTGCTGGGAATGAAGGGACGGGTATTCTGGGCAAAACTGGGCGTCATCCTGAACTCCCTCACCTCTTATTTCCCCTTCTCTCAGCACATTTGTCATCTGCCTACCGGCACTGCCGTGAAGCCTGGTCCCGAGCACCTGAGCCTCTCATTTCTCATCCCCCTCGCATTTCATCTCACCCCTTTCCTTCTCTCCCTTCTCTTCCTTCTCTCATATTTTGAATGCAAAATATGAACAGCTCCTAAAAAGGGCAGAGTTGTTCATCGACGGCTTTCCACATATCAGCTGACCTTCAGGGTGCCTCGGGGTGTGGTGGGCATGTGCAAATGAGCAGGGCTGGAGGGAGGCTGAGCAGTGGGTGGCGGAGGTGCCCATCCTTCAGGTATGCTTGTTCTAGATAAGGATGAGCTTGTTATTGACAATGATGTCACTGGACAAAGCCCAAGGAGGGAGGATCGGGAGTGGGGGTTCCCTGTGGTGGGAGGTTTGAGCAAATGGGGAGCTCAGACACCAGCTCTGAGGTGACGCATGCACCCCTCCTCCCTTCCCACCTCCCTGGGTCTGCCATCTTCCCTGGAGTGGCTTCTGCCTGTCATCCAGGCAGATGTCCCTCCTCTCCCTTCCCCACAGCAGGGTGGAGAGGTGGTGTCCACGGGGTGGCAGACAGAAAGTCTGGGTGAGCGCTCAACCTCCTAGGACTTTCCACCTGAAACCTCAAGATCCAAGCTGGGGCAGTGCTGGCCTGTAGCTCTGGGCATCAACTGAGCCAGCCTGGGGAAAATCTGGGAAAAGGGCACCACAGTGGGGTGGCTGTGAGGCCTAACTTTGGTGCCACGTGGCGCTGGGCCAGAATTGCATCTCCACTATCTAAGTGCTTGAGGTAAGTTTCTTAACCTCCAATCTGCAGTGTCCTTATCTGTAAAATGGAGACAATGAAACTGCCTACCTCTCAGTGTGGGCATGTTAAGCAGTGCGTAAGGGCAGGTGCTGTTATGATTATGTCACCTCGTTGTTGTTGTTGGCAGACTTGCTGAGAGGACGGTGGCTGCACCCCCACACCTTGTCCTGGTTCCCCTCTCATCACCCCTTCCTCCAGCTGCTGTTTCTAAGCCCCAGCTTCCTGACCCCTGCTCTGGACCCTTGTCTGACAGCCCCCAGAGGGACTCATCATGTCCTTAATTGCAATTCTCTTGCTCAGCAAAGCCATCAGCACCTAATGTCCCATGTCATTGCTGGTTCTCTGTCTGCAGACACCTCGCTCCTCCTCGGAGCTGCTCAGCCACCCAGGCAATGCCATCTGGCCAGGAAAGGCCACGGCACGGAGCAGTGCCAGGACCTTCTGGGGATGCATTGGTGACAATTTGCTTACAAATAATTTAATATCAGAGGGCAGAAGACTTCATGACTCTATCCCTGGCTCTTTCTGCCACTATGAACCTCCACCCTATCTTCTCCTTGAAATCACAGAGGTACCACTTCTCTCTAACACCAAGGCGTCCCCATCTCCTGCTGAGCTGGCCCCAAACCCAGTGAAGAACTGCAGTCCCCCCGCCTGACTTGGCTCTGATGCCCTTGTTGAGTTTTTAAGGTGGGGCCCAGCAAAAAGCCAGAGCTGGGGAAGGGGAACTTGAAGGAAGACTTGGAACCCAGCAGAGACCAGGATCAAGGGAGAACTTATCCCAGGGGTCTGCGTTCCCATTCTCTGGGTCCCAGTGCAGGGCCCCCTACCCTGGGCAGAACCTCTGCTAATCCAGTCAAGCCACTGCTGAAGCCGTTCTCACAGGGTGAACAAGAATTCTGGACAGAAATATGGTGATAAGCATTAATCAGGCTGCACTTGACCCACTCCTTTGTAACCGACAGTCACGTAGAACTTGACACTGGCCATTTGCATCCCAGTTGTTCCTATAGATAAGATATCTGGTGTTAGAGTCATAAGACTTTTGTTTAAGAATTACTTAAGCAGATCCTGAATTCCAGTGAAACACCTGACACCAATCATTTTGAAGACCCCTAAAGAGGAACCGAGTCCGGGTGAGAACACAGTTTCTTCATCTCCCTGTCCCATAACTTCACCCTGTACTCGAATCAATCGACAATCTCCACACTCTGGCCCCCTCCAAAACCATTCAAAACCCTAGCCCCAGACTCCTTGGGGAGACGGATTTGAGGTTTCCTTCTGTCTCCTTGTTTGGTGGCCCTACAATTAAACCCTTTCTCTGATGTAACCTGGTGTTTCAGCATATTGACTTGTCATGCACAATGGGCAACAAACCTCTTACGGTTACACTGCTGCCCCTCCTCCCAGCCTCAGCACCCAGGGGCACCCAGGATCACAGGGAGCAGCTTCCTCAGGAGTCCACACCCAGCCCTGGCCTGAGAGTGGCTTGCTTAGGCTGCCTGCCCCCCACCCCCAGGATGAGGCCGAAAGTATGTGGGCAGTTCTAGCAGCCAGCCCAGTCGAGTCCAGGACAACAGACTTGTTCCCAGGGAGCCCAGAGACACCCCAGGTTCAAAAGAGAGCTCAAAGAGAGGCCCTCCAGGGGAGCAGGAGCCCTGCTGGCTGCAATCCTGGTCCCCCCCAACTCCAGTACCTCCATGTCCAGCCATGTTCCGGCCACCTCCACTCCCAGGCTTGTGGGAGATTTGTCTTTCTTACCATGAGCCCAGGAGGAGATAGAGACCCCGTTGCTGGTTTCTCTCAGTACTGCTGGGATCTGCTGGCATTCTCACAAAGAACTTCCATAAATACTAAGGGGGAACAAAAGGGAAGTAATTACAGCAAATACAAACAGCATGAAAATAGTCAAGTTTTTAAAGTACCGGTTTCCCAGCCTCAGACAACCACCCTGGAGCCCTGGGGGCTGGTCTGCCTTCCCAGCGGGCCCTGTGCCAATGCTCCCACCTTCCCGGACTCGCCTGGTGCTGCCCATCAGGATCTTGGCACCTGCAGGTCTGGGGGCCAGGCTGAAGCCCCCACCTTTCATTTCTAGTTTTCCACGTGAGGATTTGCCTCACCACAGCTGGCCACTGGAGCTGCAGCATCTGACACACTGAATAACTCACCTTTCAGGTGCACGCGAAGGCCTCAACCATCTGGAGAACACCTGCTGCAACAGGTAACACCCCCGTGTCCAGGCCCAAGGCCTTGTCCATTGCACACCCACAGCCCAGCCCTGTTTTCACTACCTTGATGGACAATTGTTGGAGTTAACTCTCCAACTATCCACGAACCCTGATCCATCCTGCTCACACACAGCAGTGAGCACATCGAAGCCATTTGTTCAATGTGACCCAACCCCCTGAATTGATGCTGGCTGGATTAGAAAAAGCACCTGAGCCAAGCTGGACCCATGAGAATTCAGTCTTTGGGGCACTGGAGTCAGGGCGCAGGGACAGTCTCTTCAGAGAGTTCTCTGTCTATTCCACATACATTTGGGAGCTGTGGGTGGTCACCTTGGGTCATGAGGTCTGCCCACAGAAAAAAATGAAGCAGGTGTGCAGGAGAGATGGTGACCTGGAATTCCCAGGGCCTGGTGGCTTTGCTGTCCTCAATCCTTCCTTGCTGAGGCTCCACCACACTCCTGCCTTTAGCTTCTACAAGACACTCCTAAGTTCTTTCAGTAAATTGCCTCTTTGGGCTGAAATGCTAGTTTGAGTGGGTGTCTGTAACTTGCAACCCCAGGATCTCAACCCCTCGCCACACTGTAAGTGATAAAAACATAGTGTAGTTGGGGCCCCAAGAGGACCAAAGCTAGGCACTTGCTGGGGACTTGCAGGAGGAACTGAGAAGGCCCTTGGAAACAGGTGAGAGAATGGAGGGACACCAGGTATATCTCTCCCTGGTAGGGGAGCTGTTGGGGTGGGGACCCCGGAGAGCTCATGAATGGGGCAGGTCTAGCAAAGGAGAGACCCTTTAGAGCACTGCTTCTCCTGTAGAATCAATGTCAACTTGTCAGTAAACGGACTGCTGATGCAGCAGGATCTTTAAGCCCAAGTCCCCACACTCTTTCCAGCATCCCACCTTCTGGCCAGACCCCCACTCCCACCCCCTGCCTCCATGGCTGTGTAATGCACCAGACTAGGAGTCTGAGACCTGAGTTTGAGCCCCAGTTCAGCCACTGATGGGCTGTGTGAGTTTGGGCAAGTAACCCCACCTCCCTGGGCCTTGGCCCCCTTATCCAAAACGTGGCCGCCATAATCTCCTTCTATTTTGCATGGCTCCTTCGAATTCTCCCTCCCTTCTCCGGTCCCTTCCTCCTTTGCCCCTTCCTTCTGCTTGGCACTTGCCTGCCCAGCAAGCCTCCCCTTCTGATCCATGCAGTTCAGTGCACTCCCATCCGCTTCCTACAGCTCAGGAAACTGTGAGGGCCAGGCACTGGTGTGTACGGTGCCTTTGAATCTTACTTTAGGTTAAGATGCTCACCCGGTCTCCCCTTTCAGAAGGAGACCCTCTGAGGGCAGAGATCTGGTCCTCTTCTCCTTCTTCTAGACCGCTCAGTGTGCCTGGAACAGGGCTGAGCCCACAGCAGGGTGCCTGGATGAGCCCTGCCCTGCCGGCCTGTTCCCTGACCTTTCCTCCAGCCCTTTCCCTTCCCCACCCCTGGCAGGGAGGATGCTCCAGAGCCCGCAGTCCAAACTAAGCCAGAGTTGGGGGTCCCCAGCCTCTCCAGAAAGCCAGCTCCAGCCATGGGAGGGGGCATTGCTGGCTGTTTCTTCCCCACAGGCCTGCTCTCCTCACCCCTGCACCCTTCTGTCTGGAGGGGAGGCAGTGTGCCTCACCTGAGCCAGTCACCACAGCCCCAGTGCAGCTGGCTCCTTCCCTTCCTCTCCCGCTCCCTGGCATGGACCAGCACACCGTTCTTCTCCCACCGCCCATCCTCAGTTGCCCCTCGCCTCCCCCCACCGCCTTCTGTTCCCATGCTGGCGTGTCTCCCCCCCCAGGCAGCTGGGAGCAGGGCGCCTTCGATTTCTCTATTCAGTCTGAGGCGTAGCAATTTTCTGCTCTCCCATAATTAGGGGAATTTTAAGCAAACTCCCCGACGGATGATTACAGCAGGTTCAATCCTGGCTCCTTTGATCAGGGAAGAATGAGGACGTTGTTGGAATATTCCTCAACCTGCTGGCCAGACAGGCTCTGCGGCGCACGCCCGGCTCTCGGGCTCCCCCTGGAGGGCTTTGAACTTGTGTCCTGGCGTCTGAGTGTCCCTGGGTGCTGGAGTCTCCCCAGGAGAGGACTGGGTCCAAATTCTGCTTCATGAAGGATTATCCCAGAGGTAGCTTCTCTAGCTTTGGGCCAATATCTGGGCTCAGAGCCAGAGTTGGAAGTGGTCTCTTGGGTAGGAAGGAAAGTTAAAGGGTCATGTAGGGCAGTCTCCCAGGGCTGCTGTGAATGGCCGTGCAGGCCATACACTGTGCCCTCTAGGGGACATTATTCTCCCTGTAGCTTGTGTGAATGGGACTCCTAGGGTTTGTGCAATGTCCAGCCTGCACAACACAACTGACAGCTTGAACCGCTTGAATGACTCCACTTTTCTAAAACGGCAGAAGAGCCTCCTCCTTAGGGTTGAAAGGGGCTCTCCTCTGTTTAGTCCATTTCCCTCGCCTGTTGTGCCTGCCCAAGGCAGTGTGGAAGAGAGAAAAAAGCATGGCCTTTGCAGCCACAGCCTAGAGGGGAATTCCAGTGTGAATGTTTCCTGGCCGTGTAACCTTGGGTTAGTTAATGAACCTCCCTGAACTTTAATATCAATCTTAAAGGACTGTTTTGAAGATTAAGTAAGAGATGGACTAAAACATTGCTTGGCCCTTATGAGTCCTCAATAAATATCACTCCCCTCTCCTTTCCCTGCCCACGTCACACTTTCCTCTTAAACATTTCATCTTCCCAGACAAACCCTTTCTCCTCTGTCTGCCCCAGTCCTGAGTCCCCCAAAGGCTGTGCCAGATAGCAGACTGCATAGCTATATATATATATATATTTTTTTTTTTTTTCTTTTTTAGACAGAGTCTTGTTCTGTCACCCAGGCTGGAGTGCAATGGCATGGTCTTGGCTCACTGCAACCTCTGCCTCCCGGGTTCAAACAATTCTCCTGCCTCAGCCTCCTGAGTAGCTGGGACTACAGGCGCACACCACCACACCCTGCTAATTTTTGTATTTTTGGTAGAGACGGGGTTTCGCTATGTTGGCCACGCTGGTCTCGAAATCCTGACCTCGTGATCTGCCCACTTCGACCTCCGAAAGTGTTGGGATGACAGGCGTGAGCCACCGCGCCTGGCCCAGACTGGGTATATTAATAGGCTGCTAATGTCTCTGGCATCCCCGAGCAGTGGTCCTGGCTTTTCCATAGGTTAATTAGGCCATATTTCAGGATAATTACGACTGTATATTCCTACACTAATTAAGTGGCTCTAAACCCTCTCCAGAATGCAGCTCTGTGAATCATAATTAAGCCTTACCACCAAGTTCCTCTGCCAGCCACGGAGCCCGGCGAGCAGCCTGTTGTCCCCACTCCCAGTCATGGGAAAGGCTGCGTCTGAACCATGGATTTGAAAAGGACCTATTTTCCCGGGATCAGGTCGAGATGATTCCCAATAAACATTGGATGAGGCTTTGCCCTGTTCCTCTTTTGTTTTCACAAGGAGAGAGAGGAATAGAAATACAGTGTTGATACAGGTTTATCTCCTTCTTCTCCCCGCTCTGTTGAGTAGATGTAAATGGATTCCCAGGGGATGCAGGTGGTCGGGGATGAGAAGGTGATGCATGCATGCCTAGGCATAGGGGTGCGTGTGTCAGACTTTGGTGAGTGTACGTGAGAATGTGTGTGCTATAGCTATTGTTCACTAGGGACTTATGTCTAATATTAGCCAGCCAAGTTCATGACTACCCAACAATGAAAACGCGTGTACCAGAAAACACCTGTTGGAGAGGGCTACATAGATCTTCTCATTCCCAGTTTTGTTCTTTAATTTTTTTTTCTTATTTTAGAGACAGAGTCTTTGTATTAGTCTGTTCCTCACACTGCCATAAAGAACGACTAGAGACTGAGTAATTTTTTTTTTAAAAAAAGGTTTAATTGGCTCACGGTTCTGCAGGCTGTACAGGAAGCATGGCTGGGGAAGCCTCTGGAAACTTTCAGTCATGGTGGAAGTGGAAGCAGGCATGTCTTACATGGCCAGAGCAGGAGAAGAGAGAAGAGGGGGAGGTGCCACACATTTTCAAACAATCAGATCTCATGGAAACTCACTATTACAAGAATAGCAAGGGGGAAATCCACCTCCGTGATCCAATCCCCTCCCACAGGCTCCTCTTTCAACATTGGGGATTATAATTTGACATGAGATTTGGGCAGGGACACAAATTCAAACCATATCCTGGTGGATAGTCTTGCTCTGTCAGTCAACCTGGAGTGCAATGGTGTGATCATAGCTCATTGCAGCCTTGGACTCCTGGGCCCAAGCAATCCTCTCACCTCAGCCTCCTGCATAGCTGGGACTACAGGAGCACACCATTGCACCTGGTTAATTTTTTTTTTCAGAGATGGGGTCTCACTACATTGCTCATGCTGGTCTTGAACTCTTGGTTTCAAGCAATCCTCCCGCCTTGGCCTCCCAAAGTGCTGAGATTACAGGTGTGAGCCACTGCACCTGACCTGTTTTGTCCTTAATGGACCTTGCAAATTAGGCTGTGCACAACCTGGTGTTGGCCAGCCCTTCTGGCTAATGTCAGGATTAGCCTGAATTATGGAGTTGTCAGAAGATCCAATTTTGAGTCTTGGCTCTACCACTTGCTGATTATGTTACCTTAAGGAAGTCATTTGGCCTCCTGAGCCTTAGCTTCTTATCTGGAAAATGAAAATATTACCAACTATCTCACAGAACTCCTGAGAAAATTAAATAAGACATGAGGATGGAGCCAGTGACCCCATGTGAGAAGGCAGTGAGTTCTGAGCTCTTCTTTCAGCCATGGAGAGGGGGCTCACGTGGAAAGGGCCACACTCCCTTCCGGGTCCTCTATCTGGTGGCTCTTAGTCCTGGTGTGTTCCATCTGTGTTCATGGGCCACAGAGGAACAGAATCCAGGACGTCATTGCAGTAGCACCAGCGTTCACCACTAGGACTCACTGGGATGCATGTGTTCTCCTTAATGAGGGAAAACACAAAGCCCCTCTCATCTTGTACTGCAGGAGCTTGGAAAGGTCACCATGGGTCAGGACAGCAGATGGAGGATGGATATGAAGATGTCTGGAAAGGGTTTCTGAATCAACAATGCACGGACCTCGATCCCTGGCTTGCAGTCCTTAAAACCCCTGGCCTCCCTGCCCTTGAAAGCATCTTCATTCCCCCACCCTGATCCCTGTAGTCCCACCTTCCCCGCCGTTCTGGGGCCAGCAGCCCAGGCAGCAAAGAGGAAACAGCGGAGACATGTCCTCTTTCTTGCTGTCTTTTTGTGAAGAGATGGCCGCAGGCACTCTAAGACACTAATCAAATAAGGACAGGTGACAATACACCAACATCTGTGGAAGCCAAGGAGACACTCGGCTGTCCTCAGTAACAGGACAGGGAAGGGAGGCAGCATTTATTTAACCTGGTTGTCACACACCGCCCCTGGCTTCTTTGACAAGAGAGCACTGTGTGAAGACACAGATAAGCTCTGCTGGAAAATTGACAGCAATGAAGGAGGCCCCAGCCTCTTCACTTCTGTGGCCTGTGGATTACGGCTGTGTTCAAATAGAGGGAGGTGAGAGGCACTCGCAGCTTCCCTGAAACACAATCTGTAGGTGCAGGGGAATGAGCCTTGTTCTCTGTAAGGAGGGAGGGAAAGCCCACCCTGGGCTAGCAGGAGATCAGAGCTCGGAGGATGGTCCTAGCTGACTATTGATGGAGAAGGGAACTTGCTTTCTTGGTAGAGATGCGGAGCAGATCCAAGGTGGACTTTCTACTGTTTGTGCTGAGGGAAGTGAGAAAGGGTGGAGCAGAAGGCAGAGGCTCAGCACATAGGAGTGGTGAGTGAGCTGGTCACGGTGAGCCTGCACAGCCGCCCATAGAGCTTCCTGGCAGCACAAACAAAGCTTGTAAGAGATCTCAGCCGAGGAGGAGTCTATTGAAGTGGGAGGCTGGGCAAGAGATAGGGGGGAGGCAACAGAGCAGAGCCACAGAGGCCAGGCTAGGGAAACAGATCCTCTTGCATGTGGATCTCACACTCACTTCTTGTGCACAGGAAAGCATGCACAATGCCTATTTACACACTTATGCATGCCCATATGTGTACAAACATCTGTGCATGCACACTGCTATGGTGGTATTGTTTATTTTTTGAGGTAGGGTCTCACTGTGTTGACCGGGCTGGAGTGCAGTAGTGCAATTATGGCTCACTGCAGCCTCGATCTCCTGGGCTCAGGGAATGCTCCTACTTCAGCCTCCTGAGTAGCTGGAACTATAGGCATGCACCACCATGCCCAGCTAATTGTTTTATTTTTATTTTGTAGAGACAGGGTCTTGCTACATTGCTCAGGCTGCTCTCAAACTCCTGGACGCAAGTGATCCTCCCACCTTGACCTCTCAAAGTGTTGGGATTACAGGCATGAGCCACTGTACCCAGCCATGGTTTGATTATATGAGCCCTCTAAATCTTATGTTGAAATCTAATCCCCAATATTGGAGGTGGGGCCTGGTGAGAGGTGTTTGTGTTGTGGGGTTGGAACCTTCAGCACCGTTCTTATGGGAGTGAATGAGTTTCCACTCTTAGTTCCCACAGGATTGTTGGGAAGAGCCTGGCACCTCCTCCCCTCTCTCTGTTGCTTTCTCTCTTGCCATGTGACCTACACATATGTCTCTGTTTGTCTTCTGCCACGAGTGGAAGCTTCCCAAACCCCTCACCAGAAGCAGATGCTTTGGTGCCATGCTTCTTGTACAGCCTGCAGAACCATGAACCAAAGAAATTTCTTTTCCTTATAAGTTACCCAGTCTTAGGTATTCCTTTATAGCAATGCAAATGGATTAAGACACAGACCTGGTGTTATGACTGAATGTTAATCCCCGCCCCCATGAATTCCTGTGTTGAAGCTCTCACCCACAATGTGATGGCATTTGGAGATGGGGCCTTTGGGAGGTGACTAGGGTTAGATGAGGTCATGAGTGTAGGGCACTCATGATGATGAAACCAGCCCAATTTCCCCATAAAACTGAAGCTTGAGAAACTTACATTTGTTTTATTTGAGTTCCTTTCTCAGGAAACTGTTAGTCCTGCAAGACACTATCAAGAAAATAAAACAGGCTGGTGCGGTGGCCCACACCTGTAATCCCAGCATTTTCAGGGGCTGAGGCAGGAGGATTGCTTTAGACCAGGAGTTCAAGACCAGCCTGGGTAACATAATAAGACCTTGTCTCTTAAAAAAAAAATTAGCCTGGTGTGGTGGCACCTCCAGATACTCAGGAGGCTGGGGTGGGAAGATCACTTGGGCCTGGGAGGTTGAGGCTGCAGTGATCTATGATTGCACCACTGTACTCCAGCTTGGGTGAAAGAGCAAGACCCTGTCTCAAAAAAAAAAAAAAAAAAAAGAAAAAAAAAGAAAAAGAAATGAACAAACAAACAAATTTCCTAGACCACCACATCCAATGAGACACACCTGCTGCCCATTGATCAATGCCTCTTCCTTACCCCTCCCTAATTCCTGTTTTCCTGCATGTGGTTACAATGGGACACCAGACCCTTCATCTGACAGCCTGCTGCCTATTGATCAACTTCTCTTCCTTACCACTCCCTAAGTCTCCGCTATATAAGCCCCTAACTTTAGTCAGTTAGGAAGACAGATTTGAGACTAGTCTCCCATCTCCCTGCTGATGTCACCTGCCTTAAAGTGTTCTTCCCGAGCAACACTTGTGTCAGTGATTGGCTTTCTGTGCAGCGAGCAACTGGACCTACGTCAAACCCCTGGCATTCAGCAAGAATGGGATTAGGGCTCTTATAAGAAGAGGCACAGAGAGCTGCCTTTCTTTCTCTCTCATCCTGCACATGCACTGAGGAAAGGCCATTTGAGCACATAGCAGGAAGGTGGTGTCTGCAAGCCAGGAAGAGGGCCCTCACCAGAACCCAGCCATGCTGGCACCCTGATCTAGACTTCCAGTCTCCAGAGTGTAAGAAAGTCCATTTCTGTTGGATAAGCCCCTGAGTCTATGGTATTGTGCTATGGCAGCCCTAGCAGACCAAGGCACCCATGTAAGCACACATGCATTAATGTGAGGGAGCAGAAGACATCCTGGCTGGAGCACTCATTCAAGGCCGCAGTATAGCCTTCCACACAGTTCACCTTGCTGAGCCTAGGTGTCTCCTTCTCCTCAGGGGGTTCACACTCCCTTCCTTGCTTACTTCAAAGAGCTGCCAGGATAATGAAACAGAAGAAAGATGGGAAGGCTCTCTGCAGACGGTAGATCTGCTGCAGCCCTGAGGCCCACTGAGGGCTCTATTGTGGTTCTCCCCAGGCCTATCCTGACCAGGGGCCAGGGCACTGGTGGCAGCTCCCTGTGCCTCCTCCAACAACCTCCACCAGGTGGGGAGGAGGATGAGGCCTGGGAATCCTTGCTGTCTCCTCCTTTGCCCTTGTCAGAGCCATGGGGGATGGGAAAGGAGCTCTGAGGTAGCCACTGTGCTTCTCCAGCTCAGCCCCACTAACCCACACAGCCCAGCACCCCCAACCCACACAACCCAGCACTCCCAACCCACACAGCCCAGCACCCCTAACCCACAGAACCCAGCATCCCCAGCCCACACAGCCATGGCTGTCCAGGGGTGCAGTGCTGGCCTTCTCTGTCTGAAGGGCTATGAGGGACAAGACCAGGAAAGACCAGAGGACCCAGAAGCTCCCCACCTAGAGAGAGCACCTAGAAACAGACTAGGAGGGCTGGGTTCTGCTCTGATCACAGCCTCTCCACTGCAGAGGACCCAGGAACCAGGTGTCCCTCTGGATGTGGGGCAAGAGGGCCATGGAGCTGGTGGGCTTGGGAGCTGATTTGCCTTTGTGTGTCCTGAGCATATGGAATTGGGGTGAGGGGTCGGATGGACCCTCATCATGGCGAAGGGGGGCCCGCGAGTAGGGGTGGACTGAAGCTTTGCCTCCAGCTTCCTAATGAAAGGAGGCCTTTTGGAGTCCCCTCCTGACCACTGAGTGCTGTAAGAAGGAGAGAAATGGGGAAGGGCGGAGAGGAAGACTCGGTGTCTCTGCCCTTTCAGTGGGCATGCCGGGCACTGGCCCTCTGAGGTGATGTCATGGAGCCCTGCCAGCTCCAGAGACAAATATCCAGATGTACCACGTGCAAGAGAAGCAGAGAGATGGGTACCTCTTCCTTCCTCTCACTTCGTATTTGTCACAAACATAGGCTCTGGAGTCACACAGACTCAGATCCAATCTGGACTCCACTACGCTCTAGCCCTGCCACCCTGCCACTTCAGCTCCCTAAGTCTCAGGCTGCTCATCTCATCTGTGACATGAGTATAACCGTAATGTCTACATTACACAGAGTTGTGTAAATGAAATAAGGTGGTGCATGTAAGATGCTCACAGAGGGCCCAGCCTGTGATTACCCTGAATGGACATGAACGGTGGCTCTCTCATTACCTTGCATTCCCTCCCGTCTGTAACTGCAGCTTAGGGCAGCCTCCCCTAAGTAGTTTCCTACAGTGGTAACTGCTGTGTGTAAAGAAAGCAAAGATGGTAATGCTGAGTGAGCAGAGGGTTGACTGCTGTAGACAAAGTGGTCAGGGATGGGCCCTTTGAGGAGGTAACATTTGAACTGAGCCTGGAATGACGAGAACTGAGCCTTGATTTTTGTCAGCAATACAAAAATTGGCAGAGATTGGAAGGGTGGAGAGGTAGGAGGTCACTTCAGGCGCCGGGAACAGCAAGTGGAAGAGCCCTATGTGGGGAGCAAGCTTATCATCTTTAAGGTGCTGGGAGAGGGCCAGCATGGCTGGGGCATCATAGATGCGGAGGAGAGTGATGAGAGTGCTGGAGACTTATTCAGGGCCCAAGTGCCTCCAGGACCCAGGATAGGGCCTGGCACAGAGAAGAAAAGGAATCAATGTTCTTGAATGAGGCAATGAGGTAAGGAGGGAATGGGGCAATGGCTCCTGGAGCTCAGGTCCTGGAAATAACATTTCCCTAGCCCTCTTGACTTCCTCAGCTGTGGCACAGAGACCAGCGGGGTTGGGGACTCAGATCTGGGAAATGTTCATTTCAACTAAATCTAATTATGTGGATATGAGGTTAAATTAGAGTCAAGAAGCTCTCCTGGCCAGGTGTGGTGGCTCATGTCTATCATCCTACCACTTTGGGAGGCCAAGACTCACTTCAGCCCAAGAGTTTGAGACCAGCCTGGGCAACATAGTGAGACCCCATCTCTACAAAAAAATTTAAAAATGTGTGGAGGCTGTGACCAGTGGCTCATGCTTGTAATCCCAGCACATTGGGAGGCCAAGGCTGGCAGATCACTTAAGGTGAAGAGTTCAAGACCAGTCTGGTGAACATGGTGGAACCCCGTTTCTACTAAAAATACAAAATTAGCCAGGTGTGGTGGAGCACAGTGTAATCCCAGCTGCTTGGGAGGCTGAGGCAGGAGAATCGCTTGAACCCGGGAGGCAGAGGCTGCAGTGAGTTGAGATTGCACCACTGCACTCCAGTCTGGATGACAGAGCAAGACACTGTCTCAGGAAAAAAAAAAAAAAAAAAAAGTGCGTCGAGGCGATCACCTGTGATCCCAGCTGCTCTGGAGGCTGAGACAGAAGGATCACTTGAGCCTGGGAGGTCGAGGCTGCAGTAAGCTGTGGTTGCGCCAGTGCACTTCAGCCTAGGTGACAGAGTCAGGTCCCATCTCTAAAATAAAATAAAATATAAAATAATAAAAAAGAATCTCTCCCAGGGATAGAGAGAAAGAATATTGAAAAATTAAGAGATGTGGAGGCCAGGAAGGAGAAGGCTAATAAATACTTATATGTGTCTATAATGAGTCTCTGAAACAGATGAAAGAGTACACAAAAAGGAGAAAATATTTTAAGAAAGTGACTTAACATTTTCCAGAACTAAAGAAACATATAAGCCCTCAGACAGAAGGTATTAAAGGAGTACTGAACCAGATAGAAAAGGAAAAAGACCTTACATATAGACACATTAGAGTGAATTTCTTAAAAATTTTTAATAGATTTTATTTTTTAGAGCAATTTTAGGTTCATGGCAAAAGTGAGCAGAGTTCCCATATACCCCCTGCCCTCCTCACCTGGTACCACTATCAGCGTCCCAGCACCAGAGTGGTCTATTTTTTACAACACACAACTATCGTCAAAAATCCATAGTTCGCATTATGGTTCAGTGTTGGTGCTGTCCATTCTATGGGTTTGGACAACTGTATAATGACATATATCCATCACTGAAGCATCACAGAACAATTCCACTGTCCCCCAGATATTCTGTGCTCTGTCTGTTCATTCCTTCCTCTACCCTAACCACTGGCAACCACTGATCTTTTTGCTGTCTCCACAGTTTTGCCTTTTCAAGAATGCCTTCTTGAAAGAAACATCTCCTATGTTATGTAGCCTTTTCAGATTGGCTTATTCCACTTAGTAATATGTATTTAAGATTATTCCATGTCTTTTCATGGCTCATTTCTTTTTTCTTTTTTTCAACAGAGTCACACAGGCTAGAGTGCAGTGGCATGATCTCAGCTCCCCACAACCTCTGCCTCCGATGTTCAAGCGATTCTCCTGTCTCAGCCTCCTGAGTAGCTGGAATTACAGGTGCCCACCACCACGCGCGGCTAATATTTGTGTTTTTAGTAGAAATGGGGTTTCACCATGTTGGCCAGGCCAGCCTCGAACTCCTGACCTCGGGTGATCAGCCTGCCTTGGCCTCCCAAAGTGCTGGCGTTACAGGCATGATCATGGCTCATTTCTTTTTAGCACTGAATGATATTCCATTGTCAGGATGTACCACAGTTTGTTTATCCATTCACCTACTGAAGGACATTTTGGTTGCTTCTAAGTTTTACCAGTTATGAATGAAGCTGCTATAAACATCTGTGTACAGATTTTTTTGTGGACATAAGTTTTCACCTCCTTTGGGTAAATACCAAAGAGTGGGCTTGCTGGATTTTACGATAAGAGTATGTTTAATTTGTAAGAAACCACCTAACTGTCTTCCACAGTGACTGTTCTATTTTTGCCTCCCCACCAGCAATGAATGAGAGCTCTCATTACTCCCTGCTTTCACCAGCATTTTGTGGTGTCCGTGTTTTGGATTTGGTCATTCTAATAGGTGTGTAATGATATGTCATTATTGTTTTAATTTGCAACTTCCTCATGACATCTGATGCTAAGCATCTTTCAATATGCTTATTTGCCATCTGTGTATCTTCTTTGCTGAGGTGTCTAGATCTTTTGCCTATTTTTTAATCGGGTTGTTTTCTTATTGTTGTGTTTTTTTGGAATTCTTTGTATATTTTGGATAGTAGTCCTTTATCAGATATGTCTTTTGCAAATATTTTCTCCCAGTCTGTGTCTTGTCTTCTCATTCTCTTGACAGTGTCTTTTGCAGAGCAGTTTTTTTTTTTTCCTTTCTGGAGATGGGGGTCTCCCTATATCTCCCAGGCTGGTCTCAAACTTCTGGGCTCAAGCGAGCCTCCTACCTCTCTGGAGTAACTGGGACAATGGATGTGTCCTACTTCCAGCTTAGAAGTTTTTAAATATATATATTTTTTGAGATGGAGTCTCACTCTGTCACCCAGGCTGGAGTACAGTGGTGTGATCTCGGCTCACTGCAACCTGTGCCTCCTGGGTTCAAATGATTCTTGTGCCTCAGCCTCCTGAATAAGTGGGATTACAGGCATGCATCACTATGCTCGGCTAATTTTTGTATTTTTAGTAGAGATGAGGTTTCACCAGGCTGGTCTCGAACTCCTGACCTCAAGGGATCCACCCACCTAGGCCTCCCAAAGTGCTGGGATTACAGGCATCAGCCACTGTGCCCAGCCTAGAAGTTTTCAGTGTTAATGTACCCCTGATTATTAATTATTTCTTTCATGGGTTGTGGCTTTGGTGTTATATCTATAAAGTCATCACCAAATTCAAGGTCATCTAAATTTTCTCCTATGTTATCTTCTAGGAGTTTTATAGTTTCTGTGATCCATTTTGAGTTAATTTTCATGAAGGCTATTTTTGTGAATGTGTCTAGATTTTTTTTTTTTGGCATGGGAGTGTCCAGTTGTTCTAGCACTATTTGTTGAAAAGGCTAAATTGTCTCCATTATATTGCCTTTCCTCCTTTATCAACAATCAGTTAACTACATTTATGTGGGTCTATGTCCTGCTCACTATTCTATTCTGTTGATCTAGTTACCTCTTCTTTTACCAATACCACACTGTCTTAATTACTGTAGGTTTATAGTAAGTTTCGAGGTAAGATTGTGTCAGTTCTCTGATTTTGTTTTTCTCCTTCAATATCATGTTGGCTATTCTGGGTCTTTTGCCTCTCCATATAAACTCTAGAATCAGTTTGTCAATCTCCACAAAATAACTTACTTGGATTTTAACTGGGTTGCAGTGAACTATAGATCAAGTTGGGAAGAATGGACCACTTGAAAATATTGAGTTTTCCTATTCATGAACATGGAATATATCTCCATTTATTTAGCTTTCTGATTTCTTTCATCAGAGTTTTATAATTCTTATCATATATATCATATATAGAGAAAGATTTATATCTAAGTAGTTCATTTTTTTGAGTGCGGATGTAAATGATATTGTATGTTTAATTTCAAATTCTGCTTGTTGCTGGTACTAAAGTAAAATTTAAGCACATCAAAAACAAAGACAGAAAGCTTCCAAAAAAAAATATCACCTACAAATAAGGAGAATTAAATGGACACTGAAATAATAAGCAATATCTAGAAACTGTTGGGGAAAAAGAATTTGAACCTAGAATTTTATATACCGCTGATAGCAGTGGTGGACTGTCTGGAGCAGCTGCTGCCGTCATGTTGGCTGCTGCAGGGAGGGTGCTGGGAGGAGGCAGATAGCCCCCTCACAGCCCACCACCTTGAGAAGAGGGAGGCCCTGAGGCAGAGCTGGGCTGGGGCCAGTGCTGTGGTTGCACACAGAGTGGGGTGGGGGTGGGGGTGGGGGACCAGGCCTGGGGTGCATAGCCGGGGCCGTGCTTCAGGGTCTGGGGAGGAAAGTAGGAGTGGCACCTGCTTTGGGGACCGGCCAGCGGCACAGCCACTGTACCCATACCCCAAGGATGCCAGGTTCCTGTGCCTCAGGAGGAGGCTCTGTGAGGGGCCACCAGGGGCCGCCTGGTCTGTGTCTCTGGGGTCCACCCTGTGATGGGAGACCACCAAGCCTGACACTCCAGTTGGCTGGGCCCAGGTCCCGAGATCCACTTTGCCTCGGGCTGCCCCTGAGCACCAGGGCAATGCTGGGAGCTTGTGGTGATGCCGCCCCTGCCCTGAACTCTGGCCTGGGCTCAGTGAGGACTGCAGCCCTTGCCCCAGGCTGCCAGGGGGGCATGGCCAGGGCTGCATGCTCCACAGAGCTGGCTGGAGCCAGAAGCAGGCAGCAGCCCTGCCCTCCCAGGTGCAGCTGCAGCTGCCCAAGTTGGGGTTGTGAACTTAGGCCTCCATATGCTCTTAGGGGCCCAAGAAGACCTCGCCACCCCCTCTGCCCTTGCAGGCTTGGAAGTGCCTACTCCTGCTGCCTTGCTTCTCCCCGCTGTCAGTGCTGGCTCCCATCTTGGAGCAAGGTCGGGGCCAAGTCTGGGTGTTGTCACAGCCCAGCTGGGTGTGCACATGCTTGGGGCAGTGCTGACATACCAGCCCTCTGCCACCTTGGCCCCTTCTGGACTTTGGGCATCAATGAGCATGGGAGGGAAGCCAAGGGGGTGGTGAGGGCAGCTTGGCACTGGCCTGTAGGCATCCATTGGCACAAACAGCCTGGGCGCCATGAAAGGCAGCAGGAGGCAGACAGGTTCCTGGGCAGAAGGGGGTGGTTCCCCAGTGGGGCCCCCACCTTCAGGCCAGGGACGGCCTGAAGGCTAAAGGCTGGGCTGCCAGTCCTGTGGACTGCAGTGGGAGCTTGAGGTGCCTTTTCCACCTGCCTATGGTCGTTCATGGACCAATCAGCATGCACTTCCTCCCCTCTGAGGCCCATAAAAGCCCCAGGCTCAGCCAGAGCTGAGAAGATGTCTGACGACCAGCTGCAGAGGGAAGCAACCCACTTCAGGGCCTCCTCTCTGCTGACAGCTGCAGAGACAACTGGATGACCTGCCTGCAGAGAAGAGTTTCCCTCTCCAGGATCTCCTCTCTGCTAGGAGCTGAACACCTGTTGGGACACCCTGGCTGTGGAAAGGAGCTGCCCCCTGGGGGAGACTGAGCTGTTCTATCACTCAATAAAGCTCCTCTTCATCTAGCTCACCCTCCACTTGTCTGTGTACCCCATTCTTCCTGGTCACAGGAGAGGAACTCAGGACCCATCAAATGGTGGGGCTAAAAGAACTGTAACACAAACAGGGCTGAAACATGCCTCTTGCTTGCCACATTATGAGTGAAAAGAAGAGAAGAGCTGCGGCCCTTCAGGTAGCCCAGACTTGGGAGCTACCCAAGCCAGGACTGTGACTGTCTCTTTGGGGCCCTGCGATTCCTGGTGTCTTCAAGTGTCCAGGTGCCACTGTGTTCCCCAGTGCCAGTGTGGAAGCTGCTTGCTGTGCACCTGGTCCAGTTGCAGCCTCGTAGGGAGCCGATGCCCATGACAGCACCTGGAGCTGCTCACCCCACTGCAGCAGCTGGCATGTCTGACTGTGAGCAGTGGCTGGACCCCATACTCGCTCACACACCTTTCACCATTCCACGCCTGACTTGCTCTTGGCAGGCATGGGACCCAGACCAGTAGCATGAGCTGAGCACAGCCCACCAGGCCAAGAGGGTGAAACAGGCCCAGCATTCTTGAACAAAACTTGGGCAAAGGTGCCACTGGCCACAGAGGTTTCTGGCCAGAAAAATGATACCCCAAAGATTCCATAACACTGCTAAATATTAATTTAAATACGAAGCCAAAGTAAAGTTATTTGCAGGCACAAAGATTGCATGAAAAATGTATTTTAGCAATTTAAAAAAAGTGGGCTGGTGCACTCCTGTAGTCCCAGCTACTCAGGAGGCTGAGGTGGGAGGACTGCTTGAGCCCTGGAAATCAAGGCTGCAGTGACCTAGTATCGCACCACTGCACTATAGCCTTGGTGAGCAAAACTCTGCCTCAAAATAATAATAATAATAATATAAGGTGACTCTAAGAGGTAGTACAAGAAAAATACGATTGGAAAAGAACTTATTGGCCGGGTGCGGTTGCTCAAGCCTGTAATCCCAGCACTTTGGGAGGCCAAGGCGGGTGGATCACCTGAGGTCGGGAATTCGAGACCAGCCTGACCAACATGGAGAAACCCCGTCTCTACTAAAAATACAAAATGAGCCGGGCATGGTGGCACACGTCTGTAATCCTACCTACTTGGGAGGCTGAGGCAGAAGAATCGCTTGAACCTGGGAGGCGGAGGTTGCAGTGAGCCAAGATCACACCATTGCTTTCCAGCCTGGGCAACAAGAGTGAAACTCTGTCTCAAAATAAATAAATAAATAAATAAAAGAAAAAACAAGGAAAAGAACTTATTAAATTTTATTGATGCTTGAATAAATGATGCATATATATCACATCTAAAGCAAAAATCCAAATAATATCAACATGATAGTAGTCGAGAGAGACAGGAGGTGGGAAGAGATGAAAAGAATAGCCAAAATATCTTCTATGTCTGAAAAATAAAAACATACTACTTTCTGGCCTTTGGATTAAAGAGGGAATCTTAACGGAAATTATGAATTACTTAGAATTGAATGTCAAAAAAAACTCTACATGTCAACAATACTGCTAAAGCATAGCAACAGGAAAATTTATAGCTTTAAGTAAATCTCTCAGAAAACAAAAAAGGCTGAAAACAAAAGAAATATGTACTCAAACCTGGAAGAGAAGGCCCAAACAAACAAGAAAAGGGGAAATGACAAGGTAAGAGCAGAAGTTGATGAAGTAGAGAACGATATCAAGAAAAACAAAAACAATAAGAATGATGAGTAAAAACAAATTTTTTTTGAAAACACTCACAAAATAAACTTCTTAAAAATGCTGATAAAAGAAACATCAAGAACACAAGAGAGCATTTCAAATAACCAAACTACAGAATTAAACAGGGGCTAAAACTAATATTTTAAAACATAAAATAATACTAGAAAAATTATACACATATACAACTATATACATTGGAAACCTAGATGAAATGCACAAATTTCTGGAAAATATATAATGCTGAAATTGATACAAGATAAACAGAAAACTAATAGCAAAATAGACAGATTTAAATGGTAATTATAAAAATCTCCCTGCCACCTTGAAAGTCCAAAGGCTCAGGATATTTTATAGGTAAGGTCTACCAAAATTTGAAGAGACAGCTAATTATGCACATTATATATGTTCAGTGTTTCATATTCCAATTATACCTCAATAAAGCTGAGGTAGAGGAAGAAAAAAACCCAACTAATTGGTATGTAACACAAATTGTTGCAGAAATAGAAAAGAAGGAAAGCTGTTCAGGCTGTTTCATGAACTTGATATAACTTGTATAAACTTGATTCCAAAAAAGAAAAAGATACAATATAAAAAGGAAATGTTAGGCCCCCTTTTTTTTTTTTTTTTTTTTTGAGATGGAGTTTCGCTCTTGTTGCCCAGGCTGGAGTGCAATGGCATGATCTTGGCTCACTGCAACCCAATCTCCGCCTTCTGGGTTCAAACGATTCTCCTGCCTCAGCCCCGCCGAGTAGCTGGGATTACAGGTGCCCGCCATCACGCCCAGCTAATTTTTGTATTTTCAGTAGAGACGGGGTTTCACCATGTTGGCCAGGCTGGTCTCAAACCACTGACCTTGTGATCCGCCCGCCTAGGCCTCCCAAAGTGCTGGGATTACAGGCGTGAGCCACTGCACCCGGCCTAGGCCACTTTTATTTACAAATATAGGTATAAAAAGCTTCAGTAAGGTATCAACTGAATCTAAAACTATTTTTAATACATAATTTTTCAAATAATATAATACTAAATAACATGAAACATCTAACTACTGACATACATAGTATAATTGGATCCTTACTGTTCAGTGAAAAAGTCAGTCACACAAGACCACATACTATATGATTCCATTCCTAAGAATTTTAAGATAGGAAAATGGATTTGTAGCGAGGGAGTTCAGAATTGTTACCTTGAGGGTGAGAGGGTTGGCAGTGTAAACTGGCTGAGAGCATGAGAAAGCCTACTATATTGCTGGAAATACTCAGAATCTTGGTCTGAGTGATATTTAAATGTGTATACATATGTAGAAATTCATCAAGTTGTACATCTAAGATTTGTGTAATTTCCTGAAGTAGTTTATGCTACAATGAAAAAAATAGACTGAATGGAAAGGATTTATTTCAGTAATGTGAAAGTAGTTCAGTATTAGAAAGTATAGTATATCAATGTAATCCATCACTTTAAAGCAGAAGTTAGACAAGTTTTTCTTGTTGAAGGCCAGATAATAAATCATTTAGGCTTTGTGGGCTAGCTGGTGTCTGTCTCCTTATGCAACTCTTCCACTGTAGTGTGAAAGCAGCCATAAACAATATGTAAATGATGGGTGTGGCTCTGTTCCAGTTAAGCATTGTGAAAAACAGGCAGCAACCCAATTTGGTCTACAGCCTACATTTTGTCAACCCTGATTTAAAGGAATAAAAGAGAAAAATTATAGGGTCTCCTGAGCGGATGCAAAAAACTTCTGATAAAGTTCAACACTAAAAGTTGAGCTTTTAAAAAACTCTAAGGAAACTAGGAGCTTTCTTAACTTCATAAAAATTAGCTAACAAAACCCTGCAGCAAACATCATGCTTAAAGAAGACACTTTTTATGTATTCTTATTAAGGTCGGGAACAAGAAAGTAACATCCACTGTCACTGCTATGCTGTTCAACAGAATAATGAAGGTCATGACCCATGCAATATGTCAAGAAAAAGAAATGAAAAATATAATATTGGTGCCAGGTGTGGTAGCTCATGCCTGTAATACCAGCATTTTGGGAGGCTGAGGTGGGCAAATTGCTTGAGCCCAGGAGTTGGAGACCAGCCTGGGCAATATGGCAAAGCCCCATCTCTGCAAAAAATACAAAAATTAGCTGGGCATGGTAGTATGTGCCTGTAGTCTGTAATCCCAGCTACTCGGGAGGCTGAGGTGGGAAGATCGCTTGAGCTCGGAAGGTGGAGGTTGCAGTGAGCCGAGGTGGTGCCACTGTACTCCAGCCTGGGTGGCAGAGCAAGACCCTGTATTAATATATATATATTATATTAGAAATAAAGATAAAATAGTCACTATTTGCAGATGATACAATAATTTAATGAGAAAACCCAAACAAGTCAACAGATGAACTTTTAGGACTATTCAGAGAGTTTAGTAAGGTTGCCGGATTCTAAATCAAAATAGAAATTTGAATACAGAAAACATTAATATCATTGATAATATCCATGGACAAATCCAGGTGTCTTTTTTTTTTCTTTTAATAGAGACAGGATCTCACTATGTTGTCCAGGGTGGCCTCAAACTCTTCACCTCAAAAGATCTGCCTGCCTCAGCCTCCCAAAGTGCTGGAATTATGGGTGTGACCCACCAGGCCTGGCTCAAATCCGAGTTTGGAGGAGTGGAAGATTGTGCAATTTGGGGAGCTGTCTTTCAGAAAAATAAAATAAAACTACAGATTCAAATTAGGTATAAAATAAATGTTTATTTAGAGATAGAAATCACAACTAATTATAATTTCTAAAAACTGAAAAATATAATGAGCATGACAACAGAAAAGCAACATTAAAAAAATTAAATGCTATCTTTGCACTTTTATGTTCAGATATCCAGTGAGTCAGGAGAGTGGCTGGAATGAATTCCAGGAATTTCTGAAAGTCACTCTGACACCAAGACATCTAGCCGTGACTTAACGAGACTTGGATGTGATCCTGAGGCACATAAATACATCCCATCAACCCCAAGTTAGTGTATCCCCATCTCAAATTCCTCTTAGCTGGAGCTCCAAAGCACTTGTGATCACTCCAGTGCTGTCCGACGTTTAGGGGAGATGTTATGGAGGGGAACTTGGGATGGAAAGAGACAGCAGCCTTAACCAATTGTAGTTAAAATACTTTACTTTTTAATTAAAAGTAAAATACTTTACTTTTTAAATTGTAGTTAAAATACTTTACTTTTACTTTTACAATGATAGAGGCACTTTTCTAGCCCCTCCCAGGATCCTGGAAAGGAGAATAAACTTGCCTCTGATAATGGCAATGAAGACCACAAAGTTCCTAAGAATTAACATAACAAAGAAGGCCCAAGAGCATAAAGGAAAAAAAAAAGTAAACTTTACTAAAGGCCATTATATAAAAGACCTAAATAAATAGAAGTACTATATCCATGTTTGAGATGATTTAATCTTGGAAAGATGCCTATTAGCCCCAAATGAATTTCTACATTTAATTAAATTCCAGGAGGGTTTTTGGAGAATTAAACAACTTGATTATAAAATTTGTAGAGAAGAATTGAGATCCACAAATAGCAAATCCAATTTTAAAGGAAAAACAAAGAGGCAACATTTGTTCTGCTGATAATCAAACTATGATGACAAGGTCATAATAGTAAAAGCAGTGTGTAATTGGCATAGGGATAAACAGGCTGAAGAAACAGTGTAAGAGACTAGGGACAGATGTAGACATGCATATATAAATTTAGTAAACAAAAACAAGTCTGAATTTAAAAACTACAAGGGAATGCAGCACGGGATAGACACATCACAAATCAGTGAGGGAAGGATGAGTTGCTTAGTACAGAGTGTCAGGAAGAGCGGTTCACAGTTTTGGAAAGAAGTTAAGTTGGGCTCCTACTTGATACAACATTTAAAAAAAATCCAACTGGAGAAAGACCTAAATGCGAAAAGTAAAATTATAAACAATAATATTAATAAAAGAAAATGTATTAAAAATAACTCTGGCCAGGTATGGTGGCTCAGGCCTGTATTCCCAGTGCTTTGGGAGGCTAAGGCAGGTGGATCTCTCGAGCCCATGAGTTCAGGACCAGCCTGGGCAAAATGATGACACCCCATCTCAACCAAAAAAAAAAAAAATTAGCTAGGTGTTGTGGCACACCTGTAGTCCCAGCTACTTGGGAGGCTGAGGTAGAAGGATCGCTTGAACTTGGGAGGTCAAGGCTGCAGTGAGCCAAGACTGCACCACTGTAGTCCAGCCTGGGCAACAGAGCAAGACCCTGTCTCAAAAAATAAATAGATAAATAACTAAAAATAAAAATAACTCTGAACCTCAGAGTTAGTATTTTTTTATTCTTTTTTTCTTTATCAGTCAAGATTCAAGTTAATATTTCTTTGAAAAGATTAAAAATAAAAAAATACACAAACCATTAGACACAAAATAAATGGATTTGATTACATCAACGTTAGAGATTTCTGTTAAAAAAAAAAGACAAATGACAACCAGTATAAACAAAGTTAACAGTGGGATGACAGAGTGAAAGTGGATTTTTAAATGTTTTTTCTAGACAGAGTCTGGCTCTGTCACCCAGGCTGGAGTGCAGTGGTGTGATCTCAGCTCACTGCAACCTCCACCTCCTGGCTTCAAGCGATTCTCGTGCCTCAGCCTCCCAAGTAGCTGGGACTACAGGCACTTGCCACCACACCTGGCTGATTTTTTTTTTTTTTTTGTATTTTTTTAGTAGAGAGGGGGTTTCACCATGTTGGCCAGGCTGGTCTCAAACTCCTGACCTCAAGTGATCCACCCACCTTGGCCTCCCAAAGTGCTGAGATTACAGGCATGAGTCACTGTGCCCCGCTGAAAGTGGATATTTTGAAAAGTCTAAAACTGACAACGGTTTATGCTCCAGCTTCTATAAATAAAAGCAAATCCATAAGAAAAACACATTAATCCAATGGCGGGAAAAAAGGAAGAGGATTTCAATCAGCCATTCACTGAAGTGGACAATTGAATAGCTAATAACTGTAAAAAGAATTGCCCAATCTCTTTAATTCAAATTAAAATAAGAAGGTACCATTTTGGCCAGGCACGGTGGCTCACGCCTATAATCCCAGCACTTTGGGAGGCCGAGGCGGGCAGATCACCTGAGGTCAGGAGTTCGAGACTAGCCTCAACATGGAGAAACCCCGTCTCTACAAAAAAAAAAAAAAAAAGAAAAAAGTACCATTTTAACCCCTTAGATTGGCAAAAATTAGAAAATTGGAATCATATCGAGTACTAGTGAGGAAGTGGGAAAGGGAAAACATTTCAGTCCCTGTTGTTAGGAAATGTGAACCAGGACAAGCAGGTTGCAGAGAAACCTGTATTATTAATAGTTACGCATCGGGAGGCGGAGGCTGCAGTGAGCAGAGATCATGCCACTGCACTCCAGCCTGGGCGATAGAGCGAGACCTGGTCTCAAAAAAAAAAAAAAAAAAAATTATGCGTGAACCTTCCCCATCACTGGTACTTATCCTTGGCGCACAGCTTCAGAGAGTTGCACAGAGGCCCATGAGAGACGTGTACAAAAATGAGACAGTCCTGCTGGTCTGGATCTGTGTCAGCCTGGTGTCTTTCACTAGGGGATGGGTAAATAAAACATGTTTGTGTAGGGTGGAATACCACGCAGCCGTCAGAAGTAATGAACTGGGTCTTCATTGAGCAACTGGGAAGATCTCACAGGCAATCCAGAAGGAAGAAATGTAAGACACAGAATGGAATTGATACCAGGAATCCATTTGTTTAAATTTCAAAAACACAAACAGCACTGTGCTTTTAAAGAGCATTCATATGTCTAAATAACCAAAACCCCAAACATTTGAATGAAAGAATGTTTTGACCCCTCAAGTTTGACACAGGAGACATTTTGATGGTGGCTTATTATCCAGAACTGTTTGCTATAGAGATGCTTGCCTCTCCCTGTGCCCCTAGGGTGGGATTTGGGGATGGGGTGAGGAGTCTGCTTTGCTGTAACTTGGCAGTAAGAGCAAACTATAAGTTTAATGGCTGCTTTAGAGGCCACATCAAGTATCTTCATGTCAAAATGGTTTCATAAAGATGTCACTTGCTCTCCCAGAAATAAGTTAAAAGCCCTGTTATGGTAAGCCCTCTGGGCTATGGAGGGGCGAATCTTATCTTCTCTGTGAGAGTCATTTGCCCTGTGAATCTCTGTGTTACTGTAATGAGTCATTTTAAAGTGGGAATGGCAGCCTTTCCTGGAGGACCATTCTGCGGCCAAAGCTCATGCCCTGGGGTCCCCGGCCTCAAGATCCAGCCTCATTAGCCCGGGAACCTCCCTCTTGGCCTCTCCTTTGTGATTCTGCTGTCTCCCTACTTGCGTGTAAAAGCAAAAATAAAAAAGAAGAAAAGTAAGTAAGACCAAAAATATTTTTTAAGCTAAAGGAAGACTTAATAAAATGGTAGGGATCGGCCGGGCGTGGTGGCTCACGCCTGTAATCCCAGCACTTTGGGAGGCCAAGGCAGGAGAATCACCTGAGGTCAGGAGTTTGAGACCAGCTTGGCCAATACGGTGAAACCCCATCTCTACTAAAAATACAAAAATTAGCCGGGTGTGGTGGTGGGCACCTGTAATCCCAGCTACTCAGGAGGCTGAGGCAGGAGAATCACTTGAATCTGGGAGGTGGAGGTTGGGTCTACAGTTTTGGGCTGGAAGTACAGTTCTCACCTCCCGAGGCACCCTCCTGGGCCCCTGCTGGTTCTGTGCCTGCCTACCATCTGCCTTCCTCCTCCCTGTGCCTGTCCACTCAGCATGGAGCGGGGAGGGGCCACAACGTTTGTGCTTGACTCCCACTTCTGTCACCTGCTAGCTGTGGGACCTGGGAAAATGGCCAAGTCTCAACTTCCTTCTCTCTATAAAGGTGAGAATTGTCACAAGCATTCTTTGGAATCCTAGGGTCCTATGGAAATGGGAGGGCTTTTTATGAATGGAGGCTCAGTTCAAGATGGCCTCCCCCTTGAAGCCCTCCAGGAAGGAAAGAGCCTTCAGGCCTCTTCAATATTCTCCCACCCAAACCCCTCGCCCAGGCTCTGGAGCACTTAGAGTGTACCAGTTTATATTTTAACATAATACTATTAACACCTAAGATATTCCCTGTATGCCTGGAAAAGTGTGGTGGTTATTAGTTAGTGCTTAATAGATATTAATCGATTGATTGAAAGGTCTTCTATTCTCTTTGTTTTCCTGCTTCCCTAACCAGATAGCGAACTCTTGGAAAGACAAACCTCTTCTTCTTCCTCCCTCCCTTCCATTTATCCTATCAATCAACAAATACTTGGGCATCTATTAATATTATGTTACAAACCTTGCCGTAGGTCTCAGAGATACCAGACAGACACAGCCTTGTCCTCATGAAGCCTACATTCTTGGTGGCAGAGAGGGGAGAAGGCAGTTAAACACTTTAAAAAGAAACAAATAGATAAGAACAACTACAAATTTTGAGAAGCACAATGGATACAAAAAAAAAGATTAAGCTGGGAGGCAACTAGGGGAGGGGATCTACTGAAGCGGGGCGGCCAGGCCACTGCTTGGGGAGGGCACTTTAATGGGAGAGCTGGCAATTAGGAAGAGATGGCTGGTGGCTGCTGGCAGAGGTGGGAAAGAGTGGCGTCTGTGGCAGAAAAAACACTCTGTAAGGCTCAGAGGCAGCAAGCAGCCTGTGGTTTTGAGGCAGGAGAACAGGGTCCGGAGGCAGGGAACCTAAGGCCAATTACACTGACTTCCTAAAACTAAGTCAAAAGGAAAACCCCAACACTCCACACCAAAGTAACAAAAGAACAAAAGTAACAAAAGGTTACTCCCTTTGCAACCCTCCATCTTTTTGTGTCCCAGGTGAGAAATGGAAAGTACCTCTGATTGGTCCCCTCCCACAACCAATCAGACTGGTCACAGGCCTAGTCTGCATTTGCATAGGGGTATAACTTTGTAACTTCACTTCAGGCTTTCATTGGTCCCCTCCCACAACCAATTGGATGTTTGCATAGGGGTATAACTTTGTAACTTCAGTTCAGCCTCTGACTGGTCACCTTCCACAACCAATCAGACTGGTTGCAGGCCACTACTTCATTTACATAGGATGTAAATCAAGAAATCAATGGGAAACCTCTAGAGGGTATTTAAACCACAGAAAATTCTGTAACCAGTGCTTTTGAGCCCCCTTCTCGAGCCCACTCCCACTCTGTGGAGTGTACTTTCATTTCAATAAATCTATGTTTTCATTGCTTTATTCTTCCATTGCTTTGTTACAGCATTTTGTCCAATTCTTTGTTCAAAATGCCAAGAACCTGGACAACTCATAGTCAAAACCCTCCACCGGTTACAGTTTCAAAGTAGGGAAAGGAGACAGAGGGCACTGGAGCAAAGCTGAGGGGACAGGACAGAGGGTGGAGAGGTGGGAGGTGAGGTTTGACCGATCATAAGGGCAAGTCCTTGCAAAGGCCAAGAAAAGGGTATGGATTTTCTTTTCAGGGCAACAGGAAGCTGTAGAAGGGTTTCAAGCAGGGGAATAATATAACCATTTTATACTTCTGTAAAGATCTTTAGGGAGACTGAAGAGGATGTTAAATAACATCATGAGAATGCAATCAGTCACTGAGAATGTGGGACATTTCACAGGACAATGACCTATTTAAGGTGGTGGAGGCAGGAGGGAGTGGGGTGAAGAAGTCGGGGCAGTTAAAGACTCAGGAGACATCAACCCAATGCAATGGACAGGCCTCGTTTGGATCTCGACTTGTATTGTTTTGTTTTGTTTTGTTTTTGAGACAGAATCTCGCTCTGTCTCCCAGGCCAGAGTGCAGTGGTGCAATCTTGGCTCACTGCAACCTCTGCCTCCCGGGTTCAAGCAATTCTCCTGCCTCAGCTTCCTGAGTAGCTGGGACTACAGGCACCTGCCACAATGCCAGGCTAATTTTTGTATTTTTAGAAGAGATGGAGTTTCATCATGTTGGCCATGCTGGTCTCCAATTCCTGACCTCAAGTGATCTGCCCACCTCATCCTCCCAAAGTGCTGGGATTACAGGCATGAGCCACCACACCTGGCCTGGATCCCAATTTGAACAAATCAACTGTGAAAAGCTATTTATCAGGCAACTGGAGAAATTTGAACATAGAGTATTACATAATATTAAAAAGACATTGCTCATTTTGTTAGGTGAGTTAATGGTGTAATTAGGTTAAGGGAAAAGAAGTCCTTATGCACAGTGAAATATTTACAGGTGAAATGAAATAATGTCTGAGATTTGCTTAACATCTTCAGGAAAAAAGTGCATGGGGGAGAATAGATGAAATAAGATTAGCAAATGTTGATAATTTTTGAAGCTGGGTGATGGGTACATAAGAGTTCACTATACTAGTTTCTGAAATTTTCCATTAAAAAGTAAAAAAAAAAAAAAAAATAAGTTCTCGGTTTTCTGTGGTGGGGTATGTGGTGTCCACCATGTGCAGCACCCTGGCACCAGTCCGAGAGGGTGGGACTCTAAGGATGGAGTGAGGACTGTGGTCTGGAAGATGACATGTGTGGGGACACTTTGTGAACTGATGGGGGAGGAAGTGATAGGGGGCCATCTACGGACACTGTTCACTGCCCCCAGGCATGAGCCCAGCCTGCCCCCAGTCAGAGGCAATGGAGAAGATTGACTGTGAGTAGTGGGGTCAGACAGACCCAGGGCAACCCCCAAGTTGGCCAGTTGCTTTCTGCTACCTTGGGTGGATCCTCTGTTTCTTAGCTGTGAAATGGGAGTACTTGCAGTAGCTTTCTCATTGGGTTGTGTATTAGTCTGTTCTCATGCTGCTAATAATGACATACCCAAGACTGGGTGATTTATTAAGAAAAGAGGTTTAATGGACTCACGGTTCCACATGGCCTGGGGAGGCCTCACGATCATGGTGGAAGGCAAAGAAGAAGCAAAGGCACGTCTTACATGGTGTCAGGCAACAGAGCTTGTGCAGAGGAACTCCCATTTATAAAACCATCAGGTCTCATAAAACTTATCCACTATCACGAGAACAGTATGGGGGAAACTACCCCCATGATTCAGTTATCTCCAGCTGGCCCCACCCTTGACAGGTGGGGATTATTACAATTCAGGGTGATATTTGGGTGGGGACACAGAGCCAAACTATATCAGCTTGTTACAAGCATTAAATAGAATGGTGCATGTAAAGCCCAGAGCTCAATGCCAGGTGAGGGTCACTGCTCCCTTCCTGGTAGCCATCAGAGGCATGACACAGGCTGCACTGAGGCACAGCAGGACTGGGTTCTGGACCCTCTTGGGACTGGTCTCCAGTATCTAGAAAGCTGAGAGCTGATACATATGTTGAAGTACGTGCATCATCATGCGTGTGCACGCACCTGTGGCTACATTCACACACACACACACACACACACACACACACACACACACACACACACACAGACATCCCTCCAAGGTGGGGATGGGGCTCCTCATGGCAGACCTGAGCAGGCCTAGAGCTTGGCCTTCAGGAAAGGCTGTGGATGGTCCTCCCTAGAGGACCCAGCATGGAGGTGACGGAGGGTGATGCTCAGAGGAGACTCAGCCAGGGGCCCAAGGATAAGCCTGGGCACCTGGTGAGCCCAAATGGGAGAACACAGCTAGACACAAGGGCAGCACCAAGGGGTAAGCCAGGGTCTGAGGAGGTGCTGTCCTGACCAGAAAGGGACAGGCTGGGGCATGGGGAGGGCCTGGCTGGAAAGTCTTTAAATATGAGGGAGAGCATCACCAAAACTGCAAGCCCCATGAGAGTGGCTGAGTTTCCTGGGGCCTGCTTAGAGCCCTCAAGTTGCTAACCTTGAGTTGCCAAGAGCTGGACAACCTCACAGGCCCCTTGCTGCTCCTGCAGCCCCCACATGTCTCCACAGGGTTCTTTCTTTGTGGTCAGGCCAGAGAAATGTAAGCCAGCCAGGCCTCCTGAGACCCTTCCTCTCTGAAGAAGCTTCTGGAACTCAGGTGTGAGGGAGGCGAGGGTGTACAGACAGAAGTTTGGGGTATCATGCTTGGGCACCCATGGCTCCCAGGAAGGGATGCCAAGGAAGCAGGGCAGAGAGAACAAGCATCCCCTTCCTGAGGCCTCCCTTCCTAGACCTCAGGCACAGGAAAAGAGCCCACTAATTCAATCCTGTCTCTACCAGTGGGAAGGAGCTTTTAATCAAATCCTAAGTTGAGTGGTGGGGGAGAGGAGATCCATTCTGCCTTCACTTGCTCTATTCCAGAGAACAATTTGGGGAGTCGCTAATCCTGCAAACATCACGTTAACACCAATAAAACACCCCTACAGCTCCCACTTGCTAAATGTCAACATTTATTAACTTCAGAACCCAGCACCATTTCAGAGCGGCCTCCCTGCAACACAGGCCTGGTGAGAGGAGCAGCTGGAGTGGGCCCTCGAGGAGGGAGACCTGTGGCCGTCACCACTGCACCTGCCCTGGGTCTTGCCCTGAGCCCTGGGGCAGGCCAGGACGGGGCTCAGAGCTAGCAAAGGCTGAGGCATATCCCCCTGGCAGAAACTTGGGGACACCCATGTTGGGGACGGGACTTCCCTTGCTTCCCCTAATTCAGAGGACCTTGGGGAAGTTCCTCTCCCTATCCCTCATCCTAGGAAAGAACAGCTCCTCTTCTAGCCTGGCCCCTGCCCTCCCCTAATTTCCCACTCCCTCTCCTGGAAAAGAAATCAAGATATTTTTCTTAGACATATTTCGAGTTGGGTGTCAGAGGGCCAGCAAACAGAAGTGGATCTGCAAAGCTGTCTTTTGGGGAGAGATTTGCATCTGCAGAGAATCTGCATTGATGCAGCCCAGCCTTCCCTCGTCCTCAAGGCAGTAGATAAGCTTCTGCACCCCATCGTGGGGCTGGGTCTTCATTCTGAAGGCTCTTGTGTCACATAAAACTATGATCAAATAACATTGTATGTCTTTTCTCCAATTAATCTGCCTTTTGTGAGCTGATCTTTTAGTGAACCTTCCAAAGGTGAAGGGAAAGCTTTTCTTTCCCACTACACCTGGGAAGAAGTCCTGGTGACATTTGAAGGAGAGTGTCCTGCTGGCACTTGGGCCAAATATGGCTGGGACCTGTGGCCCTTTGACACAAACCGGAAGACCAGACGCAGAAGGCTAGTGGGTCTGCGGGGCTGGGGCTCAGGGCCTGGAGGGCAGGTGAGCTCTTCCTCTGTGCAGTCCCCAGCCAGCCCCACCTACCTCAGGACACTCAAGAGCCTTTGCAGCTGAGGAGATGTCCGGGAGGCCCAGCAGGTTCCAACAGCTGAGCTCTTGAATCTGGGAAATCACCTTCAAATTTTCCTTCTTGGGAACCCTTCCCCCACATGGGGGTGAATATGAATACCCCAAAGGTGATCATTGCAGTGGGGGAGTCTGAGGGCACAGTCCAAAACAACTACAGCTTTTCTTTGAAGCTCATTCTTTCTCTCTCTCTTTCCCTCTCTTCCTTCCTTTCTTCCTTCTTTCCTTCCTAACTTCCTTCCTTCCTTCCATCCTCCCTCCCTCCCTCCCTTCCTCCCTTCCTCTTTTTCCTTCCCCTCCCCTCCCCTCCCTTTTCTTTCCTTCTTTCTTTCTTTCTTTCTCTTTCTTTCTTTCTTTCTTTCTTTCTTTCTTTCTTTCTTTCTTTCTTTCTTTCTTTCTTTCTTTCTCTTTCTTCTTTCTCATTTCAACAGAGTCAGTGGATCACTGTAGCTTCAAACTCCTGGGCTCAAGGCATCCTCCCACATCAGGCTTCTGAGTAGCTGGAATTACAGGCACACACCATCATGCCCAGTTAATTTTTTGTACTTTTTGTAGAGGCAGGGTTTTGCCATGTTGCCCAGGCTGGTCTTGAACTCCTGAGCTCAAGTGATCTGCCCACCTCGACCTCCCAAGGTGCTGGGATTACAGGTGTGAGCCACCATGCCCAGCCTCAACATTCTTAAAAAACAGAAAGTCCAACTCAAAACTTCATATCTGGCCAAACTAACCTAATAAGGAAAGGAGAAATAAGATTCTTTTCAGACAAACAAATGCTGAGAGAATTCATTACCACCAGACCTGCTTTACAGGAGCTCCTCAAGGAATCACTAAATACGGAAAGACCGTTACTAGCTTCTACAAAAACACATTTAAGTACACAGACCAGTGACACTATAATGTGACCACGCAAACAAGTCTACATAATAACCAGCTAACATCATGATGACAGGATCTAATCCACACATATCAATACTAACCTTGAATGTAAACAGACTAAATGCCCCAATTAAAAGGCACAGAGTGGCAAATTGGATAAAGAACCAAGACTGATTAGTATGCTGTCTTCAAGAGACCCATCTCACATTTGATGACAGCAATAGGCTCAAAATAAAGGGATGGAGAAAAGTCTACCAAGCAAATGAAAAACAGGAAAAAACAGGGGTTGCAATCCTAATTTTAGACAAAACAGACTTTAAGCCAACAAAGATAAAAAAATACAAAGAAAGGCATTACATAATTGTAAAGGGTTCAATTCAATAAGAAGACCTAACTATCCTAAATATATGTGCACCCAACACAGGAGCACCCAGATTCATAAAGCATGTTCTTAGAGACCTTCAAAGAGACTTAGACTTTCACACAATAATAGTGGAAGACTTCAACACCCCACTGACAGTATTAGACAAATCATCAAGGCAGAAAATTAACAAAGATATTCAGAACCTGAACTCAGCACTGGATCAAATAGACCTGAAAGACATCTATAAAACTCTCCAGTCCAAAACAACAGAATATACATTCTTCTCATCACCACATAGCATATATGCTAAAATTAACCACACAATCACACACAATACACTCTTCAGTAAATGCAAAAGAACTGAAATCATAACAACCACTCTCACAGACCACAGTGCAATAAAATTAGAGATCAATTCTAAGAAAATTGTTCAAAACCATACAATAATATGACAATTGAATAATATGCTCCTGAATGACTTTTGGGTAAATAACGAAATGAAGGCAGAAATTGAGAAATTATTTGAAGCTAATAAGAACAAAGATAAAACATACTAGAATCTCTGGGACACAGCTAAGGCAGTGTTAAGAGGGAAATTTATAGCATTAAATGCCCACACCAAAAAGTTAGAAAGATCTCAATTTAACAATCTAACATCACAACTAAAAGAACTAGAGAACCAAGGGAAAACCAACACCAAAGCTAGCAGAAGACAAGAAATAACCCAAATCAGAGCTGAACTGAAGGAGATTGAGACACGAAAAACCATCCAAAAGATTAATAAACCTAGGAGTTGGTTATTTAAAAAAAGTAATAAAACTAGATAGACCACTAGCTGGACCAATAAAGAAGAAAAGAGAGAAGGTCTAAATAAACACAATTAGAAATAACAAATGGGATATTACCACTGACCCCACAGAAAATGAAATGATTATCAGAGAATAACATGAACACCTCTATGCATACAAACTAGAAAATCTAGAAGAAATGGATAAATTCCTGGACACATAAACACCCTCCCAAGACTGAACCAGGAAGAAATTGAACCCCTGAGCAGGCAATTAATGAGCTCCAAAACTGAATCAGTAATAAATAGCCTACCAACCAAAAATAAAAAAGCCTAGGACCAGACAGATTCACAGTTGAATTCTACCAGATGTATAAAGAAGAGCTGGCACCATTCTACTGAAACTATTCCAAAAAATTGAGGAGGAGGAACTCCTCCTTGACTCATTCTATGAAGCTAGCATCATCCCGATACCAAAACCTGGTAGAGACACAACAATAAAAGAAAACTTCAGGCCAATATACTTGATGAACATTGATGCAAAAATCCTCAACAAAATACTGGCAAAACAAATCCAGCAGCACATCAAAAAGTTTATCCACCATGATCAAGTAAGCTTTGTTCCTGGGATGCAAGGTTGGTTCAACATACACAAATTAATAACTGTGATTCATCACATAAATTGAACTAAAGAAGAAACCATGTGATTATCTTAATTGATGCAGAAAAGACTTCAGATAAAATTCAACACCACTTCATGTTAAAAACTCTCAATAAACTAAGTATTGGAGGAACAATACCTGAAAATAAGAGCCATCTATGACAAACCCACAGCTAACATCATACTGAATGGGCAAATGCTGGAACCACTCCCCTTGAAAAATGGCACAAAACAATGATGCCCTCTCTTATCACTCCTACTAAACATAGTATTGGAAGCCCTGGCCAGAACAATCAGGCAAGAGAAATAAATAAAGGGCACCCAAATAGGAAGAGAGAAAGTCAAATTATCCTTGTTTGCAGATGACATTACCCTATATCTAGAAAATCCCATAGTCTTGACCCAAAAGCTCCTTACATTGATAAACAATTTCAGCAAAGTCTCAGGATACAACATCAATGTACAAAAATCACTAACATTCCTATACACCAAAAACAGTCAAGATGAGAGCCAATCAGGTACATGATCCCATTCACAATTGCCACAAAAAGAATAAAATACCTAGGAATACAGCTAACCAGGGAGGTGAAAGATCTCTACAAGGAGAACTACAAACCACTGCTCAAAGAAATCAGAGATGACACAAACAAATGGAAAAACACTCCATGCTCATGGAGAGGAAGAATCAATATTGTTAAAATGGACATACTGCCCAAAGCAATTTATAGGTTAAATGCTATTCCTATCAAACTACCAATAACATTCTTCACAGAACTAGAAAAAAACTATTTTAAAATTCATATGGAACCAAAAAAGAGGCCGAATAGCCAAGAGAATCCTAAGCAAAAGGAACAAAGCTGGCATCACACTACCTGACTTCAAACTATACTACAGGGCTACAGTAACCAAAACAGCATGGTACTGGGATAAAAACAGACACATAAACCAATGGAACAGAATAGAAAGCCCAGAAATAAGGCTGTGCACCTGCAACCATCTAATCTTCAGCCAAGCCAACAGCAACAAGAAATGGGGAAAGGATTCCCTATTTAATAAATGGTGCTGGAATAACTGGCTAGCCATATGCAGAAGATTGAAACTGGACCCATTCCTTACATCATATACAGAAATCAAGTCAAGATGGATTAAAGATTTAAATGTTATAGTTTTGGGTTTTACATTTAAGTGTAAATCTAGGCAATATCATTCTCTATATAGGAATGGGCAAAAATTTCATGATGAAGTTTCCAAAAGCAATTGCATCAAAAGCAAAAGTTGACAAATAGGATCTAACTAAACTAAAGAGCTTCTGCACAGCAAAATAAATTATCAACAGAGTAAACAAACAACCTACAGAATGGGATAAAATATTTGCAAACTATGCATTTGACAAAGGTCTAATATCCAGCATCTATAAGGAACTTAAATTTACAAGAAGAAAAAAACAACCCCATTAAAAAGTGGCAAATGACATGAACAGACAAGACATACATGCGGCCAACAAGCACATGAAAAAAAGCTAGACATCACTGATCATTAGAGAAATGTAAACAAATCACAATGAGATACCATCTAACACCAGTCAGAATGGCTGCTATTACAAAGTAAAAAAGAAACAAAAACAAACAAAACAGCTATGGACAAGTTTGCAAAGAAAAAGGAACACTTATACACTGTTAGTGGGAGTGTAAATTAGTTCAGCCATTGTGGAAAACAGTGTGGGGATTCCTCAAAGAAATACCATTCAACCCAGCAATCCCATTACTGGGTATATATGCAAAGGAATATTTATTGTTCTTTCATAAAAACACATGAACATATATATTCATTACAGCACTATTCACAATAGCAAAGAGATGGAATCAACCTAAATGTCCATCAGTGGTAGACTGGATAAAGAAAATGTGGTACATATACACCATGGAATACTATGCAGCCATAAAAAAGAATGAGATCATGTCCTTTGCAGGAACATGGATGGAGCTGGAGGCCATTATCCTTAGCAAACTAATGCAGGAAAAGAAAACTAAACATCACATCCTTTCACTTATAAGTGAGAGCTAAGTGATGAGAACACAGGGACAGAAAGAGCATAACAAGAGACACTAGGGCTCATTGGAGGGTGGAGGATGGGAGAAAAGAGAGGATCAGGAAAAATAACTAATGGGTCCTAAGCTGAATACCAGGGTGATGAAATAATTTGTGCAACAAACCCTTTTAACACAAGTTGACCTATATAACAAACCTGCACATGTACCTGTGAACTTAAAATAAAAGTTAAAAAAAGAAGTATATTTTGGGGTGAAATATTTTGGTTTCCCTTAACCTCATCTCAAACCTATTTCCAAACAGAATCACATTCACAAGTACCAGGGGTTAGGATTTGGGCATAGCTTTTTAGGGGCACTATTCAATCCAATACAGGAGCCAATTTTAGCAACACTGGGTGGTGTCAGGATACAAAGTGAAGCAAGGCCCACATGCCGGAGTCAGACAGGCTAGGGCTGGAGCTCTTGCTCTGTCATCAACCCTTATCACCTGGCTGGGTGACTGTGCAGGTCATTAATGCTCTCATTGTTACAATATTTAACATGGGTATAATAATTACCATGATATGTTATCTCATGGAATTGTGGTGAAGGTTAAATGGCTGAATGGTTTGAATGTGTTCCCCAAAACGCAGGTGTTATAACTTAATCTCCAGTGTAACAGTGTTGAGAGGTGGGGCCAATGAGAGGTGTTTGGGTCATGAGGGCACCACCCTCATGAAAGGGTTAATGATTATTATAAAAGGGCTTGAGGCTGCAAGTTTGGTCTCTTGCTCTCTCTTTGCTCTTACACGATGGGAAGATGCAGCAAGAAGGCTCTTGGTAGATGCCAGCCCCTTCATCTTGGACTTTTCAGCCTCTAGAACCATGAGCCAATAAATTTCTGCTCATTATAAAGTACCCAGTCTCAGGTGTTCTGGTACAGCAGCACAAAATGGACTAAGACAATGACCTAAGGCAATGAAAGATGTTGGAAAAACATGAAGTGCTATCTATGTACAGGGTATTAGCAAGCATCTCAACTTACTAATTGTGTGAGCTCAGGCAAGTTTCCTAACCTCTTGGAAGCTGTTTCCTCATCAGTAAAATGGAAAGTACTCACCTCATTGGGCCACTCAAAGGACTCAATGAAACTCCATGTGAGGCACTTAACACATAGAAAGTGCTCTTAAAGTAAAAGCCATGAGCATTGTGGTGGGGCCTTTCCAGAGGGATGGACTAGCCTAAATGTCCAGAAAAGAAGTGAACCAGACTCTTGATTTTTGAGATTTTGTGTGTGTGTGTGTGTGTGTGTGTGTGTGTGTGTGTGTGTGTGTGTGTTTGAGACAGAGTCTCACTCTATCGCCCGGGCTGGAGTTCAATGCACAATCTTGGCTCACTGCAACCTCCACCTCCTGGGTTCAAGTGATCCTCTTGCCTCAGCCTCCTGAGTAGCTGGGACTACAGGCGTGTGCCACCACGCCCGGCTAATTTTTGTATTTTTCGTATAGAGATGAGGTTTCACCATATTGGCCAGGCTGGTCTTGAACTCCTGACCTCAGGTGATCCACTCGCCTCAGGCTTCCAAAGTGTTGGGATTATAGGTGTGAGCCACCGCACTCGGCATTTTTGAGAATTTAGGAGATTAAGCACCTGTTCCCCACCCCTTGGGGTTTTGAAAATTAGGTGGGAAGAAGCTGATTCTAGGTTTTGCAAGTAAAGGGGGACCTAGTACTGCTGGGGCCAGCTTGCACCCAGGAAGTGGCTGGTAGCTGAGCAGAATGAGCCACTGATGACAGCTTTGGCTCTTTGGCCTTAGGCCTAGTGGGTCCCCAGGGTTCTGCTGATCTGAGCATTTTGCTGGGGAATTTCCCTTTTCTGAAAGGGCTCCACAATAAGGTGGTGGCATCAGCTGGGGCCTAGGCCAGGCACCTTCTGTCTATGGACTCTGGCCTGAGTTTCAGGGACATCTTGACTCACAAGGGGAGCTTTTCCCTCCCACCAATCATGGCATTGGGGGTGGGGGGTGGGCAGCCACCCTGGATAACGTCACTCAGTGCATACCACTGCTGGCCCCTGTGGCTGTTGCATGAAGAGGAGACGGGGCTCCATTTTCCAGAAATCGTCTGTGCTAGGCATCCCAGTGAGGGGGCTGAGCCAACCTCTAAGTTTCCTCTAAGACACTAGGAAGCATTGGGGGAACCCTGGATGCACCCAAGCAGGGACTGGATGGGGGAGGCTTGAGCATTCGCTCTTTTCTCCCACATGGGTTGGAGGCCACTCTGCCTCATTATCGTCCTCTACATTTGCATGACTGCTGTCCTGTGAAAAATCTCCGCTTGTGAGCCAGCACAAGTATGACTCAGCATGTCTCTTTAATTCCCTTCGGGCACGACCATCAGAGTCAGTTTACAATAACCAGACGCCTGGCTTTACAATCACTCCTCATTGTTGACCCAAAACAGCATCCTGCAGCTTGATCATTGCCCATGTGCCAGACTTCTCTCAGAATGACTCTTATTTAAAAAAAAAAAAAAATCACATCTGGTCCATTTAGTGGCCTAGAGCACATACCCTTGAGAATTCATCAAGGCAGAAAGTATTTGTTATTCGAGGATGGGTTTGATTTTTGGCAATGATGTTGAGGCTCTCTGAGTCAAGTCTGGAGGATTATGCAGCAGGGAGAGCTCTTTGCTTAGACCACTGCATCAGACCACCCTCCTCAATCTCAGGGCTCAGCTACCACTTCCCTTCTATAGCTCCCCCAGTCGCCATGGCAGATGTGGCCAGACACCTCACTCTCTTGCCATCCGCCCAGGGTTTCTCTGACACCAAGGCCATGCCCGCCTCTTCCTTGTCTCAGGTGCATTTTGCATGGTTCTTCAGAGGTTCCCTAGCAGGATGGAGCCTCAGTGACCCACAGTGATGACCAGCTCAGTTAAGAAAACTTAGCTTGGCCTTTCTGCTTCCCTGTTTTATGCTTCCCAATCCCCCTTGGGATTCTAGGGAACCATTGCTTTTCCCTAGAATCTCTTTCCAAAATAAGCTACTTGAACCAAAGGCTCTTTATGTGGGGGAACCCAGGCAAGGACAGCTGCCCTGCTGAATTTTTTGTAAGATTTCAACAGAGCTTGAGGACGGAGTTGGGGGGAGTCTATTGAGATACTAGGTCATAGGAATTCATAGTGTCCCGTGGCATCATATATATGGGCCATCTCTTTTGCTCTCTCTCCCCCTTTTTTAAAAAACAGTTTTTTTTAGATATAACTCACCTACCATATAATTCCCATTTAAAGTGTGCAATTTGGCCAGGCATATGGCTCATGCCTGTAATCCCAGCACTTTGGGAGGTGGAAGTGGGAGGATTGCTTGAGTCCAGAAGTTCAAGATCAGCCTGGGGAATACAGTGAAACCCCATCTCTATATATAAAAAAAAATAAAGTGTGCAATTCAGTGGTTTTTAGTATATTTACAGAGTTGTGCACCCATCACTGCATCAATTTTAGAACATATTTATCACCCCTAAAAGAAACACAGTACTCATTAACAATCACTCTCCATTTCTCCCACAACCTCATCCCTCTAGGCAACCACTGGTCTACTTTTTGTTTGCCTATTGTGGACATTTCACTTAAATGGAATATGTATAATATGTGGCTTTTTGTGTCTAGCTTGTTTACTCAGCCTAATGTTTTCGTTACGAAGGAATGAAGGAACCTCAGCATAAGGTTAATCCGTATTGTGGCATGTATCAGTACTTCATTCCCTTTTTTTTGTGTGTGTGTGAGACAGGGTCTTGCTCTGTTGCCCAGGCTGGAGTGCAATGGCACGATCATGGCTCACTATAGCCTCGAACTCCTAGGCTAAAGTGATCCTCCTGCCTTGGCCTTCTAAGTAGTTGGGACCACAGGCACTGTGCCACCATGCTGGCTATTAAAAAAAAAATATATATATATATGTATATAAATTTTTTTTTTTTTAGGTAAAGGCAAGGTCTGGCTATGTGGCCCAGGTTGGTCTCAAACTCCTGGACTCAAGCAGTCCTCCTGCCTTGCCCTCCCAAAGTGCAGGATAACAGGCATGACTTCATTCATTTTTATGGCTGAATAATAATCCATTGTATGGATATACCACATTTTATTTATCCATCAATCAGCTGATGGACATCCCAGTTTTGTCCGCCTTTTGGTTATTAAGAGTAATGCTGCTATAAATATTTGTGTACAAATTTCTTTCTGTGCAGATGTATGTTTTGGTTTCTCTTTTTTATATGCCTAGGAGTGGAACTGCTGGTTCATTTTGCTCCTCTTTTAATTTTTAATTTTACTGTTAGGTTAGACAATACATTCCCATGCTATCTCACAATTTAAAAGGTACAAATGGAGAATTTCTATTCTCTCCTTAATCACAAGCAATATTTCCCACTTTAAGTGTATTTTTGGAGATATCTCTAGCATATATAAACAATTATGAATATTTCTTCTTCCTTTTTCTATCACAAACAGTGATACAATATACACTGTTCAGTACCTTACTTTATTTGTTTAACATTAAATCTTAGAGATTGCTCCATATCATTACAAAAGAAGCTTTTCATTTTTGTATCTATGTAGCATTCCCTTGAATGGAAAGAAATAGCTTATTTAATTTAAATGATTTATTTAACCAGTCCCTAATTAAAAGGCCTTGTTTCCAATCTTTTGTTATTATAAACAATAATGCAATGAAAAACCTTAAACAAATATTATTTCCCACATGTGTGAGCTCATCATAGGATGTATTTCTAGAAGTAGAAGAACAGTATCAAAAGGTACGTGAACTTGGTGGGGGGTGGTGGCTCATGCCTGTAATCCCAGCACTTTGGGAGGCCAAAGTGGGAGGATCGTTTGAGCCTAGGAGTTCAAGACCAGCCTAGTCAACATGGTGAGATCCCATCTCTATTAAAAAAAGAGAAAGAAAGAAAGGTATGTGAACTTTAAATCTTGACACATATGCCAATTGCCTTCCATAGAGGTTATACAAATTTACAGCCCATCAGCAATGTGTGACCTGTTTGCACATGCCCTCACCACTTCGATGGGTAGAAAATGATATCTCCACGTCATTTTAATGTGAAATTATGAGTGAGTTACAGCGTCTTTTATTTCCTTTTTGTAAAATGCCTGCTCATATCTTCTGCCTGCTTTTTCAATCGATATGATCATTTTCTTGATGATTTGGGAGTATTCTTATTTATCAGAGAAATTAACCCTTTGTTTATAATATGAGTATCTAAAACTTCTCCCAAAGGGTCGAGTCTTTTGCTTTTGTGTACTACTGTTCATGAATACCCAGATCCCTCCCTGAAAAGGCATTACATTCCCTGCCCTTGTGAACCAAGGTGCAGCTGTGTGACTTGTTCTGGTCAATTAAATGCAAGCAGAAGCACGTGTGACACTTTGGGCTGAAGCTTGAAGTGCTGGTGCTTTGCTCACCCTCTTTCTCTCTGACTCGGGAATTGGCGTCAGCAGATGATGGCTGTGCCTTCAACTTGGGAGCCTAAAGTGAAAGTGACAATACTGACAACATGGGAGTGGAGGCCTCAGCCAATCCACAAAAGGATGTGTACTGTGGGCCAGAAATAACCACTTGTTGCTTTATACCCCTCAGATTTTGGCTTTTTTTCTTGCTGCAGTATAACCAGCCTATCCAGACTGATTTTTGCCACAAAGACTTTTGAAAAAAAATTTATTTTGATGAGGTTAAAATGATTACTCATTTATTTTATGACTTCGGGGCTTGTGCCGAAAGATCTTCCTCAATCATGCAATGAAAAACCTTAAATATTACTTCCCTGCCAGACATGGTGGCTCACACCTGTAATCCTAGCACTTTGTGGGGGGACGAGGCAGGTGGATCACCTGAAGTCAGGAGTTCGAGACAAGCCTGGCCAACATTGTGAAACCACGTCTCTACTAAAAATACAAAAAAATTAGTCAGGTGTGGTGGTGGATGCCTGTAATCCCAGCTACCCAGGAGGCTGAGGCAGAAGAATTGCTTGAACCTGGGAGGCGGAGGTTGTAGCGAGCTGAGATCGCACCACTGCACTCCAGCCTGGGCAACAAGAATGAAACGAAACTCTGTCTCGAAACAAACAAACAAACAAACAAACAAAAACCTCCAAAACAAATATTATTTCCCACATCTGTATTATTATTTTAAAAATCCTCCCACGGTTTGTTGAAAATGCATTATTTAGCTTCCAATTTGAAATGCCATCAGGTGCCACTCCTCTGACTGTCATTGTTACGTTGTTCAAGAAGTGGAGCTTGGGGCAGCAGCTGTTCTTGCCTGGGCCCACCACCATAACCCCAGTGTTCAAGACTGTCTGGCTGCTGCTGAAAACAACTTGACTGCAGATGTGTATTCCAATCAGGAGCTTCTCCTGTCACACAGAAGCCTAGAGTTGGGCATTTCAGGGCCAGTAGGGCAGCTCCAGGGGCGTTCTTATGTGCTTCGGTTTTAACCTCCTTAACACGTGGCTTTCCCAGACCTCATTGTCCAAGATGTCTGCTGGAGCTCCAGCCATCAAGCCTGAGTTTCAGGCAAGAAGTAGGAGAAGGCAGGTGAGGCCAAAGGGACTATGCCAATTGTTCATCTCCCTTTTAAGGAACTTTCTCGGATGTCTCACCTACAGTCTTCTGTTTATACCTCATTGCCCAGAACTTAGTCATAGGGCCACACCTTGTATCAAAGGGGCAAGACATGTAGAGTTTATGGTGTTGGTGTGATGGAATGCTGGAGGTTGCTGATGAGATAGGGGATAGATAAGTTCTCTGATAGTCTCAGAACTTTGGAGGCAGGGCCTGTTCCTAAAAAACAGAGCTTCCTGGTAGCAAATCTCAGCAGAAGGCACCATAGCCCTCCCCATCCCCTCCTTGCCTTCTGGCCATCTCAGGCCATATCCAGCTTTTGGGGACTCCCCACAAGGGGCTGCACCTGTGAGTGGGAGCTGACAGCTGGGAGGGAGCCCAGCCCCTACTCTGGGAGACAGAAGCCCTCTGGGTCTTTGGCCAATTCACCCTTGGCTGGCGTTGACTAACTGGCTTGAATCTCTGAGCCTTGGGCAACAAGAGTAGCTTCCCAGGGCTGCTGCGCTAACAGACAGAAGTTGCATCTAGGAAAGCCTTAGGAGGTTCCAGCTGTTGATTTTGGGAGAACAAGGGAAGACTGCCTGGGAGTTCTTGCTGCCACCAGCAGGGGCGGCCTGAGTGCTGTCGGAGAGGCCCGGAGGAGGAGAAGTGTGGGTGCTCTGTTGCTCTCACCTTTCCCACAGCTTCCTGATCCCCCTTCAGGATTTTTCACCTGTCCACACACCCGAAATCACCAGCACTCCCCAGCGTCCTCACCCCAACTTCCCCGGCTCAAGCGATCCTCCTACCTCAGCCCCACGAGTAGCTTGGGACCACAGGTGCATGCCACCACACCTGACTAATCTATTTATTTTTTGTACAGATGGGTCTTGCTATGTTGACTAGGCTGGTCTCAAACTCCTGGCCTCAAGCAATCCATCCACCTCAGCCTCCCAAAGTGCTGAGATTACAGGCATGAGCCACCATGCCCGGCCACATTTGTTTCTTGTTCTCATGAAATTCCCATGCCTCTCTGGGACAGCTCTCCCTGGATCCAAGCTTGTCGATCTGATAAAGCCTCCACCTCAACGCTTGCCTCAAAGAGTGAAGAGAGAATGAGGGCCTCATATCTACTCTTCTATGCTTCAGTCTGGAGGTAACACTTAGACCCATAGCCTGCTAGTCAGAGCAAGGCGCACAGCTCTGTGACCTGCAGGCCCTGGGAAATGCAGGGAACACACAGATTGAGTATCTGCAGTCAAGCCTCTGTTAGTAGCAGTAACAAATGTAGTAGCTGTGTCTGCTAAAAGCCTATAGGACCATGCTACCAGTTCATATCCAAGTTCCTGCCTAGTCCTCGATAACTATGATCTGGCCTGGCTGATGCCTCCCAGCCCATCACCCCCATCTCTCTTCAAATACATCTTGCAAAGTCCTTCCTCCCAGCCCTATTCATGCTCTTCTTCTGCTTTATCAACTGTCACCACTTCCTTCCTCTTTCCTAAGTTCTTCAGGGCCCAAATCAAGTTCAATCTCTTCCTCAAAGCCTCCTTTTGGCTTATCCCTTAGTGCTATCCCTTCTTTGAGCTCCTCCAGGGCTGATTTTTAAGCTTCTCAGTCAGCCCTGAGCATATACTCCTTCTATATGTCCTCTCTAGTGTAGGGGAAGAAAAATAATTTTGTCTTCAACCTTCATAGGTTCTTTGTTAGCATGGACCCCTGTAACAGAGGACAGATTAACAAGAGAAAATAAAGTTTATTCACCTGTATATTTCATATATACATGGGAGACACCCAGAGAATGAGTAGTTCTCAAAGAGGCAGCTTTGAATTCCAGCTTATAAGCATCTTCAACAAAGAACAGTCAGTTTTGTTTATTTGTTTTTGAGACACAGTCTTGCTCTGTCGCCCAGGCTGGAGTGCAGTGGTGCGATCTCAGCTCACTGCAATCTCCACCTCCCAGGTTGAAGCGAATCTCCTGCCTCAGCCTCCCGAGTAGCTGGGACTACAGGTGCCCGCCACCACGCCTGGCTAGCTTTTGTATTTTTAGTAGAGACAGGGTTTCACCATGTTGGGTCTCCAACTCTTGACCTCATGATCCGCCCACCTCAGCCTCCCAAAGTGCTGGGATTACAGGTGTGACCACCGCACCTGACCAGAACAGTCAGTTTTTATGGTCAGGTGCAGCTGCGCCTGTAATCCCAGCACTTTGGGAGGCCAAGGTGGGTGGATCACTTGAGGTCAGGAGTTCGAGATCAGCCTAGCCAACATGGTGAAACCCCGTCTCTACGAAAAATACAAAAACTAGCTGGGCCTGGTGGCGATGTGCCTGTAGTCCCAGCTACTGGGGAGGCCGAGGCAGGAGAACCACTTCAACCTGGGAGGTGGAGGTTGCAGTGAGCAGAGATTGTGCCACTGCACCCCAGGCTGGGTGACAGAGTGAGACTCTGTCTCAAAAAAAAAAAAAAAAAAAAGGACTTTGATTCTCCAGGGGCAGCAACTTGTGGGTAGGCAAATAACTGGCAGATAAAGGTTAGTTAGTAAAGCTTGTTAATATAGATTCCTGTGGTACCATCTTCTGGCTGGTAAGGGTCTAAAGTTGTCCTCCATGGTTAGCTTGCATTCTCTTAGGTAGAAGAGGGAGTGGGATATCTTTCGTCTTTGTAAATCGATGTCCTGCTTTCGGGCACATAGAGGCAGAGTAGAGAGCTTTCCTGCATCTGCTTCTAAACTGCCTTCAGCCCAACAATCCATCTTTTGGGGTGGCTTTCTTGTCTCCCCTACTAAACTATAACCTTTGGAGATCAAGGGTTATATCTTTCTCTTCTTTGCCCTCTCAGTGCCCTACTCTGTAGGGCTCCTAATGACTTTAATTCCCAAATGGTTACAGGGCACCTACTAAATAGCAAACACCATGCTAAGCACTAGGGATGCAAAGAACAGTAAAATATGACCTGGGAAAAAATAGGATTTATATGCACCTGCTATGTGTCATCTAATGACTAAGAAAGAAAGACAGCTCTGGAGTCTGCCTGGGGTTGAATCCCATCTCTGGTGTTAAATTAACTACAAGACCTTGGGCAAGTTACTTAACTTCTTTAGCCTGAGTTTTCTCATCTTCAAAAATAGTAATGATCATTACCTACTGTATTAGCTCCCCAGGGCTGCCGTAACAAATCACAAACCGGGTGGCTTAAAACAACAGAAATTTATTCTCTCAAAGCTCTGGAAGCCAGAGTCCAAAATCAAAGTGTCAGCAAGACCATGCTCCCTGGGAAGGCTCTGGGGAAGAACTCCTTCCTTGCCTCTTCCTAGTTCTGGCGGCTCCTGGCAGCTCTAGGTGTTCAGTGGTTTGTAGCTGCATCATTCCAAGCTCTGCTTCCATCTTTACAAGACATCCCCTCTTATGCTCTCTGTATCGCTCTGTGTCCTCTCCTCTTCTAAGAAAGACACTAGTCACTGGATTTTGTTGTTGTTGTTGTATGAAACTCTTGTTGCCTAGGGATTCTTGTTGCCTAGGGTTTCTTGTTGCCTAGGGTGGAGTGCAATGGCGCTAACTTGGCTCACTATAACCTCTGCCTCTCGGGTTCAAGTGATTCTCCTGCTTCAGCCTCCTGAGTAGCTGGGATTACAGGTGCCTGCCACTGCGCCTGGCTAATTTTTTTGTATTTTTAGTAGAGACAGGGTTTCACCATGTTGGCCAGGCTGGTCTCGAACTCCTGACCTCAGGTGATCAGCCCACCTTGGCCTCCCAAAGTGCTGGGATTACAGGCGCGAGCCACCATGGTGGGCCCGTCACTGGGTTTAGGGCTCACCCTAATCCAGTGTGACTTCATCTGAACTAATTACATCTGCAAAACGCTATTTCCAAATAAGGTCACACTGTGAGGTTCTGGGTTGACAAGAATTTTTGGAAGACACTTATTCAACCCACAGCACCTATCTTATCAGGTCATTGTGAGGATTAAATGAGATGATGCCTGTGAAGCATTTGGCACAATGGCTGGCACATAGTAAAATTCATTGAATGTTAGTCATTTTTAGGACAGTAAATTAATCAGCATTATTTTTATTTATTTATGAATGTCAGAAACCCAATTCAGTCCTTGTGTGGCTGGATCTGGGTGCTCAAATGAGGCTATGGAGGACCTTTCCTTCTTTGTCGCCCAGCTTTCTTCATTGTCTTTATCCTTAGGCACACTCTCCTAGAGAGGTGGCAAGAAAATCTCTCAGCAGATCTAGGGCTCCATTTGACCAGCTCATCATGCTTGATGGAAAAGGATCACCTCTTTCTCAGTAGCGTCAGCCAAAGTTCCAGGGCTGAATCTCATGGAAACAATCTGGAATATGAGCCTATCCCAGAACCAATCTCTGTGGCCAGGGGGATGCACTATCCTGAACTAGCAGGTAGGGTGGAGGGTGAACCACCTGAGCTGCAAGTGACGGAAGGGTGGCTCCCAAAAGAGAAGTCAGAATGTGAACCCTCAGATCTCAGATACCAAGTCTGCAAAAACACAAATATAGACCGTGACAATGTTGTGTGCCAGCTCCTAGTATGGTCTTTGGCACAGTGTAGAAGTTCAGTTAATGTTTGTTGAATAATCGTATGAATAATGCAAGAAAACATGTTAGGCACCAAGTAAAATGCTCATGTTGGCGGGGCGCAGTGCTCACCTCTGTAATCCATGCACTTTGGGAGGCTGAGGCAGGTGGATCACTTGAGGCTAGGAGTTCAAGACCAGCCTAGCCAACATGGTGAAACCCCATCTCTACTAAAAGTACAAAAATTAGCTGGGCATAGCGGCGTGCGCCTGTAGTCCCAGCTACTGAGGAGGCTGAGGTGGGAGGATTGCTTGAATCTGGGAGGCGGAGTCTACAATGAGCCGAAATTGTGCCACTGCACTCCAGCCTGTCGACAGAGTGAGACTGTCTCAAAACAAAAACAAAAACAAAACAAAACAAACAAACAAAACTCATGTTTTCTCACTTCCCACTGCAAAGAAGATATTCCATTTTGCAGGTGTGGAAATTGAGGCTGACTGAGTTTAAGTGATCTAAGATGACAGAACAAAAAGCAGTAGAGCTAGGATTCAAAGCCAGGTGGGTTTCATTGCAGTGCCTGTGTTATTTCTATTACACCATGCTGCCTTTGTCCACCAGACTCACAGCCAGAGAAGAAAGTTTGAACACACACCACTGTTAGGTGCAAAAACAAAATGAGTTTGTTGATGAAGATGCTGATTTAGAGGAGGTAGTGGAGGAGAAAGGAGAGAATAAACCTAAAGAGGATGTTGTAGGGAATTCACCCTGAGAAATTCAGATCCGCCTCTGGGACTGGAGAAGGAGGACATTCCAGGAGCTCCGGAAGAGCCCAGTAAGTGGGTGAATCAGGTGACCTAATCCACCAAAACAGCTGCTGTGTCTCCAAGAGGGAGGGGGACATCAAGTCTGTGAGGGTCACCCATGCGTCAATAGTTCATCAATTATTGATGGTTTTTCTTTTTTGATTGCTATGTAGTATTCCATTGTATAAATATGCCATAATTCTATTTTTTGAGATGGGGTCTCATTCTGTTGCCCAGGCTGGAATGCAGTGGCCTGAACTCCTGGGCTCAAGGGATCCTCCTGCCTCAGCCTCCCAAGTAACGGGGACTACAGGAAATATGCCATAATTATTTTCTCCATTCAGTTGTTGACGATATTTCGGTTGTTTCTAGTTTTTTGCTATTAGGAATAAGCCACTATGAACACTCTTGTGCATGTCCTTTGGTGGCCATAGCATGCATTTCTGTTGGATACACTCAGGAAAAAAATTGTTGGGTCATCCAGATGTCCCCCATTCATCGTTGGCTGTTCTTTGTCTTCTACCTCTCAAAGCCCCTCAGATAGTGCAGAACTCCTGCCTGTCTAGAGCTCTCTAAGCCTGGAGGCAGGGGGTTGGACAAGGTGATCCCCCGAGGCCTCTCAGCATTTCTCTGAAGGATTTAGCCATGCGTCTCTGGCCCCAGCTCCCGCCAGCATCACTGTTTGCTCACAAAAACGTTTCATGCGATTAGCCAAGTAATGACATCTTAAAACTGTAGAGCTAATATATTACGTAATAAAACACAGAAGCAAATCTCTTTGACACATACTGGTGATTTACTCCACCAGCCATAAAGATAATTACATTTCAGGTTGATATATAAAAGGCGGCAGGCAGAGCTTATGAAAAATTAGCATAGCTTTGTGTTGGACCTCTCCATTCATGGGGACCAGTTCATCATTCCTTCTGCAGTTAGCCAGCAAACATTGACTCAGCTGGGCTTTCCCAGTGACTGGTCACCGCTGCCACTGGAAGGCCCTGTTGGCAGCATGGAAAGGGCAGGTGAAGAGGGCCAGGTCTGAAGTGTAAGGCGTTCATTCCTACAGGCAGCTCTGTGACATTGAAGCTGTCTTCACAGGGTTAACAAGAATTCTGAACAGAAATATGGTTATGATTAAGCATTAATCAGGCCGCACTTTGACCAGCTTCCTTGTAACCAACAGTCATGGTAGGACTAGATAGATACTGGCCGTTTGCATCCCCATGGTTCCTATAGATAGGATTTCTGATGTTAGAACCACAAGACTTTTGTTTAAGCTAGATAGGATCTCTGACATTAGAATCACAGGGCTCTCATTTAAAAATTGCTTACAATGTCTTTCAGATCCCCAATTCCAGTAAGACAGCTTATGCCAACCAGTTTGAAGACCCCCAGAGAAGAACAGAATCAATATGAGAATACAGTTTCTTCACCTGCCTGTCTTATGGCTCCAACCTGCACTCTTTGACCAATCAACAATCTCCACACTTTGGCACACTCCAAAACCCTTAAAGACACTATCCCCAAACTCCTCAGAGAGTCGGATTTGAGGTTTCCTCCTGTCTCCTTGTTTGGTGGCCCTACAATTAAACCTCTTTCTCTGCTGCAGTCTGGTGTCTTGGGCATATTTAAAATTGCCTTTGCAAAGATTATGACAGTGAGAGAAGTCTAGCAAGGCTGACTCCCTCTTGCTTCTAGCCCCCCAGGCTGGCTGTCCTCACTCATTCCTGGGCATAGGCCAAGCTAACCATGGGAGGAATTTAGTTTACAGTTTAACTTTGAAGAAAGGATGATAATAGTCCCTCTCTAAAACTGATCCCCTCCTTGTTAGGGGGCTGAAACTGCCTTTGTAAGACCAATGGAAGGCCACAAGATTACAAATATAGAAGGGGCCTGAATTCTGCTTAAATGTAGGGCGGGGCCGGGCACGTTGGCTCATGCCTGTAATCCCATCACTTTGGGAGGCTGAGGCAGCAGTTTACGAGGTAAGGAGTTTGAGACCAGCCTGGCCAGCGGGGTGAAACCCTGTCTGTACTAAAAATACAAAAAAAAAAAAAATTAGCCGGGCATGGTGGCTCATGCCTGTAGTCCCAGCTACTTGGGAGGCTGAGGCAGGAGAATCACTTGAACCTGGGAGGTGGAGGTTGCAGTGAGCTGAGATTGCACCACTGTACTCCAGCCTGGGTGACAGAGTGAGACTCCGTCTCAAAAAAAAACAAAAAAAAATGTAGGGCATAGTTTCCATCATCTCTTATTGCTAAGGAATTGTTGTGGCTAGAGGTCACAAGTTTTGTGACTTCCCCATTGCTCCTACAGATACCACCACTACCGATCCCAGAATCTAAGATTAGTCTTCTGAGATGTATCTCAGACTTCTGCATTCTGGCAACCAACTGAGCCCACCTGGACTTAATGATTCACGACTCAACCAGTCCTGTGCCCTCACCCCAAACAGAGGCAGACACAGTGGATGAGGACAGTTTCCCACTGTGATTGCATCCCTGGCCAATCAGCAGCACCCATTCCTTAGTTCCCTGCCCACCAAACTATCCTTGAACAATTCTAACCTCCAAGCCTTCAAGGAGATTGATTTGAGCAATCTCCAGTTCTCCCATGTGGCTGGCCTATCATTAATTAAATTCTTTACTATAATACCACAGTATCAGTGAATGGGTTTTGTCTGTGCAGCAGGCAGAAAGAACCCACTGGGCAATTACATGGTGACTTGCTGAATGCATCAGGCCATGGACCTATTGCAGTTACAACACTGTAGAAGAAGCATCTGGCCTGGGAGACAGGGTGCCTTGTCTCTGGGCCTGATTAGCCACCACCAGCCTTAAGCAACTCACCACCTCCCTTGGAGTCAACATACATGCTGGGAGCAAGAGGCTCCCAACTCCTCGCTGATCACCCAGGAGAGGTTTACAGTAAATGCTCTGAACTTCCAGGACCAATTTTCCAAAGCAAAAGTCAGGTCTCTCAGTCTGACAAGTTGTTTCTTCTTCTTCCTTCTTCCCTTCTCCTTCTCCTTCTTCTTCTCCTCCTCCTCCTCCTCCTCCTTCTTCCTCCTTCTCCTCTTCTTTCTCTTCTTCTTCCTCCTCCTCTTCCTCTTCTTTCTTTCTCTTCTTTCTTCCTCTTCCTTCTCCTTCTTCATCTCCTTCTCCTTCTCCTTCTTTTTTAAATCAGGCAGGCTCCCAAGCCCGAGTAGGCACAGAGAGGTTACTGGCGCATTTCTAAGGATGAAGGGACAAGGAATTTGCAACTGAGCTGTCCTGGTGTCATTGACCTCAAGGATTCTCTTCCCCATTGTTGCCCTAAAGGTAAAAACTGAGGGAAAATTAATATAAGAAGAGAGTTTGTTTGCACCAAGTTCGAAGACTGCAATCAGGGAGCATAGATTTAAGTTGCCCTGAATATAAGCTTAATTAGCAGCAGTTACAAGTGGGTTTTCAAAAGAAAAGAAGAGGCAGTTCACAGGTTGTTTACCAAGAATCTACACTAAGATAAGCTGGGCAACAGAGTGAGACCCCTGTCTCTATAAAAAAAAAAAAAAAAAAAAAAAAAAAAAAAGGCCAGGCACAGTGTCTCACACCTGTAATCCCAGCACTTTGAGAGGCTGAGGCTGGTGGATTGCTTGAGCCTAGGAGAGCAAGGCCAGCCTGGGCAACATGTCAAAAACCCTGTCTCCACTAAAAATACAAAAAATTAGCCAGGCGTGGTAGCACACGCCTGTAATCTCAGCTACTGGGGAGGCTGAGGCACAAGAATTGCTTGAATCTGGGAGGCAGAGGTTTTGATGAGCCAAGATCGTGTCTCTGTGCTGCAGCCTGGGTGACAGAGTGAGATTGGGTCTTAAAAAAAAAAATTACCTGGGTATGGTAGTACCTGGCTGTAGTCCCAGCTACTCCAGAGGCTGAGGCAGGAGGATTGCTTGAGTAGAGGAGGTTGAGGCTTCAGTAAGCAATGATCATGCTACTACCCTCCAGCCTGGACAACAGAGTGAGACCCTGTCTCTAAAAAACAAGTAATAATAATAATAACAACAACATAAGCTGTTCATTCGTCATTTGCTATTCTTTGTATCACAAATTTAGGAACCTGAAGATAATGGGTGAGGCAGCTAGTCAGGAACAGAATCCCTTTGAACAATTGCTCCTGGGCCTGGGTGGAGTATGAGGAGGGATGTGTATGACTGAATTCCCAAACTCCTGTCTCTCAGGGCCTGATCAGTTTTGCAGGGCTTAGACCGCTCTGAGCTATTTTTCTTTTCTCACCATGTTCTCTACTGCCCCACACCATGAGGCAAGGGCTCAGAGGGAGTTCAGTGAGAAAAGAATTTGGAAAAAACGCTCAGGCATCAATATTCAAAGTCCTTGTTTAGAAATAGGAAACTAAGGAAGACAGGAGCCCCTGGGTCATCCAGATTCTGTAGAGGAGGAAAAATACCTTTTCCTTCCACCTTTCTTAGGTTCATTGGCTGGAACACCTGTAACAAAAGACAGATTAACAAGAGAAAAACAAACAGAAGTTTATTAACCTCTATACCTCATGTACACATGGGAGATGCCCAGGGAAAAAGGAGTACATCTCAAGGAAGTGGTTTAGAATTCAGGCTGAAATACCATCTTCAGCTGAAACGAAGAAAGAAGGGTATGAGGGAGGCCAGTTATGGGGAGGTGACCAGGAAAAGCACAGTAAACAAGGGTAAGGTTTGCTATGCATATTAAAGTCAGTGCTTATCCATTGATAAGTCTCTAGTGATTTGGAGACATCCTTCTCTTCCTGGTACAGAGAGGGAGACATCCTTACAAAGGGAGATTTCCTTTGTAAATGTAAATTTCCCATATGAAAGGGTAACTTCTACTCTGTTTTCAGTTTCTCCTGTGTCTGCAGATTCTCAAAATAATTAACTCAAAATAATCCTTATGCCAGAGAGGCATATGCTAGGGTGGTATATTCTGGTCCCCTACAGTCATATTTTGGTCTCCTACAATTCACAGAGAAAACTAGTGTCAGAGACGAGACTAGAAGCCAGCACAAGATGTATAGAGCCAAAGATATGTTGCTGCCATTCTGGGTGAAGGAGCCCAGAATCTAATGTGGTGTCTGCTCCTTCTCTTACCTGGGCACAAACCGAGATCTATTTTTTTTTTTGAGATGGAGTCTCGCTCTTTCGCCAGGCTGGAGTGCAGTGGTGCAATCTCAGCTCACTGCAACCTCCACCTCCCGGTTTCAAGCGATTCTCCTGCCTCAGCCTCCTGAGTAGCTGGGACTACAGGTGCATGCCACCACGCCCAGCTAATTTTTGTATTTTTAGTAGAGATGGGGTTTCACCATGTTGGCCAGGATGGTCTCGATCTCCTGATCTCGTGATCCACCCGCCTTGGTCTCCCAAAGTGCTGGGATTAGAGACATGAGCCACTGCGCCCAAACTGCAATCTTAAAGGAAACCCAGCCTCATGCTTCGTCTTTTCTCATGTTTCCCTGCCCCTCTTCTCTTGCTCAGGTGCTGGCAGCCTGTCTAGTGGAGGGTTGCTCTGGATGCAGCAAGGTTGGACAGGATGAGCTCTAGAGAGCCAGGGCTTTTGATCTTAGACCTGGGGAGAGGTGGGACCTGGGAGGTGAGCTGCAGGTAACCCAGTTGCAGTAGCCATTAGCCAGCTGTGAGCCCTCGGGAACTGGGAGTCAGGACTCCTGGGATCTGCCTCCTTTCTCTCTCCTCCCTGGTCTTCTGAGGCCAACTCATCTTTGGTTTTCCACTGGGAAATGTTTTCACCTCTCCAAACCTGGACAGAGCGCCTCCTCCTGGCTGAGTGGGGATGTTCTCCAGAGAAACTTGGGACCTTGGGGAGCAACACTGCACACATGGGGTTCATCAAAAAGCCATTTGCAGGCAGGGTGTGGTGGCTCACGCCTGTAATCTCAGCACTTTGGGAAGCTGAGGCGAGTGGATCATCTGAGGTCAGGAGTTCAAGACCAGCCTGGCCAACATTATGAACCCCCATCTGTATTAAAAATACAAAAATTAGCCGGGCGTGGTGGCATGCATCTGTAATCCCAGCTACTCGAGAGACTGAGGCAGGAGAATGGCTTGAATCCAGGAGGCAGAGGTTGCAGTGAGCCAAGATTGCACCACTGCACTCCAGCCTGGGTGACAGTGTGAGACTCTGTCTCAGAAAAAAAAAAAATGCCATTTGCAAGGGTGAGAGTTGCATCCTCTGAGCCCCTAGCCCCTCCTCCTTGGCCTGAATGCAGGAATGGCAGGCTTGGGCACTAGTTGGATGGTTGGAGGAGGACTCCAACTCAGAGCAGAGCAGCACGCGGGGCCTAGAAGGCAGTATGGGAGCCACTTCTAGGTTCTGGAATGTGCAAACTCAGCCACGCACAAACCCTCAGCTTCCGGCCCAACCTCCTGCTGAGTTATTGAGGCAGATAATGGAAGAGGGGGGGCGCCTAGAAACCCCCAAGCCCCTCCTCCTGCCCATTGTGTCCTCCGATTCCCTCTTCCGCGGCTCCGCGCGGCGGAGCTCAGGGGCGCAGGCTCTTAGAGCTGCGGTGGGGCGGGGGCCGCGGGACGTCCGTTTGTTCTCCGCGGAGGAGGCGACGCGCCGCCAACGACCGCAGCTCCACGTCCTGGCGCTTCTGGGAGCCGCCCCAGCGGGAGCCAGGGAGAAAATGAATCGCCTTGAGTGACACAGGACATGGCAGATTGGATGTTTAATTTGGGTATCTCTTTAGAACGCCCCCCACGCCCACCTCCTCTGCTCCCACTTAGCATCCAGCCGGCGAGAAAGCCCTGCTCCTCACAAATTGCCTTGTCGGCTCGGAGAAAAATGCCAGCGTGACTGATTGCTAGGTGGGTCCCTCCAAGTGCGCGGGAAGGAACCGGCACGACCGCACAATGCTCCTTCCTACAGAGACGCGGCGTCGTGCCAGAGCCGGAGATTTGAGTCAGACACCGGGAAGGACTGCCCGTGGAGGAGGGCGGCTCGTGGGGCTGGGGGTTTGTTTAGGGGTCTCTCGGGTCCAGAGGGAGGGCCAGGCGACCCTGGCTGGGGTCTGGTGGCTGTGGGGGGCCTGCGGGGCCCAGAGGAAAAGGCCGGCACCCGGTCCGCGAGAGGGGGCACGTACGGGGCGCAGAGGCAGAACGCAGCCCGCAGCAGACGGACAGCCTTCCCCAGACTGCCTGGAGCTCGGAGCCCGGCGCCGAAACCTGCAGATCACAACCTGTCAGTCGCGCTTTCCCGGCAGCCTCACCTGCCTCCAGATCTTTCCAAACAAGGAAAGGAGCTGCAAACATGGCAATCACCTTCCCGGCAGCGGCAGACAGCTGCCAGGGAGCAGCAGGCGACGAGCCAGCCCAGTCAGGGAGGCGGAGACGTGATCAGGCTGCGGCAGCCCCCTATACCGAGCTAGAGCTCGGGCGGACCCCGCCCCCCGCCGCAGGGACTTTGGTGGATGTCCAAGGTCACCCGCAGCTCGGCAGGGGTTCAGCACCGGAGCAGCCACCTGTTCAGGTGGCAGTTCTGGAAGGACCCCTCGGGGCTGGGGGAGGGTGGGACTAGGGCCGCACCCTGGCTTTTGCTAACCATTTATGTGACTGGGGCAAGCGCCCTGGCCTTGGACTCTGACCACACCGCACAGGGCCTGGGGTCGCTTCCATGCAGCTCTCTCATTCTGATTCTGGAGATATCTTGGGAAGAGCTAAGAGTGGCTTTTAGGCCCTGAAGCTGGGTAGGGCCCAGAAACCACACTTTCTAGGCTGTGGAGTGGCCCTGATCCTCTCTTCATTGTCCAGATTATTGCTTGAAGCCAACTCAGTGGGGTGTTGAAGTGGCTAATCCAAGCTACTTGAGATGAAGAGGTGTTGGAAGGACTGACCCGGGATAAACCTGAGTGATCCCAGACTCAGGCTCTCAAAAGGCTGGAATGAAGAACCTCCTTTGGAGGGTTAATATAGGAGAATTTAAGGGGTCCCCACCTTCCTTCCCATCAGCCTGCTTAATGTTACTACCCATGCCAAGGACAGCCCGATGGGTGCGCCAGCTTCCCTTAGAACTGACTGCCTTTTACTCCATGAACTGTTTGAGATTGTGTGGGTTCTTCTGAGTTCTTGAAAGTATAGGACAAACAGAAGGGAGGATGCTCTCAACATGAATGTGGATAATTTGCCCCCAGTGAAGCCGCAGTGTGGGTAATTCACCTGTACAAATCAAGAGATGGATGCCTTTTCCATCTGGTCTCATTCAGATGTCTTCTCAAATCAGAAAATATCTACTCTTTAGCTCCCAGCCCAGGTGACACTTACTACTCCTTCACCAAGCCCACCTTCCCAGCTTCTTCACATACAGTAGCGGATGAATCGCCCCCCCCACCCATGCCACACGGAACAGGGCCATCAAAGTGGCCCTAGGCCAAGGGGAGGTCTCTGCCCCCTTCCCCAGCCCGGGGCTACCCTTGGGTCCTGCTCCTCAGGCCACTCCCCTGTCCCTGGCCATGTGGGGAGGAGGCTGCCCTGGTCATGGCCGCCTGCCTGTCATTCCTGACTCACCACCATCCCCAGGTGTACCATTCCTGCCCTCTGCTCAGCTGCAATTGAAGGCTTTAACTTTGCACACTTTGGGATCACGGTTGTGTCATTGGAATAAATTAAGCAGGTCTCAACCGCCTCCCCCACCCCAGGAAAAAAAAAAAGCCAGGGGGGGCCCTAGAATGAGAAAGCTGGAGGGAGCGGGCAGGAATCCACTTAAAACTATTCCTTAAGCTTAAAACATGGTGTAGGCGGGGAAAATATGATCAGATGGAAGTTAGGGTGGCAGAGAATGTCACCAAGTCATCTTGATCCATTGCAAGAAAGAGGCTGGGATCTGGGTGCCGAGGAAACCTTCACCAAGCTGTGTGAAGAAGACTCAGCCTTTCCTCAGTATCCTAGCTAGCTCTCCCTTCCCGTGCCACACCTTCTCTACTCTCTAAAGGGGCTTAACATCCTCATGCTCTCTGCTTCTTCACCAAGTTTTCAGCAAAGTATCTCTAATAGTCATTTACACCTGCATTAGAAGATAAGTTCCCGGGTGACAGCTTATGTAAATGTTCAGGTCAACTTTTCAGAAGGTATTTGCTATGGTTTGAATGTGTCCCTCCCAAAAGCATGTGTTGGAGGCATAATTGCTATTGTAACCATATTAAGAGGCGAGCCTCTTAATACGGTGGTTCATCCTGTAATTCCAGCTATTTAGGAGGCTGAGGTGGGAAAATCGCTTAAGGCCAGGAGTTTGAGACCAGCCTGGGCAACATAATGAGACCCCATCTCCAAAAAGTAAAAACATAAAAAATTAGCTGGGTGTTTGTAGTATGGCTATTAGCAGGTAGTTGGTGCCAGCTACTCGGGAGGCTGAGACTGAGGTGGGAAGATGGCTTGAGCCTAGAAGTTTGAGGCTGCAGTGAGTTATAATTGTGCCATTGTACCCCAGCCTGGGCAACAGAGTGAGACCTCGTCTCTAAAAAAACAGAAAAAGAGGCTGGGCATGGTGGCTCACACCGGTAATCTCAGCACTTTGGGAGGGTGAGATGGGCAGATCATGAGGTCAGGAGTTCGAGACCAGCCTGGCCAACATGGTGAAACCCCACCTCTACTAAAAATACAAAAATTAGCTGGATGTGGTGATGTGTGCCTGTAATCCCAGCTACTTGGAAGGCTGAGGCAGAAGAATCACTTGAAACTGGGAGGCGGAGGTTGTAGTGAGCTAAAATCATGCCATTGCACTCCAGCTGGGGTGACAGAGCAAGACTCTGTCTCAAAAAAAAAAAAAAAAAAAAAAGAAAGAAAGAAAGAAAAAGAAAGAGGCAGGATCTTTAAGAGGTGGTTAGCCATGAGGGGTCTGCCTTCATGAATGGATTAATGCCATTGGCCATTGTCTCAGGAATGGGTTCCTTATAAAAAGAGGTTAGCCCTTCTCTCTGTCTTCACCCTCTTCCTCCCCCCTCTCTCTCCCCCACCTCCTCTCTCTGTCTCTCCCGCTCTCTCTCGCTCACCCATGTGATGCCTTCTGCCATGCTATGGTGCAGCAAGGGCTTACCAGACGCCACCCCCTCAGTCTTGGACTTCCCAGCCTCCAGAACCATAAGCCAGTAAATTTCTATTCACTATAAATTACCCAGTCTGAGGTATTCTGTGGGAGCAGCACAAAACAGACAAAGATGATATTCATATTTAAATAATGTAAGACTTTTTATATCTAACTCTGGACTTTCTTCTCTGGTAAAAATAAGATCAATGTTGATAGCACTTGGTCTCAGAGCCCCTGACGTTAGCACTAAGTTATAAGCACTTACTCTGCCATCAGATATGGTGGCCCTGCTGAGCCTCTGGCAGTAGGACGAGCCCAAAGCAAAGAAAGTGGTCCCAGTGCCCTTCCCTCCTTCCACTTCCTGCTCCAGGTTGATGGGCTGGACACAAGGGTTAAGATTAGGGGATCTGGCCAGGAGCAGTGGCTCACACCTGTAATCCCAGCACTTTGGGAGGCCGAGGTGGGCAGATCACTTGAGGCCAGGAGTTCAAGACCAGCTGGGCAACACAGTAAAACCCCGTCTCTACTTAAATTACAAAAATTAGCTGGGCGTGGTGGTGCACGCCTGTAATCCCAGCTACTCAGGAAGTTGAGGCAGAAGAATCGCTTGAACTCGGGAGGCAGAGGTTGCAGTGAGCCAAGATTGCGCCACTGCACTCCAGCCTGGGTGACAGAATGAGACTCTGTCTCAAAAAGAAAAAAAAAAAACAAAGCAAACAAAAAAATTAGCCAGGTGTGGTGGCACACACCTGTAATCCTAGCTACTCAGGAGGCTGAGGCAGGAGAATTTCTTTAACCCAAGAAGCAGAGGTTGCAGTGAGCAGAGATCACGCCACTGCACTCCAGCATGGGCCACAGAGCAAGACTCTGTCTCAAAAAAAAAAAAAAAAAAAAAAAAAAAAAGATTAGAGAGTCAGGCCCAGAGATTCCTGAAAGGAGCTTTGTCAGTTCCCCCTTGTCCAGAAAGGACTGAGTAAGCCCACTCTTGGTCTTTTTCTGAATCAGCCTAAAAGTGGCCTCTCTTGGTTGGGGCAATTTTGGAGAGCAAATTGCAAGGGGCAGAAGCTTGGAAAGGGCTAAAACTAAGGAAAGAGGGTATTGTTGCAGCCAATGCCAGCTGTTCCCCCTCCCAACCCAATGCTGTGGACTGCTGGCTAATGGGTGCACATGCTTTTTAGTCTCTGGCTCTTCTCTGCCATTCCCACCCCACAGCTGGAGTGTGCTTGGCAGAGGCACATAATTGGCTCTGTGCATTGGAGCCAGTGAGGCAAGAGCTACAGTGTGAGGGACAGAAGGGAGATGACAGGGAAAGAAGGATCCTGCACCTTTCTCTCTGCCTACCCACTGTGATTCCTTCTGCCTTCAGGTGGGTCACAGAATGGTGGAACGGAAAGCTCAAGAGATCTGCAGTCAGAAGACCTGAGATCTCTTCATTTGCTAGCTGTTACCTAATTTTGTTTAGCCTTATTTTTCCCATCTGTAAAACTGGGATATTGGTTAGGGTTACAGACAAACACAGGTTGGGAGGATGCTCTTTGGTGTGGGAAGGAACTTGATAGTCTGTAGAGGGATGTGCAGATGTGAGTTGTTATTCCTACTCCTGTCTTGCAGGAAGTGGGATGCCTGGCCAGACACCTCAGCATCCATATCACTCATCAAACCACCCCCACCCCTGCACATACAGGTGCATGTTCCATGGTAAACCAAAACAACAGCCTCAAAAACAACCAACAAAAACTGAAGTTGTGATATGTATCCACGTGGGTTCCTCCCAATCCAACAAAAGTTAGACTTGGGCCTCTAGGACTCATTCCAGTGAGGACCCTCTGAGCACTCATGAAAGCTTTCATGGGAGTCTGCAGGAGGGAAGGAGGGTGGAGGAGGGGCAGGATCTCTTCAAAGGGCAAATTAATGCATGCCAAGCTAACACATGCCAAGCACCATTACTGAGCATCCCCTGAATGCCCATATTTGCTGGACATTTCACAGGAGCCAAGACAACTCTGATGGGTTTTACAGTCATTGGAGATGATAAGTAAACCTTCCTTCAAACAGAGAAATAATGGGAAATAATGGGAAACAGATTGCAGTACACACAATTGGAGAAGGAAGGAAGCTGTTTTCAGAGCCCTAGGCCCATCCCATCAAACAATGGTGCTCCAAGGGTAAATTGAGTTCTCTTTGGCTGGGCAGAGAGCATGAGGCCAAGAGGGAAAGATATTGGGGTGCCGAGCATCACAGCAGGCTCCCTTTCTGCCTTCCCACACCAGTCCCCTGACACCGACTGGATGTCACTCAATTCAATTCAATTCAATTCAATTCAATTCAATTCAATTCAATTCAATTCAATTCAATCCAATTCAATTCTGACATCAGCTACCTGGCGTTAGCACAAATCCCACAGGTTAAGGGGCTTAGTCCCGCAAGACTGCCCACTTCAGGTACCAACTACAAGTCCTGGGTGTCCTCAAGCCACTCACACTTCTGCCTGCCCAGCTATAAATTCGGGGGTTCCTCTACACCCTCATTTTGGGTTGATAAAGAATGACTCAGAGAACTCACTGGAAGCATTATATTTACAATTACCATTTTATTGTAAAAGATACAAATAAACAGCCTGATGAACATGCACACACAGCAAGGTCTGGAAGAGTCCCAAGCACAAAAGCTTCTGTTGGAGTCAGGGTGTGCCACCCTTCTGGTATGCCAATATTAGTATGTTTACCAACCAGGAAGTTCTCCAAGCCTTGTTGTTCAGAGTTTCTGTTGAGGTTTCATTATGTAAGCATGATTGATTTAATCATTGGCCATGTGACTGGACTCCATCTCCATCTTTTCCTGGAGGTGGAAGGGAGAGGGGAGGGGCTGAAAGTTCCAACTCTTTAATCCCTTGGTTGGTTTTCCTGAGAACCAGCCTCTGTTCTGAAACTGTCTAGGGGATCTGCTGTGAGTCATCTCATTAGCATAAACTCAGGTGTGGCTGAAAAGGGCTCATTATGAATAACAAAAGACATTCCTGTCATTCAAACTTCTGAGGGTTTTTGAAGCTCTGTGCCAGGAACCTGGGACAAAGACTAAATATATTATTTTTGACTTTATCCCACTTTCCTACTCACAGAGAAGAAGGAAGAGAATGGGGGAGCATCCTGAGTGTTTCGTGACTTCATTGTGGGAGGAGGCGCCGGAACTGTATGAGTGGTTGAAGGAAAGTATGAAGAAAACAGAATCACAGATCATCTTTACTTAACTGGAGGTCTATCCTACAGAAGAGGGAGCCTCTGCCAGGAGGAATTTGGACCAATGAGCGAAAGTAATGGGAAACCAGTTTTCAGCAGGAGCTGATAGGGTGGGCTGCCTTGAGAAGTAATAAGCTCCTAGAGAATATTTTAACAGAGCTGAATGCAAGTTCCATGTGAGCATCAACTCAGTCGGACTTGACTTCTGCTGTGTGCCTGGGGCCTGAATATTACCTGACAAACAGTAGATGCTTACTAAATATTTGGTAAATATTTGTTGAATGCACATTTGTGGAGGAGAAGGGAAGGTAGTTTAAATAACATGAAAACCTAGGCCCAGTCATAAGTCTTTAGTATCCAGCCGTTGTGCTGGCTTTTGAGGCAAAAAACAAAAAAACAAAAAATTCTTCTTAAGAAGCTCACCACAGTAAGTGCTGTAAGTGGGGAGATAGACATTTATGTCTAGAGCAAAGTTTAATAACAAACAAATCAGTTCCAGTTAAAGATGGCAAGTTGAACCCATTCATTAGTTTACACTCCCCAAAGCCCATGGAAATAACAGTAAAAGGATTTTATTAAAAGGCATAAGCCCATCAGTTCAAAGGTGGAATGCAGATGGAGACTTCCAGTAAAGATGGTGAATTGAATGCACACAATTCATCTTGCTCTTCTTGAAAACCCTAAAGTGACTATAAAGGGATTTTTTAAAAATCAGAAACCCATAAAGGTGGAGATGAGACAGAAATTCGGCAGGACTTGTTTTACAAGATGCGGGTCACAAGGACACTGCTGATAAAACAGGATGTGGCAAAGAAGCCAGTCAAAACCTGCCAAAACCAAGATGGCAACAAAAGCAATCTCTGATTGTCCTCACTGCTCATTATATGCTAATTACAATGCATTAGCATGCTAAAGGCACTCTCACTAGCGCCATGACAGTTTACGAATGCCATCGCACATCCAGAAGTTACCTTATATGGTCTAAAAGAAGGAGGAACCCTCAGTTCTGGGAAATCTCTGCCCCTTTCCTGGAAAACTCATGAATAATCAACCCCATATTTAGCATATAATCAAGAATTAACTATAAATATAGCCGGCCAACAGCCCTCAAAGGCTGCTCTGCCTATGGAATAACCACCTTTTATTCCTTTAGTTTTCTTCTTTTTTTTTTTTTTGAGATGGAGTTTTGCTCTGTTGCCCAGGCTGGAGTGCAGTGGCACGATCTTGGCTCACTGCAACCTCCGCCTCCTGGGTTCAAGTGATTCTCCTGCCTCAGCCTCCCCAGTAGCTGGGATTACAGGTGCACGCCACCACGCCCTGCTAGTTTTTGTATTTTTAGTAGAGATGGGGTTTCTCCATGTTGGCCAGGCTGGTCTGGAACTCCTGACCTCAGGTGATCCACGTGCCTCGGCTTCCCAAAGTGCTGGGATTATAGGGGTGAGCCACCGTGCCCAGCCTATTCCTTTACTTTCTTAATAAACTTGCTTTCACTTTATTCTGCTTGCTCTTGAATTCCTTCCTGTGCTTGAATTTCTTCCTGCACAAAGCCAAGAACCCACGTGGCCTCCCGGGCTGAGCCCCAATTTTGGGGTTTGCCCTGTGCCAGAAATAATGGGAGAGAAGACAACAGCAGCCCAAGTTTGGAAACTGTAAAGCAATGAATGAGTAAACTGAGTAGACTGGGAAAAGCTGAAGCCCAAACTGAAAGAGGGGAAAGCTAAAAAGCCAATTCCCACCCCCTTTCTCCAAAACCCCTCCAGAGTCTCAGGCATTGGTGACACTACTGTTGCTGGAAAGTAGAGTGAGGAAGGGAGTTAAATAAGGAGCTCTTGGGCCGGGTGCAGTGGCTCATGCCTGTAATCCCAGCACTTTAGGAGGCTGAGGCAGGCAGATCACTTGAGGTCAGGAGTTTGAGATCAGCCTGGCCAACATGGTGAAACGCTGTCTCTACTAAAAATACAAAAATTAGCCAGGTGTAGTGGCAGACACCTGTAATCCCAGTTAATTGGGAGGCTTAGGCAGGAGAATCACTTGAACCTGGGAGGTAGAGGTGGCAGTGAGCCAAGACTGCACCACTGCACTCCAGCCTGGGTGACAGAATGAGGTGCTGTCACAAACAAACAAACAAACAAAAACAGAGACTGGGTAATTTATAAAGAAAATAAATTTATTTTTTATAATTCTGGAGGTTGGGAAGTCCAAGAACATGGTGTCATCATCTGCTCAGTTTCTGCAAGGGCCTTCTTGCTGTGTCATAGCATGGTGGAGGGCATCACATGGCAAGAGGGCAGGAGCATACATGTCAGTTCAGGTCTCTTTTCCCTGATGGGACTGGTGGCTTTATAAGAAGGAGTTTCACTCTGATGATCTTACTTAATCCTAAGAATCTCCCAAAGGCCCCACCTCCAATTGACATATAAATTTGAAGACTGTTTCCAACACGTGAAACTTGGGGAACAGATTCAAACCATAGCAGTGGCTGGGCACAATGGCTCGTGCCTGTAATCTCAGCACTTTGGGAGGCTAAACCTCAGCAGAGGGGTGGTTTCCCCCATGGTGTTCTCATGATAGTGAGTTAGTTCTCATGAGATCTGATGGTTTTATAAGTGTCAGGTTTTATAAGAGGCAGGAAAAATCACCTGAGGCCAAGAGTTAGAGGCTAACCTGGGCAACATAGTATGACCCTTCTCTCTCTCTCTCTTTTTTTTTTTTTTTTTTTTTTTTTTTTTAGATAGAGTCTTATTTTGTCGCCCAGGCTGGAGTGCAGTGGTGCAATCTTGGCTCACTGCAACCTCTGCCCCCCAGGTTCAAGCAATTCTCCTGCCTCAGCCTCCTGAGTAGGTGGGATTACAGGCACCTGCCACCACGCTCAGCTAATTTGTGTATTTTTAGTAGAGATAGGGTTTCACCATGTTGGCCAGGCTGGCCTTGAACTCCTGACCTCGTGATCCACCTGCCTCAGCCTCACAAAGTGCTGGGACTACAGGCGTGAGCCACCGCGCCTGGCAGTGTGACCCTTCTCTACAAAACATTAAAAAATTAGCTGGGCATGGTGATGTACACTTGTAGTCCTAGCTACCTGGGAGGCTGAGGTGGGAGGATCCCTTGAGCCCAGGAGATGAAGGCTACAGTGAGCTGTGATCACACCACTGCACACCAGCCTGGGCAACAGAGTGAGACTGTCTCAAAAAAGAAAAAAAGAGTAAACTATAGCAGTGGATAATTGCTGTTTCTCCATGCTGGCAGAAGACTGAGGTTTGTTCTTGGAAATGGTAAAACGGGATCTCTGGATTGGGGGATACCAGGTTGAGGATAGAGATACTATGTTAACAAAAAAAAAGGGGAAAGAGATGAAACTGTTGGAAGAAAAAACTTCCTCTCTACCAGCTTGGGTCTGTGTAGTTGGGGCCCTGCAAATGGATGGACATTAGACAGATTAACAGGAGAAAAGACAAATGTGCAGGAGCAGTCAGTAGTGAGTGCCTTGCTGGACAGCAAGAGTAAAAGGTTTATACATGGTTAACAAAAGAAGGGGTTAGGGCTTCAAGTATGGGAGGTTCTGATGAAGTTTCTTTACACAATTTTTTTGGAATGTCGTAGTGTCCAAGGTCAGTTGACCTCCCTGGAGGGTGGGAGGGGGGCAGGGTTGTGGCCGCTGACTCACATAAAGCTGTGTTTTAGTCAGATAAGGAACATGCAGATCATATATCTTTCTGTTTCTCCTTTTGTGTTTTTGGTCTCTTCAAAATGAACTTATGCATATAGGAGCCTGACGCCTCCATATCCCTCTCCTGAGAATGCTGACAGTCAGGCCTTTACTTTCTAAGCCAAAGACTGGAAGAGTTTTTTTCTGGGGAATCTGGTTAGCTCAAGAGGAAAGATTTAAAGATACAGACATCAGAGGTTCCCCAACTACATAGCCATTCACCCTACAGGGATCTCATGGTCAGACAGGTCCCACTCACCCACTAAGAGCTTCCAATTAACAGTCGGTCCCCAACTCTCACACAGGAGCTAATAATGCGGGAAAGTCAAGACAAACAAGACAATAAGCAACTCAGCAGTGCTAAGTGCGATGTAGGAAGAAGAAAACTTCTGAAGAACTATTATTAATATCTTTAGATAGATAAGTGAAGATAATTGCATGAAATAAGAAATGGATGCTATATAAAAGAACAAAAAAGAGCTCTTAGAAATTAAAAATATAACAGGAGAAATTGAAAATTTCAGTAGAAGCATTAGAGGATAAGGTCTAGGAAATGTGGGGGCCAAAGCCCTCGAACTTCTGGAGTTTTGAGGAAAATTTAACATGCAAAAGACGAGTATGAACAGCTATGTAGAAATACGATAGAAAGAAAGAGGGTCTGACCTAATGCTGATAGACTGAGTGGGGAAACCCAGCAGGGTTGTCTGTCCAGATTCTTCTCGGCCTCTCTGAGAATGCTTTCCTTCCGTTGGGTGTGCGCATCGGGACCCTCTCTGGATTAGGGGGTCTCACAACCTTCAATCTAACAAGGTAGGTCAGATAATTTCTTTATGCGCAGTTTTTTATGCAGAAAGGCAAAGGGAAAATGAGAGTAATCTTTTTAGGTTTCATGGCTGGCTTTGGGGAAAAAGGATTCTTGTTTCTGTGGCTGGCCTTGAGGGAGAACTGGACTGACAGACAATGGGCAGGAGAAGATCAGAGAAGAGCTTTTGCTTCTGAGGCTGCTGCTGAGGCCTTCATTTTGGGGTATTGTTTCCTGAGCCCAAACAAATCTCTCAGAAAGTGGAATGATATGGTTTGGCTGTGTCTCCACCCAAATCTCATCTTGAATTGTAGTTCCCACAATCCCCATATGTCATGAGGGGGACCTTGTAGGAAGTGATTGGATCACAGGGGCGGTTTCCCCATGCTGTTCTCATGATAGTGAGTTCTCACACGAGATCTGATGGTTTTATAAGTGTCTGGCATTTCCCCTGCTGGCACTTCTCTCTCCTGGCACCTTGTGAAGAAGGTGCTTTGCTTCCCCTTCACCCTCTGCCATGATTGTAAGTTTCCTGAGGCCTCCCCAGCCATGCAGAACTGTGAGTCAATTAAACTTCTTTCCTTTATAAATTACCCAGTCTCAAGTAGTTAATTTTTTTTTAATTTTTTTTTTTTTTAGACAGAGCCTCACTCTGTCACCCAGGCTGGAGTGCAATGGTGCGATCTCAGCTCACTGCAACCTCTGCCTCCTGAGTTCAGGATTCTCCTGCCTCAGTCTCCTGAGTAGCTGTGATTACAGGTGCACACCACCATGCCCAGCTAATTTTTGTATTTTTAGTAGAGATGGGATTTTGCCACTTTGGCCAGGCTGGTCTTGAACTCCTGGCCTCAAGTGATATGCCCGCTTCGGCCTCCCAAAGTGCTGTGACTACAGGCGTGAGCCCCTGC